>NC_000023.11:55711075-56027131 GCF_000001405.40 Homo sapiens
CATAGACATTAGCCACTGTGCAATATCAAACTGGCAAGGCCCAAACTTGCCCCTGGTTGGGCCCCATTATCATTAATCCAACCTCTGACCAGGAGTTTCAACTTGTGGTCTCTGGGCAAGATGGTCACCCTGAGTAATAGAAAAGATAGGAAAGAGAAGGGAGAGAAAGAAAAGCATTGCCTGTGGCAGGGTGGGGAAGGTGAAGAACTCAGGGAGGTAAAGCAAAAGACCCACCCCCTGCAGCCACACTGAATCAAAAGTTCAGATGGGCGCTTTTCAGTTGTGAAGGCATATTTTCCAGCAGTCCCATCAGCTCTCAACTTTCTCGTTTTTGGGGAGAAAAAAGCCCCCCATATCCCACTATCCTGTACATGCCTAATCCTGTCACCCACAGCAAAGGGTGCAAGGCAGATTATTCCAAAGATAATAGCAGTTAACATCCTGTAGTGCCAAACTCATTCTTAGCCAAAAGGGAATTTACTGAGAGGAGCCTCTAACCCCCTAAGTCTTAGAAGGGAACCTAATTTTCCTAAGTTGGGCCTCTAACCCAAGGTTGGTCAAGTGTCCTTGCCTTTTATTAAGAGGGGCCTCTAACCCACTCTGTCTTATGAGAGACTTTAACTCCTCTAAATTGGGCCTCTAACCCAATCGCGTCCTTTACCTGGGTACCCCACCACTTACCCAAAATGGGACAATCAGTGCTGCAGTTTATTTCCTTTTGGTCGGGTTGTTTCTTCAGTATTGTCCCTTCGAGGTTTGTCAAAAAGATGTTACTAGACCCCACCACTTACCCAAAGTTAGTCTTTGGGTTAGGTGTTTCTGCAGTATAGTCCCTTTGGTGGTTGTAAGAAAAAATTCAGGACAAGTCCATAAAGTGAAAGCAAGATATTAGGAAAGTAAAGTAATAAAAGAACGGCTACTCCATAGACAGAGCAGTCCCAAGGGGCACTGGTTGCCCATTTTTATGGTTATTTCTTGATGATATGCTAAACAAGGGGTGGATTATTCATGCATCCCCTGTTTAGACCTTATAGAGTAACTTCCTGACATTGCCATGCCATTTGTAAACTGTCATGGTGCTGGTTGGTGTAGCAGTGAGGGCAACCAGAGGTCACTCTCGTCACCATCTTTGTTTTGGTGAGTTTTAACCGGCTTCTTTAATGCCACCTGTTTTATCAGCAAGGTCTTTATGACCTGTATCTTGTGCTGACCTTGTATCTCATCCTGTAACTTAGAATGCCTTAATTGTCTGGGAATGCAGCCCAGCAGGTCTCAGCCTTATTCTACCCAGCCCCTACTAAAGATGGAGTTGCTCTGGTTCAAATACCTCTGACAGTTCAGGTTTTTCTACCTAGGTAATGGCTCCCATGGAGGCTTCTGCTCATGGAATTTTGGTCTGGAAACTTGTCATTATCTGTATTTGCCTCTCTCCCCAATTCTGGCAGCAGCTGTGTGTCCTGTGGCCTCACTTCTCTAAAGGAATTAAGACTAATTGTTGATTTTTCAGTTTGTTCAGTTTTTTACTTATTGTTAACATGGAGTGGTGACTTTTAAGCTCCTTATATGTAGGATTGGAAACTGAAAGTCCCCACATTAAGTTTTCATCAATCAAGTCGTTAAATCTTGTTAAATAGAACATTTTGTGATATTTTAAGCCATGATGTGGGAATGGGGAGAAAAGAGCTGCTAGCAGTATGTAGGAGTAAACTTAAGGAGCTCTGGGAAGTAGCAGTGAGCTATGGAAAAAGAGGAAGAAGGGAAAGGTGGAGGAGGAGAAGGGCAGGCAACTTATGAGTGACAGTTTGAGTATTGGAGACTCAGGAGTATGTTTGCAGATACAGGTAACTAGATTGAATTTAGGGCATAAAATGAAACTTATTAAAGGATTTGTTGGGGGCCTGTATTACTTTTTCTTGCTGAGATGGATGGTTAAAAAAATATATGTGTTGGGATCTAGACAAAGGGAATGCTGATGTTTGTGTGAGTATAGTGGAGCTGAGGTGTTAAGACAGAAGCATCTGACAGGCAGTGGAACCTGAAATAGAGTGATGTTTGTATCCCTGCTGTCCAACACAGTTCCTGGCACCGAAAGGCTGCTCAATAAACATTTGTTGAATGAATGTGTGAGTAATAGAGCTTAGTTCACACTTTCTGAAAAGAACCTATAATTAAATGTTTAAAAATTAATTCAACAAAAATAAAAAGTGACCTCCGCTTCCTATGTATGTAAGGGTTTTTTTTTTTTTAAGAATAAAAATGTGAAAAATAAGCAGCCAAAGGTACCTGGGTAGAAACCAGAATCTGAACTGCTGGACTATATAGTGTCAACAAAGAGTCAAACTCTGGAAAACATTTGATGAGATTTATTCTGAGCCAAATAGGAGTGACCATGGCCTGTGATACAGTCCTCAGGAGATCCTGAAAACAAGTGCCCAAGGTGGCTGCGGTGCAGCTTGGTTTTATACATTTTAGGGAGACAAGGGACTTCAGTCAAATACATGTAAGAAATATATGGGTTTGGCCCAGAAAGGTGGGACAACTCGGAGTGGGGGTGGGAGGGGGGCTTCCAGCTTATAGGTAGATTGAAAAAATTTCTGGTTGACAATTGGTTGAGTTTAAAGACCTAGGATCAATAGAAAGGAATGTTTGGGTTAAGATAAGAGGTTGTGGAGACTAAAGTTTAATCATGCAGGAAGCCTGCAGGTTCAGAAAGAATAGAATGTAAATGCTTCTTATCAGATTTAAAGGTCTGTGTTGATGTTAAAGCTGGAGAAATATAATGAGGCATGTTTGACCCCTACTTCCTGTCATGGCCAGAAAGTCACTCAGGATACATTTTTAAAGAGTGCCCTGGCCGAGGAGAAAGCACATTCAAATGGTTGAGGAACCTTGGTATTTTATTTTTGATTTACAATAGGAATGCACTGCACATTGGCCCTATTCACCATTATTTGGAATCTATGCTTATTTGATTTAGTTTCTCAATCCTTTTCCACTACCTTTCTTCCATTCCCTTCCTTCTACCCCTCTTCCTCCTTTTTCCTCTTCTCCTTACCCCTCTATTCCTTCCCTCTTTCCCATCTCCCCACTTCTCCCCCTTTTCTTCTTCATCCCTCCCCTCCCCTTCTTTATCTGTTTCTTCCTCTTCTTACTTCTTGCCTCTTGGCACTTTGAGGCAACTATCAGCAGTTCCTTATGAAGCTTGTGAGGTAGTGAATGTGGGTAGAGAAATATAGCTCGTGAGTTGCTATAGGCCAGATCTTGAAGGTCCTTGTATTGACACACTTTTTCCTTAAGTTATGGGAGGATTTTAAAGTAGAGAAGTAGTCTCCTCCGATTTGTGGTTTAAAAGATTACTCAAGTTGAGGTTGCAGTGAGCCATGATTGTGCCACTGTACTCCAGCTTGGGTCAGAGAGCAAAACCCTGTCTCAAAAACAACAAGAACAACAACAACTACAACGACGATAAAAAGAAATTTGATCGCACCTGTAATCCCAGCACCTTGGGAGGCCAAGGTGGGCAGATCCCTTGAGGCCAGGAGTTTGAGTCTGGCAACAAAGTGAGACCCAGTCTCAACAAAAACTAGTTAATTAATTAATTAAAATAAAGGATCACTTGAGCAGCTTTTAGAGAGGATGGATGGTTTGAAGGAGGGGGAAAAGGATACCAGCAGCAACAGGGAGACAGTATTTTTTTTTTGCTTGCTTTGTCGCCCAGGTTGGAGTGCAGTGGTGCGATCTTGGCTCACTGCAACCTCCGCCTCCTGAGTTCAAGCAATTCTCCTGCCTCAGCCTCCCGAGTAGCTGGGATTATAGGCGCGTGCCACCACACCTGGCTAATTTTTGTAGTTTTAGTACAGATGAGGTTTCACTATGTTGGCCAGGCTGGTATCGAACTCCTGACCTCAGGTGATTCGCCCACTTTGGCCTCCCAAAGTGCTGGGATTACAGGTGTAAGCCACTGCACCTGGCCGAGACAGTACATTTTTATAAAAGAGTGGTTTAAGGGGCCAATTTGGCTGGTGAAGCCCGGGGGCAGTAGGTGTTGGAAGACATATTTGAAAGCTGCCTTTAGAAAGCAAGCACATATTAATTACGTCAAATGTTTTGGGGGATGAGATGACTAATGAAGATCAACTCACTCACTCCCAACCCCTTTGGAGCTGCCACTGTGGGAAAATCACTTAGTAGGCTATTGTGGATATCTAGGCCAGAGATTATGATAGCTGGAACAAAAAGAGTGGCAGTAAGAATAAGAGCAGGCAGGTAGTAGAAAATAGACTGATCATGACCTGGTCTCATTGACACGTATGGAGGGCAGTGAATCTAAGGTGACTTCCTGGTTTGGGACTCAGGATCTTTCATCAGACAAGGAAAGCCAGAATGGAAGCTTGTTTGGGGGTAGTTGGTTGGAAGGAGACAAAAGATTAGCTAGTGATAGAGCGAAGGATCACTAATCAGAGTAGAATAACTTTTTTCTTGAGGCAAGGCAGTTGTGGAGAAAAGGAATCACACAGGACCTCAAGTGGAAAGTGTGGGAGCAGACAGTGTAACTGCCCAACGGGTTCACCTTGCCTGCTGCCTAGACAGAGCTGATTTATCAAGACAGGGGAATTGCAATGGAGAAAGAGTAATTCATGCAGAGCCAGCTGTGGGTGAGACTGCAGTTTTATTACTCAAATCAGTTTCGGGGGATTGAAATTTTTAACAATAATTTGGTGGGTAGGGGCTTGGGAAGTGGGGAGTGTTGACTGGTCAAGTTGGATATGGAATCATAGGGGGCTCTAAGTGAGTTTTTCTTGCTATCTTCTGTTCCTGGGTGGGATCGCAGAACTGGCTGGGCCAGATTACTGGTCTGGGTGCTGTAAGTGAAACGAGGGAAGTTCCCCTATCCCCCTTGCAGGGCATGCCACAGCGGGAGTGGCTCACTGCTTCACAACCTCTAGGGGGAGCATGCAGAGGGGCAGGCTGTGGGGCTCCGACCCCATGGCAACCTCTAGGGGTGAATATAACATTTGGGTGGGAAGGCAGGAGTGCCTATCCTCACCTAGGTCCATGGGCACAGGCCCCAGGGTGGAGCCCTAGCCACGGACCCGCCTTTCTCTGCCCAGCACTTTCCTGCCCCGCTCCTGTATCATAAGCTGGTGCATCTGAATGCAGGGTCTGCAAAACATATCAAACAGTGATCTTAGGTTTTAAAACAGTGATGTTATTCCTGGGAGCAATTTGGGGAGGTTCAGACTCTTGCAGCTGGAGGCTGCATGGCCCCTGAATTGTAATTTCTAATCTTGTAATCTTGTGGCTAATTTGTTAGTCCTGCAAAGGCCGACTGGTTCCCAGGTAAGAAGGTTTTTTTGTTTTTTTGTTTTTTTTTAGTGGGGGGCAGCGGGAGGGAGAAAGGGCTATTATCAATTTTGTATCAGAGTTAAACTATAAACTAAATTCCTTCCCAAGGTTAGTTCGGCCTACGCCCAGGAATGAACAAGGACACCTTAAAGGTTAGATGTAAGATGGAGTCGGTGAGGTCTGATCTCTTTCACTGTCATAATTTCCTCAGTTACAGTTTTTGCAAAGGCAGTTTCAATAATAGTACTCTGTTTCCTGCAGTTTCTCTTCCTTCCTTCCCTTTTTTTCTTATCAAAGTAATATATGTACACACTTACGTGTAAATAATACATGTAGTATATCATATATTAATTATAAATAATATAATTAAACTACACATTTATTTAAAATAACATATTTATAACATATTATTTAAGTATTAGTTGATTATATTAAATATAATTAAATGTCATATTAATCTTATTATTATATATCATTTATACATTATAGAAATATATATAGCACAGAAGGGCTTCAGATAAAAAATAATAGTCCCCTGACATATCACGTCCTATCCCCTACCCCATTCTCCAGAAGGAACATCTTTGAACCCCTCTGGGCATTTTTCCTGGTGTGCATATCCCTACCAGTAGTCTTTCTGTTCTCAATTCTAGACTTCACTTATTTACAGATGGGGTCTCGCTATGTTGGCCAGGTTGGTCTTGAACTCCTGGCCTCAAGTGATCCTCCCTCCCCAGCCTCCCAAAGTGCTGGGATTAAAGGCATGACCCACCACTCCCAGCCCTAGACTTTATTTATTGACTTCTTACTATGGTACTTCCTTCACTTCCTGTTTTAAACAAGTGGGAAGATGAATGTGTGTGTTAAAATTCCTGATGAATCCCTGGTTTCAGCAATAACGATAATTTATACAGTATTTGCTATGTGGAAGACACAGTTCTAAGCGCTTTGGATGTATTAATCATTTAATTACAAACTCGATTGCAAGAATTAACAATAAAAAGCAGGAAGGCAAAGACAATGCTCGGTCTTCCCAGTCAAAAACCATTACCGGTAACCAGCAGTAAAAAAGAGAAGCTCAGAGGCACTGAAATTGCAACCGGCTCCTTTAATTCTCCATAGCGGATGGGTGGGGCCAGGCCCACCCACATTAGAGAGGCTGAAGGCTCCCAGCGCCCTACCCCGCCCGAGGGGCGGAGCCTGAGCCAAGGCCACGTGATGATGACAGACGGCACTCTGGCTTTCCTGGAGCTGTCTCTATGGTATTCTTCCCAGCCCACCCGTCCCTTTGGTAGCGGCAGTCACGTGACAGACTCCGGGGTAAGGCAGATGCCCACGTGATCCTGGCCTGCAGTTGGGTGGCTGCGGTGAGATACCTGGGTTCCTGAAGGGCGGGTGGTTAGGTCGTAACTACTGCCCCCGCCGGCTGACTCTCCGAGCGGCCGGGCTCGGAAGCCACGAGCCAGCTGAGGCGTTCTCCGCTTAGTGCCTACGGCATGGGTCAGCTCTTTCTGCCACCTCCGCCTTCGCGGTCCTCACCTCTTTGCGGGTGAAGTTACCTTTGGGTTTCCAGACCTTGGGGGCCTGAGGCCCAAACTCGGGACGAACCCCTAACCCACCTCTCTTTTCCTGTCATTCTCCAACTCTTACTTTGTACCACGGAATCACTTGGCCTTAAAGCTAGCCAGCTCGGCCGTGCCTTGAGGCCAGGTTCGAGAGATAAAGGTAACCGTGGGGAAAGCGGCCCCCCAGTGGACAAAGGCGGAGGCAAGAATAGAGCAGGCCTGAGGGCCATAGGCGATGAGAATAGGCAGTTGAGGGGTGAAAAAGAAAACAAACAAACAACAACAACAAACCCTGAAGAGTACTGAAGATTTAGAAGGGACTGGAAAGGACTTGTTGCGCAATGGAAGAATCTGACTCTGAGAAAACGACGGAGAAAGAAAATCTGGGGCCGAGAATGGATCCACCACTAGGGGAACCGGAAGGATCGCTTGGGTGGGTGAAGGGTATTTGTGAAACCTGGAAGTGGGGGTGTTCAAATTGAAGAGAGTATTGTGAATTAGAACACTTCTCCCCACCCCGCACCATGATAAATTGCTTTGATTTACCAGTAATGTTGATTGGGATTATGCTTTGGACGACAGGATAAACTGGAAAGCGAATTGGTGCTAACTGATCAGAAACAACCCTTGGGAAGGGGCTGATATTCCTGGTGGTGGTGCTGGGGGAGTGTTCTAATTAAAGCAGTTATGAGTTGCTTTGAATTATCAGTAAAGGAGATTTGCTGTCACCAGGTTGGGGATGGAAAGACTAGAAAGAAGATTTGCATTTCCAGGTCAGAGCTTGAGGGTGTTTTCTGTGCCAATTTGTACCTGAATTTGAGACTTACATCTACTTTGTGTCTGTGATGAGTGAAATAGGGCTTGGAAGGACAGCTGAAGGACTAAAAAGATACTTCCAGATTTTAAAATTAGGAGGCTGAATGTTTTTTATACATAGAAGATATTCAATACTCAGTCCTCAAGTAGAGGATATCAATATATTCTGTTTTTTTAGAAATAGAAGATATTGTTTGATTAAAGCAGCTGTGTTGCTTTGATTAAGATGATGAAAAATTGAATCTTGAATTTTAATGGCTCATTTGTATTCCTAAATAAATCTTCCTAGGAGTTCTCTCTTGAACTTCTAATTAGGAGATAGAGAGTATACACACAGTTTTATAATTTAGGAAAATGGGACCTCTATTCATCTGAGGTCCCACACACACAGCTGTACTCAGCCGTTGTACTAAACATGCTCTTTTGTACCTCCATGTTTATTTATACTTCATTAATTTCAATTTCTAAGGGAATTGGATCATGGAAACTGTTTTTTGGTTTATATCTGCAGGTGGGTGCTACCAAATACAGCCATGAAGAAAAAGGTAAGACGTGTTAGATACGTCAAAACCATGAAGGTAAAGGTAAGAAGTTGATATTCAGGAACTTTGTGACATATATACACCATCTTTTCTGGACTATTGCAGGAGCCTTCTGTGTGGTCTGTCTGACTCTCTTCTCCTTGTATGCTATCAGATTTAATTTTTCTAATATGAAAATCCGACTGAGTCATCTACATACTTAAGAACCTTTAGTAACTTCTTTAAGCCCATGGAATAAAATCCAAATGATTTCATGGCCCTTTAAAATCTGTTCCTGACCAAACCCTGTGCCACACTTATGCACCCTATCACAGCCCTACAGAATTTATTGTTCTCCAGATTTACAAATTAATTTGCACTTTGTGTAAGCCATATACACACACCATACAGGCCTCTGTCTGCACATTTATTTTTAACCTAACTCAAGTGTTACCACTATAAGGTCTTATTGAGTTCTTCAGATAGAATTGGACACACCTTCCTTTGTGCTCTCATAGTACTGTGCCCTACGTTGGGGTTTAGGCAGAATTGCTAAGAGTGCAGCTCAAGCTAATTTCTTAACCTTTTGGGGCTTCAGTTTCCTCATTTGTAAAATGGTAGTAATAATATTAACTGTATCGTAAGATTGTTGTGACGTTTAAATTAGTAAATGCCTGTAGAACACTTAGATCAGTACCTAACATGATTAGCCTTGGTAAGTCTTTCATAGGCAATTGAAAGAGGTACACTGTATAAATTAATAACCGAAGGAAATGTACCATATTTAGCCTTAGCTTCATCTAATAATTCAGTTCTGTAACTACAGTTTGCTAAGAGAATGTTCTTGATGAGCCTGTCTGAAGTTGCTTTCATTGAGAATGCCTAAAAGTACAGAAATTTCTACATGATTAAGAACAAAAATTAGCTTGATTTAATCATTCTGCATTGTATACATATATCAAACATTGCATTGTACCTCCTAAATATAAAGAGTTATTGTTTTTCAATTAAAATTTTAAAGTACAAAAGCAAACTTTTTGTAGCAACTTTAGACTGGCTCAGCAGTGGCATTTCCTTAGTGAGATAAAGTTATATAGCTACATTTTTAGATTAAATCAAGTCTGAGTGTAGTATATTTTCATCAATACTTCTTATATTAGTAATTAGAAATTTGTATAAAATATCTTGGGATTGAAGGTAGAACATAGGTTCCCTTCATTTGAAAAGCAAGTTAAGGCTGGGCACGGTGGCTCATGCCTGTAATCCCAGCACTGTGGGAGGCTGAGGCAGGTGCATCACTTGAGGCCAGGAGTTCAAGATCAGCCTGGCCAACATGGCAAAACCCTGTCTGTACTAAATATACCAAAAAAAAAAAAAAAATAGCCGGACATGATGGTGCATGCCTGTAATCCCAGGCATGGGATGGCTGAGGTGGGGGGCTCAGGTGGGGTGGCTGAGGCATGAGAATCACTTGAACCCGGGAGGCGGAGGTTGCAGTGAGCTGAGATCATGCCACAGCCCTCCAGCCTGGATGATAGAGTGAGACTTGGTCTCAAAAAAAATAAAATAAAAAAGAAAGAACGAAAAGGAAAGCAAGGTAATTGGAACTATATTTCATAAATTCTAGATTTGAAAGGACTCTCAAAAGTCACTTTACTAAATTCCCTTTTAGTACGAGAGTATAGAACATCATTGACGAGTGCTCTCTGTGTGACATGCTGACATTGACAGGAAGGCTGCTTACCTTCATGAGGCTACCTTTTCCCTTGGACAGTTCTCACTGTCAGATACTCTCTTGCTTTCTATATTTGTTTTGATAACTTGCTTGTTCTTTTGATGTACATACTTTGAGCATCTGTTGTATGTTAGGCACTGGAGGTATGAGGGGACTTTCTCTCCCCTTCCAGAGCACAGAGTCTTCTGAGAGAGAAGGACAGACCCCCCAAAATAAGTAACTGCAATGCATTATAGTCTTTGCAATGAAATAACAGTGCCATGGGAGGACAGAGGTAAGACACTTAAGTCAGCCTAGAGCATTAGACTCAGAATATCTTCTTGCAAAAATGATTACTGAACCAAGTCTTGAAGGATAACTGCAATTTAGCTGAAGGAAGAAAAGAGAATGGATAGTTTACTGGCAGAGAGTACTGCGTGAAACAATGGCACAGATGCAGGACCTCCCAGACGGCTGGGAACAATCAGAGGGACTACCAGCAGTTCAATTAAGTGTGGCTGTAAGCTAAAAGTTTCAGGCCAGGAGGGACAGGAGATGAGGGATGAGAAGTAAATAGACTAGATCAAGGAGGGTCTTATATGTAGTCTAAGGACTTCATCCTGCAGGCCATGGGAAGCTTTTGAAAAGAAAAAGGAGGGACAGTAATAAATGGAATAAGAGCATAGAGGTAAGTAGAAGGGATGAGATCAAAGGCAGAGGTGGAAAGATTGACCTTGATCAGAAGGAGGAAGAACTTTCAGTTATGTTGCAATCCTCTACTAGGTAATTCAGTTAACAAAACATTGGGTTATGATAGAACAGGGTTTAGTTTCCTCTAAACTTGGTATTTTTCTAACCTGTTTCTGAACATATTAATGGTGCATCTTAATAGCATAAATTCAGTGTAATTCTGTCACCTAAAGGATGTATGTCCTGTGACAGGTAAGTACCTGGCTCCTGGAATTCTAAGTATCTCTGCATTCACCCTTCGTTGGGAAGAGTTTAGTTAGTTGTGAGTATGCGCACCAGGTTGTTGGTACTGTCAGTTCAGGAAAATATCAAATCCAGGAGAGAAATAGATCCCTTTAGACTTGATTTGCTCTAGATTGCTAACTTTTTTCCTTTCCTTTTCCCTACTTTGTCCTTAGGTGCTGTTGATGGGTAAAAGTGGGTCTGGTAAGACCAGCATGAGGTCTATTATCTTTGCAAATTATATTGCCAGAGACACACGTCGCCTTGGCGCAACAAGTAAGATGTTTTATCTTATTGTAAAGTCAGGTGATCTTAACTATTAATAATCTGCATAACACACTTGGTTTCAGTACCTTGGGGATGCAGAGAGGTTGGGGAATTTGTTATGGAGCATGTTTACCCTTTTTGCATTCGTTTTCAAAGAGGTGTGGCCTAATACCAGTTACTACTGCTTGCTGTCTTGGGGGAGGTTCTTTTCTTTCTAGGTTGTTTATGAAGTGGATTGCCCTTGTCCAACTTTTTGTTTATTCTGCTATTTCTTAAACAAGCATTGTTTGTTCGTCTTGTGGGGAGAGTGTTTTTAACTCTTATACAAAGGGAAATCCATAGGTATTAACAAGCATAACAGTAAAATATGCTAAGATTTTTTAAAGCAGTAGTTACACCTTGTCTTCGTTGAAAGGTAAATTACGGTGGTGGGAAGGAAAGAAGTTAACTTGATCTGTACTCTGCTACTTCTTTTCCTGGATACACATAGATGATCTCATTAGAGTTTTGGTTCTGACTTAGGGAATATGTTGTTGCCTTTTATAGTTTGAGTGTTAGTATATACTAATTGGGCTGCCATGGACAGTGAATGTAGGATCCTGGGAGAGCCCTTCTGTCTCTGGGTTGTACTGCCATTTCATTCTGCAGCATTCAAGCATTTCTGGATTCTGCTTGGTCCTTGATTTTTAGGGAAAGGCCACCCACTACTCTACACATTTCCTGAAGTTTCAAGAACAACATTTTAAAAACACAGTATGTTTCAGACCCTAGGAAATAAAGGAGAAGGAAACCTCATTTCTGTTATTATCGTGCTTGGAGTGTAAGTGTAGACTCTCATAATTGGGGCAGCTTTGTTGTCTAGAAAGCTGTTTCTTGAATGTATATATATGTATTTTTTGAGATGGAGTCTTGCGCTCTGTTGCCCATTTTGGAGTGCAGTGGTGCAGTCTTATCTCCTGGGTTCAAGTGATTCTTGTGCCTCAGCCTCACGAGTAGCTGGAATTACAGGCACCCACAACGACGCCCAGCTAATTTTTGTATTTTTACCAGAGATGAGGTTTCACCATGTTGGCCAGGCTGATCTCTAACTCCTGACCTCAAGTGATCTGCCCGCCTCGGCTTCTCAAAGTGCTGGGATTACAGGTGTGAGCCACCGTGCCTGGCCTATTTCTTTTTTTTTTTTTCTGTTAGCTTGTTCTCTTTCTGTTCTCTTAAGCCTCTACAAATATTTGAGGATAGTCAGTGTCTCAGTTTGTCCTAGCGATCTCTTGCCTCACAAATCTTTTTTTTTTCTTTTTGGAGACGGAGTCTTGCTCTGTCATCCAGGCTGGAGTGCAGTGGCATGATCTCAGCTCACTGCAGCCTCCACCTCCTGGTTCAAGGGATTCTCCTGGCTCAGCCTCCCAAGTAGCTGGGACTACAGGTGTGTACCACCACATCCAGCTAATTTTTTTTATTTTTAGTAGAGATGGAGTTTCACCATGTTGGCCAAACTGGCCTCGAACTCCTGACCTCAGGTGATCCGCCTGCCTCGGCCTCCCAAAGTACTGGGACTGCAGGTATGAGCCACCATGCCCGGCCATCTTGCCTCACAAATCATGTCTTCCTTAAGTTAAAAATGTCCAGCTCTTCCATCTATTTCTCATTTGACATATTTTGAAACATTTTTGGGGACTTGTTCAAACTTGTTTACATTTTTCTTATGGTATTGAGAGTTAGATGCAGGTGGAGTCTGATCAGGGCAGAGTGGGCCTATCACATCTCTTATTCAGGACATTACATTGCTGTTAGCACAGTCTAACATGTATCCTCCTTTTTTGGAGTAACTTTCGTTATGAGGAGACTTACTAAAAAACTCTTTCAAATAGTTCAAATTCCCTTTCAGATATGTTGTTATTAAAACACATACCCTTCTGGCTCTTGTGCAGTTAATATTTTGAACCAAAGAATAAATGCTTACTTCTATTAAATCATTTAGTTTTGTTTGTTTTAGCCCATGATATGTTCCTGTACCCTTTGTTTGTTAACTGTGAAATCCAGAACAAGTCCAATCCCTTTTTCCTCATCCATAAAAAAAGGGATTGGATCCTATTTTCATTTTAGCTACTTATTCTCTTATCTGATATATTAGTTATCTTTCCTAACTCTAATATCTGATACATTAGCTATCTTTCCTAACTCCATGGAGTTTGTACATTTGATGAATATCTCATCTAGTTTTCATCTAAGTCATTGACCAAAAGTTTTGGTCAGGATAGTGTCCTATGGCCTGTCATGCCTCTATAATTGACATCTGTAGCTCTGGCCTCTGGAATGTCTACCTGTCCAAACTTCTCTCTGCTTGATTTGATAGATTAAAACTTTTTTTTTCTTTCAAGTTAAATATCTGGGCCTAATTACCCTTATGATTTCAGTAGATTAGAGGAAGCTAATGGTTATTGAACAACTGTTATTTGTCAGACTTTTGTTTACTGTTTTATTTACTTTAGTTCTCATGTTAACTTCATTTTTATAGAGAATAAAGAAGGAGGTACAACTTAGAAATTAATATTACTCAGCTAGGAAGTATCAGAGCTGGAATGTCAATCTATGCTCTTGCTTTATTCCTTATGCCACATTCTATCTAGCTTACCCTCTGCTAACGATTCCTGGCAGACTTATTTTTATTTCTGTTTTAAATTCTGAACACTTTTGTTGAAGCATCTTTTTCTAGTCCAATTGCTGTTGCTGTTTTTATATAGCTGATCAGAGTTGACTTATTACCCTGAATCCAGAGAACAGTCTTGCAACCAGCATTTCAGAGTTATTCAAACTGCTTGAAATAGTTTTGACATAACCTAGCAGCCTTATTGTGAACAGAATTTTGCAAATTATATGAACCCCATACATTAAGGCAAACCATTTATTCAGCAAGTACTTTTCTGAAACTTTTTATGTAGCAGGCACAGAGAACGGGACAGAGCTCTTGCCCTTAAGAATATCTCAAGCAGGACCTTTATTACTAATACTTTGTTAGTAATCACTGTATCTCCTTACAGGTAGTGAAAGTATACTTTAAAATATTATGTTGGTCTTAAGGCTTTAGGATATCATCATTAGCTAGTTTGTCATTGCTAAAGAAATACCTGCGTTCTATTGCTAAACTTATAGACAAGTTCAAAATGCATATATAGTGCTCTGCTTTTTATTTGATAGTCCTCTTTATGTAGTTGCTGATTTTCTTTAAAAGTAGTAAGAGTACTTTTAAAATATTGCATTGATTTTAATGTTTTAGTGTTTTTCTAGTTTCTCATTGCTGAAAATAGTCCAGTTTTATTTTGTTAAACTTAGAGCCTGCTGTGTTTTGAAATTTGAAGTAAGAATACATGATGGTGATATTATTAACTTATTAGGGGGCTGCTAAAATGTATTTGTTGGAACAGTAAACTTGTCAATAAAAATGATTATGAAGTATTTTAGTCTCAAACACTGTTGACGGCTCCAAGATTTCCTACCTTCTCAAAATTCTCTGTTCCCTTGGCTTTTATTTAATGCTCTATTACCCTGGTTTTCTTCCATTATCTTTAATTATCCCATCCCTCTTTAAAAAAAAATCTTTATCATAGTATTTTCTTCTTTCTGCCCCGTAAGTGTGTGTCATTCCCCAAAGCTCTGTTCTTGGTTCTTTTTAGTTGTTCTTGTGATAATAGGGTAGGAAGACTAGGAGAGCTAGAGATCCATATATGGAAGACATGAGACTAAAGAGGGAAGCAGGAAGTGGGTGGTTAGATCATAAAATGTCTTGTAAGCCAAGTTAGATAGTAGGAACTGAGGGTAAAGAGAGTTTTAAACAGAAGAGCGATATTTTACAGGTCCCAGGGATTAAGGAAAATGTTAAAAAAAAAAAGAAAAGCAACATGAGCTGATTTATATTTTATTGTTTTTAATTTTCAGTTTTAATTACAAAAGTAGTACTTGTGAAAAATTCAAACATTACAGACGTGTAAAAAGCCTCTTTTCTCCCTCACTCTCAGGCCTGCTTCCTAGGGACAACCACAATTAGTAGTTTTGAGGTTATCCTTCTGGCCCTTTCTTTTCTGGGTGTATACAATCGTGCATATGCGGAGAGACATGGTTTTTTTCTGTTTAAAGAAGAATAAAAATCTGCATTTTGGAGAGAGATCACTCTGTCTGTAATATGGAGGATAGATTGGAGGGAGGGAAGGCTAGAAACAGGTTGGTAAGTTAGGAAACTATTTTAATAGACCAGGTGAGAGATGATGGGGGCTTGATTTGGGCTAGGGTGATGATAGTGGATATGGTGAGAAGCAAATGGATTTGAGATCTATTTAAGAGATAGAGTCAGCCGGACTTTCTGGTAGATTTGGGGAGAATGATGAGGAAAAAAGTGGACTGAAGGATGAAACTGAGGTTTTGGCTTAGGCAACTGGTTGAATTCACTAAGATAAGACTGAAAGAGGAATAGATTTTGTAGGAAGAAAGGGGGAGATGATGAGTTACATATACTTGGATACGTTGAGTTTTGGATACTTGTGGTTCATTCAAATGGAGATTTGTAATATATGTCAGAAAGGTAGAGAAATCTGTTCTAGAGATACCTGTTTCTGAGTCGTCAGTGTCCAAATGGCAAATAAAATAATAAGAATAGACTAGCTTGCCTTGGGGAAGGTGGCCAAGGATGGAGTCCTGAAGAGCTCCAACATTTAAGGGACAGAAAGAAGAATAGGAATTGTAAGGGAGGATCTGCCAGAGAAGTTGTAGGTATGATATCAGAGACCAAGAGAAGAGAATTTTTTGAGAAGAGAGTAGTCAACAGTGTCATGCTGCAGAAAGTAAGACAAGGACTAAAAAGTCCACTGGATTTGGTTATGGGGCCATTGGTCACTTGATGAGAATAATTTCTATGATATGGGAGTAGAAACCTGATTTCTATCCCATGTGCCCCATGTCTAAACAGTCACTGACTCCTGTCACTTCTTTTGTTATTGTCTTTCCCTTTCTCAGTAGCACTTCTTTCCATTTTTTTTTAGTACTAGACCGTATACATAGTCTTCAAATTAATAGCAGTTTGAGCACCTACTCTCTCGTAGACTCTGTTGGAAATACAAAGACATGTAAGATATGATTCCTTTTCCAAGGAGGGGGAAGTAAAGGGGAGAAGGGAAGTAGTTTGAGCACCTACTATGTGCCAGGCACTTTATGTATGATAATTCATTGAATCCTCATAGTAATCCTGTGAGGTCAGTGCTATGCCCCGCCCCCCCGCTTTCTTTTTTAATAGAAGCGGAAACTAATACCCAGAGCTTAAGTGACTTGCCCAAGGTCACATAGAGAGGTAGAGCTGATATTTGAATGAAGATTTGTTCGATTCCAAAGCCTGTGCTTTTTAAAATAATGCTCTGCTGCTTGTGATGTAGTTTATAAGAAGATAAAATTGCACAAAAGTTAGATAGCAGTCAATTTAAGCAACAGCTTTGAGATAGTCATAGGAGAGATATCACTGTGTGATTGATTATCACAAATTGTATAGATGATAATTCCTAGACTTTGATAAATTTTCAGGATAAAATCTTTCATTATTACTCCTTGGGGTTTTTAGTGCCTGGCAGAGAGTAGATGCTTAATGAGTGTTTGAATGAATTCAGAGGGAGAGATGATGGTAAGTAGGGGTAGCTAGGCAGGGCTTTTAGAGGAGGTGGGATTTAGGCTGGCTCTTAAAAGATGAATATATTTTGAAAGAAAGATGGGGAGGGATTTCCAGGCAGATGAACAGAGTAGGTGAAGAATAGAGGGGAGGGAAGTGTAACTCAGAGGTCGCAAACAGGCAGCCTATATCCTGGATAAGGCCTGTAGATGTGTTTTGTTTGGCCCATGTGATGTTTTCTAAAAATGGGAATTAGTTATCAGCATGTAAAAGTTTTCATAAAAATATGGATTTCCCACTACTGCTGAAAAACTTAAAGATCTGGTAACCCAGAGTCCCCATTCCTGCATGGCAAATGAACCAGAGCTGAGTAACTGCTGCTCACTCTACTATCTCATTGGGTAGATGTTTACACTCCATATGTGGCCAACTTTGCTCATGTACGGTTACTGGCCTGGCCCCTGTTAGCAAGTTTGCGACCCCTGGTGTAAAGTATTTTGGGGGTTGGGGAGGCAGTGGGGTTTGGGAGGACTGTGAATAAACCAAATTGGGCTGGAGTGAAAGGCTTTATTAATGTGGATCATTGGGGAATGTATAGGTAGATTGGAAGCCAAATTGTGAAG
Source organism: Homo sapiens (assembly GCF_000001405.40). Lineage (NCBI taxonomy): Eukaryota > Metazoa > Chordata > Mammalia > Primates > Hominidae > Homo > Homo sapiens. Next base: position 55,728,544 of record NC_000023.11, read on the forward strand.
GACCTTGAATGCCTCCCCATAGGCATGGAGGAGCCATTGAAAGTGTTTTGAATGGGGAGTGACATGTTCAAAGTAGTGTTAAGAAGATGAGCCTGGCAGTAGCCTGTCGGATGAAGTAAAATTGAGTAAGGCTTTTTGGTGGGGAGGTGAGTTATGGAGCTATTGTAGTAGTGTAGACATGAGATGATAAGGGGCTTCCTTAATGTTTGTGGTAGGTTATAAAATAAGGAATGGATTTGAGAGAGATTACAAAGGATTAGCAATGTATTGAATGTGGATAGAGGAGTCAAAAGTGGGAAAAAGTTAGGGTCATTAACTGGAAAGGAAATCAATAGCAGGAGTTCATTTGGTTATTGTTTTATGTTTGTTTTTTGTTACTTTTTTTTTTAATTTTTGTGTGTATGTGAGGTTGGTGGGGGCAAGTGGGACAGGGAAGACTGATTATATGGTATATATCTATTACATGTTGAAATTTTAACAGTATTATAGTTGGAGATTGTTTCTGCTCTAAGTATTAAACTACTAAAAAGTGAAATGACTTAACATGAGAGCCAGTTCTATAGCCCAGGGTAGTTTAGGTGCCTACCTTGCCACTAAACCACACTACTCAGCTGAAAATCACCTTCTTGTTGTGGCTTTGAGCATTTCACTCCACTTTGGTCCTTCTAAATTTCATGGGTTAGTGCTTTGCTTATTTTGAATTTCACTTCACCTGTTATAATTACTAGATTTGTCATATTTGTCTTCCAGTTGATGTAGAACATTCTCATGTTCGATTTCTGGGAAACCTGGTATTGAACCTGTGGGATTGTGGTGGGTAAGTACCATCTGCTTACTTGTTTGTGAAGCCGATGTCAGTAATCGTGGCATCTAGTATATCAGCATGGCGAATACACCTAGAGTAACTATCATTTGTAATAGATTGGATAGAATTACTTTAAAATTGACACTTGAGTCAATAAACATCTCTGACTTTTATGGAATTGTGAAAATGCCCTCTGTATGTGACATGTTTAAATAGCGCTAATCCAAGCTCCATCTAGGTATCTGTAGTTTGGGATAGATTATCCCCTTTCGTGGAGGAATAAATTAGGTTTCTGTCTCAGGCAGCCTGACACCAGTGCTGAGCTCTTAGCTGTCACACCATACTACTTTGTTCTTAGTTATAATACGTCAATAATTTTCTCCAGGCAGTCTCAATACTGTAGATCAGACACTGAGCACACATTCTCTAGCTAAGTTACCTACTTTTTGGAAGAGTAGGAGTTAGCTCTTCCTCTTATGAGCAAAATATTCACCACATATTCCATCACAAATGTACACACACTGTGGATGTATGCTGGCTATGGTGCATCTCTGTGCTGAAGGAACAGTGTGCACTGCACAGTGGATAGGAGCATAGGTTTTGGAGTCAGATTGGGGTTTGTACCTCAGCTCTGTTAGCTGTGTTATCTTGGGTAAATCATTTAAACTCTCTGAGCCACAGTTTCTTCATCTGTACAGTAGTGAAGGCAATGGTACCAGCTCATAGGGTTGTTTTGATGATTAAGTAAGATAATTTATACAAAGTTGCATAGCAGAGTGCCTCACAAAATACATAGATATTGTTAGCTCAGTGTATCTCGCTCTTAGCATAGAGCCAGCCATAGAGTGGGTGCTCAGTGAATATTTGTTGAAAGAATAATGCAATAGCTAAATACTCTTTAAGAAAATGACTCCATTCCTGCTAGCAGATGGATCACTTAACATCCTAGCACATATCTCCATACAAATCCTTCCTCATTATCATTGGTTCTAATTTTCTAATCTGTGTTAAGACATTAGTCCCAAGTCCCTTGCTTTTAGGCACTAAGATGTGATGATCTTCATTTTTAGAGATAAGGCAACTGAGGTCCAGGGAGATTATCATTCTGCTGAGTTCACACAGCTAATTAATAGCAAAGTGCAGGACTAGAACCTAGGTTCCTGATTTTTTTCTCCTACTACCGGATGCTACTGTTTTCTGCTGGCCAAGTGGTAATTGAGAACTTCCTGGAAAGCAGCACTTAGCCTAACGAGCAAAGAGCAACATTCTGTTAAAAAGTTACCATTGGAGTCATTTTAATGTAGTTTAGAATATTTGACTATTGAGTTATTCATTCAGCAAATTTTCATTGAGTACTTAACACTCCATTAGAAGCTGGGAAACAATGAAGGATAGTAACAGACATGGAACTTGCTGTCTAGGGAAGTGAATGGTGTTAATGAAAAACTCACAAACAAGTGTAATAACTTGTGGTAAATGTTAGAAGTAAGAGGAATGTATTGATATAAGAGCCTATGCTTAGTGGATTGACCTGTCAGGAGGCCATGGGTAGTTTCTGTGAGGAAATATGGATTGAACTGAAATCTAAAGAGACAAGCAGGAGTTAACTAGATGAGGAGGTGGGGGGTAGCATCTGAGACAGAGTGAACAGCATGTGTAAAGGCCACATAGTGGATAAACCATGTGCCACTTGAGGAATTGAGAAAAAGTCAGTGTGTTTAGAACATAAGGAGAGGGGCAGAGAAATGGATCTGGTACAGGAGAATCAATGAGACCGGGTAAGAAACAGAAAAGGGGCTGCACCAAATGATTGACACGCTCTGCAAACTTCTTTTGTTGGCTCAAGTTGTGGCTCAAGAGGTGAGAAGGTAAGGCCAGACTTATTTGTTATGATTTGCCCTTTAAATTGAAGCCTTAAGATTATCTTTCACATTGATCAAGCCAACAAAAATAGGCTATAAGTAGGAGTGATTGAATTGAGGATTTGCTTACTATATATATATTTTTTCTATCAGGCAAGACACCTTCATGGAAAATTATTTCACTAGCCAACGGGACAACATCTTCCGAAATGTGGAGGTTCTGATTTATGTCTTTGATGTGGAGAGCCGCGAACTGGAAAAGGACATGCACTATTACCAATCATGCCTGGAGGCCATTCTGCAGAATTCTCCAGATGCCAAAATATTTTGCTTGGTACACAAAATGGATCTGGTACAGGAGGATCAACGGGACCTGGTAAGAAACAGAAGAAGTGCTGCACCAAATGCTCGACATGCTTTGCAAACTTATTTTGTAGAGGTATAGGTAAATTTGTACCATTTTTTCAGGAATAAAAAGTCAGCAGAAGTTTTGAAAGTAAAGTTTTGTCATTTACTTTAACTAAACACTCTTTTAAACACATTTTCAATAAGGGAAAGATTTATTAGTAAATAATTTTCAGAATTAGGCAAGGATTCTGTCCAAGTGATCTCACTAAGCAGCATTTATTTATTTTTAAAATATATTTGCTGCCCCAGTTTTATTGTCCTTCAAAGCAGGGAGATAGTGTCAAGGTTAAGACCCACTAGGAGTGAGATGAAGAGAGGTTGCTGCTTTCATTAGATTGACTTAGGAAACTGGTATGCACCAGTTCAAGTGCTAACCACAGTGTGTTAGGCACTATGCCAGGTCCCTCATAATTTCACTGATTTACTAGATTTCTCTTTTCTGACATGGGAGTTAGTACACACAAATTTAAACCAGAGAAGGCACAGTAGCGGTGATGTCACCAAGATAGTGGAGTAGGAGATAACCAGTCTTCATTCCCCTACAAAAAAACAAATATAGATAGCTATCCACAAACCAAAATAGCCCTGAGAAGGCTCCGAGGCCCATTATAGAAAGACGTAGTAAAATGGGTAAACTCCTGCTTAGCTGTGAGACTCCAGGATTGGCAAGTCATATAGTCTAGCTGCAATATAGTCTGTCTAGTTTGCTCAGTATAAAATAAGAGGATTGGATTTTAAGGTCTATGCTAAAAGAGAAGATCCTCCTCTATTTCTAAGGGTATAAAACTAAGGAAAGCAGTTTTAGGATATGCTGGTCATATAGAGGAATACAGTTTCTCTTTGAGTTGGAGTATAAGAATCTAAGGAAATCCTTTAATGAAAGGATTTTTTGGTAATTGCTGTGGTAAGGAATACTTTTTTATATGACTAGTTACAGGATTGCCTCCACTGTTTTCTAGTGTTTTGGTATTTATAGGTTAGCTTATAGGCTTTCAAAAACCATTTGAAGGGTTCCATATTTGACTCAGAAAACTGCTTTTGATTATTTAGTAGTCTTTTTAGCTCTTTCTCCCTCAACTTCTGTCATGAAGTATTAATTACTGTTTAATACCTAATAATTAATATGGTTTTACTTCAGCAGAAAATCATGTACGCAGCTTGGGTCTTGAGTTTGTGAGGGCCTTGTTATTGCTCTTGCTGTTTTATTCTCGTTTCCTTTAAAAATCACTTTATTTCCTATCCAAAATTGCAGTAGAAAAACTTACAGCATTCCAATAAATGAGCTCCTTTAAACATTTAGAAGTGTTTTATTCACTTGTAATTTTGTGGGGTTTTTTTTTAGTATTTTAATTTATTTTATTATTTCAGTAACTTTATGGTTATATGTGGTTTTTGATTACATGGATGAATTGTACTATGGTCACGTCTGGGCTTTTAGTGCATTCATCACTTAAATAGTGTACATTATACCCAATAGGTAATTTTTCTTCCCTCACCCCCCACAACCTCCCCGTTTCTGTGTCTCCAGTGTCCATTATACCACTCTGTATGCTTTTATGTACCCATAGCTTAGCTCCTACTTACAAGCGAGAATGTGCAGTATTGGGTTTTCCATTCCAGAGTTATAAACAAGAGATAGTTTGACTTCCTTTTTTCAGTTTGGATCCCCTTTATTTCTTTCTCATGCCTAATTACTCTGGCTAGGACTTCTAGTACTATGTTGAATAGACGTGTTGAAAGTGGATATAATTGTCTTTTTCCAGTTCTTAGGGGAATGCTTTAAACTTATCTCCATTCATTTTGATGTTGGCTGTGGGTTTCTCATAAAGGGCTCTTACTATTTTGAGGTATGTTTCTTCTGTGCCTAGTTTGTTGGAGGTTTTTTTATCATAAAGGGATGCTGGGTTTTATTGAATGCTTTTTCTGCATCTATTAAGATGATCATATGGTTTTTGTTTCTAATTCTGTTTATATAGCAAATCACATTTATTGACTTGTGTATATTGAACCATACTTGCATCCCTGGGATGAAGCCCACTTGATCTTGGTGAATGATCTCTTTGATGTGCTGGTAGATTAGGTTTGCTAATATTTAGTTGAAGATTTTTGCATTTATGTTCATTGAGTATATTGATTTGTAGCTTTCTTTTTTTATGTCCTTTCGTGGCTTTGGTATTAGGATGACACTGGCTTTGTAGAATGAGTTAAGGAGGATTCCCTCATTCTCAATCTTTTGGGACAGTTTCAGTTGGATTGGCATCAGTTCTTTGACTGTCTCATAGAACTTGGCTATGAATCTATCTGGTCCTGGGGTTTTTTTTTTTGGTTGGGAAATTTTGAGTTTTTGTTTCTTTTTTTTTTTTGAGACGGAGTCTCGCTCTTTCACCCAGGCTGGAGTGCAGTGGCGTGGTCTCGTCTCACTGCAAGCTCTGCCTCCCAGGTTCACGCCATTCTCCTGCCTCAGCCTCCCGAGTAGCTGGGACCACAGGTGCCCGCCACCACACCCAGCTAATTTTTTGTATTTTTAGTAGAGACGGGGTTTCACCATGTTAGCCAGGATGGTCTCAATCTCCTGACCTCATGATCCGCCTGCCTCGGCCTCCCAAAGTGCTGGGATTACAGGCTTGAGCCACCGTGCCCGGCTGGGTTTTTTTTTTTTTTTATTACTGATTACGTCTCACTAATTGTTAGTGCTCTGTTCAGGATTTCTATTTCTTTTCCTGATTGAAGCTTGTGTGGTTGTATATTTCCAAGAATTTATCCATTTCCTTTAGATTTTGTACTTTGAGTGCATAGAAGTGTTCATAGTAGTCTCAGTCATCCTTTGTATTTCTGTGTTTATCAGTATGATGTTTCCATTTTCATTTCTGATAGAGCTTATTGGAATCTTCTTTTCTTGCTTTATCTAGCTAGTGGTTTATTAATTTAGTTTATCTTTTCAAAGAACCAACTTTTTGTTTCATTGACCATTGTATTTTTTTAATTTATTTTCAATTTTCTTGAGTTCTACTCTAATCTTTGTTATTTCTTATTTCTTTTCTTCTGCTAGCTTTGGGTTTGGCTTGTTCTTGTTTCTCCAGTTCCTTGAGGTGTGATGTTAGGTTGTAAATTTGTGATCTTTTTGTCCTTTTGATGTAGGCATTTAGTGCAATAAACTTTGATCTTAGCACTGCTTTTGCTATATCCCAGAGATTTTGATAACTTGTGTCAGTATTTTAATTCATTTCAAAAAATTTTTCCATCTTGATTTTATTTTTGACCCAAAGATCATTGAAGAATAGACTATTTAATTTCCATATATTTGTATGGTTTTGAGAATTCCTCTTGGAATTGATTTCTGGTTTTATTCTGCTTTGGGCTGATTTGATACTTGATATGATTTTGATTTTTTAAAATTTATTAAGACTTCTTTTGTGGCCTGATATATAGTCTATCTTGAAAAAGTTCCACGTGCTGACAACAAGAATGTATATTCTGCAGTTTTTGGGTAGAATGTTCTGTAAATGTCTGTTAAATCCACTTTTTCTAGAGTCCAGTTTAAGTCCAGTGTTTGTTGACTTTCCGCCACAATGATCTATCCAGTGCTGTCCATGGCGTGTTGTAGTCCTCCACTATAATTGTATTGCTTTCTATCTCTTTTTCTTAGGTCTAGTAGTTTCTGTTTTTATGAATCTGGGAGCTCTGGAGTTAGGTGTGCATAAATTTTGGGTTGTTATATCTTCTTGTTGAATTGATTTCTTTATCATTATATAATGACATTTTTTGTCTTTTTTACTGTTGTTGATTTAAAGTCTGTTTTATCTAAGAATAGTTATTCCCACTCACTTTTGGTTTCCATTAACATGGAATATTCTTCCTACCCATCTGCCTTAAGTCTATAAGAATCTTTACAAGTTAACTGGGTCTCTTGAAGACAGCAGATATTTGGTTTGTGTTTTTTTCCATTCTGTCCATCTATTATCTTTTAAGTGGCACATTTAGACCATTTACATTCAATGTTAATATTGACATGTGATGTACTGTTGCAGTCATCATGCTGCTACCTAGTTGCTTGGTTTTCTTCAATGTGTTACAGTTTTATAAGTCCTGTGAATTTTTTGCCTTCAAGTGTTTTTATACTGGTGCATATGACCTTTCATTTAGATATTTAGAACTCCTTTTGCATTTCTTATAGGTCTGGTCTGGTGGAGACAAATTCCATCAGCATTTGCTTGTCTGGGAGAGACTTCATTTCTCTTTCACATATGCAATTTAGTTTTGATAGATACAGAATTCTTGGCTGACAGTTATTCCGTTTGAGGAGACTAAAGATAGGACTCAATCCCTTTTGGCTTGTAAGGTTTCTGCTGAGAAGTCTGCTATTAGTCTGATAGGTTTTCCTTTGTAAGTTATCCAATGCTTTTGTCTCACTCTTCTTAGAATTCTTTCCTTCATGTTGACTTTAGATAGCCTGATGACTTGGTAATGTCTTTTTTTATAATGAATCTCCTAGGAGTTCTTTGAGCTTCTTGTATTTGGATGTCTAAATTTCTAGCAAGACCAGGAAAGTTTTCCTCAAATATTTCCTCAAATGGGTTTTCCAAGCTTTTTGCTTTTTCTTCTCCCTCAGGAACACCTGTGATTCTTAGATTTGGATGTTTTATACCTAAACCCATATTTACTGGAGACTTTGTTCATTTCTTTTAATTCCTTTTTTAAAATTTTTATCTGATTGTGTTAATTTGAAAGCCTTGTCTTCAAGCTCTGAAATTCTTCTTCTACTTGGTCCAGTTATTTCTTTATGTTGGTTTCTAACTTTCTCTTGGATATCATTTAGCAACCTAATAATTAACATTTTGAATTCTTTATCTGATATTTCAAAGATTTCATTTTGATTTGGATCCATCACTGGAGAGTTAGTGTGATCTTTTTGGGGGTGTTGTAGAACTCTGTTTTTGCATGTTGCCAGAATCATTTTTCTGGTTCCTTCTCATCTGGGTGGACAATTTCGTCTTATTATTTTTGAATTTATTTCTGATTTTACTGGGTTTTTAAATGTTTTTCTCCCCTTGAGTATGTGACTTTAATGTGTGTAGTGTATGGTCACCTAGCTTTGGCTCTGGGTGCTTTCAGTGGCAAAGACTGTGTATGAGCTCTTTGGTTGTAGAGAATCTTTGTGCAGTGGCTTTCTTAGCTGCTGGTTGTAGTAGCAGTGTGCTGGGTGTGTGAGAAGGCTCACTGTCTCCCATGGGCCAGAATGGCAGAGGTCTCATGAAGCATATCTCATTTCCCCGTGGTGTATATTTTGTTATTTTTGTGAAAAATATACTGGGGAAAAAAATAACAAAGTGCATACCACTGGGGAATGAGATAAGCTTCATGAGACCTCTGCCATTGAATAGTTCAGCCTTCATGCTAGTACAGGCACCCACAGGTAAAAACCAGCTGCAGCTGAAGTAGGTGGGTATATGCAGTACCCCATTTGTGGGCAGAAGGCCCAGCCTTGACTGAGCTGGCTGGGGGAGCTCTCAGTGAAATGTACTGAGGTCTTTACAGGGGGACAGAAGGGAGCCACCTCAGCTCCTCTCCCAGGCCAGCAGGAAAGCCATCTGCTTCCCCATCATGCTTTTGTCCCAGTGTTCTGGATATTCAGATCAGACAAGCACCTCTGTCCATCTGCAGGAATGCTGACATTCCATGTAAAGAGGGGTTGTGACTTTACTTCTTGTGCAAGCCTGAACCCAGAGGGCACTCCTCCTGTGGAGATGTAGTCACCCTGAAGTGCTCCAGAAAGACTGTCTATAGGCACACTCATGCTGAGTTCCTGGAAGAGAAGCCCCAGCTGTATCTGCAAGTGGTGGGCAAGGGAGAGAAGTTTCCTTCTCTGGGTCCCTTCATGAGCACTGGAGCTGCCTGACTGCTGGGGTAGAACTGCAGTTTTTCACCACTGAGCATGGCCTTGCACCTGTGTCTCTGCTGAAGGAAACTTCCCACAAGTGGAAACTTCTGGGACTCAAGGCCTGCAGTCTGGTTTCTTTTGTCCCACAGGGTGCTCCCTTGATGTGGTGCACTCCCTGTTCCCATAGGTGTGGCAGTCCCTCAGGGCCAGACTACTGCAAATCCTGCTGCGCATCTGGTCTAGCCGCCTTGTGGGGCTTCCACACTCTAAGCTGGTGCTGGGGGAATATGTGCAAGGCATCCAGTGATGTGAAGACACAAGGATTGAAGGTCCCTGAGCAAAACAAAGTCTCACAATGGGTGCACATCCAGCATGGCACCCACTGCTATAGCTCAGGTCCAGGGGGAACTTGTGAAGGGACCTTGTGCGAGCAAGGTAATGCCCTTGAGGAGTCCCTAAATCGCAGCCCACTCTGGTACTTGTGCTCGTGAGTGCAAAGAAGTCGTCTTTGAGCTTGGATACCAGCAGTCTGCTGCAAGGGCCAGAGAGGCCAAGAGCACTCCCACCTCCTCTGTCCGCAGATTATTAAGTCTCTGAGGGTTTGATCTCTGCCAGCTTCTTGTTACTTTCTTTTTTCTTTTTTGGTGTGTCACAGATTCTTCCACTGAACTCTCTGATAAGCTCCAGCACTCTCCGCTTAACATTCCATTTGGGCTATGATTATTCACCTGTAATTTTGGTTCTTCCCTCTGAGGAGAATTGGTCACTGATGCTTCTTATCAGCCAAGTGGAGAAGCTCTCTGATGCCAAAGGCTGTGGGACAGGTCTGCAGGATGTGCAGTGTCTTAGGCTCTGCTCTGAGCTTCAGAGGGGGACAATGTTGAGTGGATCTGGACCAAGCTGTCCTGCCCTCTGGTCTCCCAGCAGGTGTAAGCACAAGCTATGATAAGGGTAGCAGGAGAGTGACATAGACTCTGAAAGATTTCCCTGGCTAAAAATAGCCTTAGTGTGATGGCTTTCTCAAATCCCAGCTATAGTAGTAATGTACTAGGCACATGAGTAGGCTCAAGACCTCCCGATTAGCTGGGATGGTGTGGGTAAATGATGTTAGCTGAGATCACGCAGAAGTTTTCTCCTTCTCAAGTGGTGTGTTATTGTGTCAGCAGATGTTGTAATGGGCTGCACCAGTTGCCCTCTAGCCAGGAGGTGGCGTTTGTAGGAGACAGCCAGTTGTGATGGTGGCCATGGGATTTGTGCCTGGCTTATGATACTCAGGGGAAGAACTTGTGTCTCAGGCGATGGGCAAGGCCATGGAACTCCCAAAAGTCCCTGTCTGTTGTGTTATGCTACCAGGGCAGGTGGAGGGGCAAACCGGGTTTGGGCTGGGTCAAACAGATTTGCACTCTGGCTCCCCATGTGTAAGCACAAGCAGTGGTCCCAGTGGGGCTTGGAGGGCAGTTCCCTGGCCACTAGGGTAATGTTCCAGGGAGAAGCACAACTGACTCTGCTGCACAAAAGAATCCACATTGGGAGAAGGAGTAGCAGGTGTCAGTGAGACCCACCCAACTCCCACAGCTTTGACAAGGTAGGTATCACATCCACAGTCTTCTGCTAGCAGCAGCTAGCTGGATCCCAGGCAGTCTTTGTTAAGAATGCAAAACCGCCCCAGGCCATAAGCCTTCCTGCTGCCTGAGACAGAAACTATGCCTTTCAGGCCTCACCTCTCCCTGTTTGTTCACGAAGCTGGGGCACTTGGCTGCTGCTCCTGTGGCAAGAGCGTACTTCCCACTTGCCCCTCAGTTCTGGCCAAGGGAGTTTGTCCTCACTCGAGAGATTAGACTGCAGATCTCAGTTGGGAGCTTCTCCCATCCTGTGACCACTGCCTGAGTTAGCTGTGAGGTTCCTCTTATCAGGAATGGTTTCCTTCTGTCCCCACTGGGGTTTCAGGGTACATGCAAAGTACTTCTCAATACCGCTCTTTTTCATATACTTCCCACTGCTCACCAAATCAACTGCAGTGCTGGGTAGGGTTAAGGTGCTCCCCTGTGGCCTGGCTTGCTCAGCTTCTCAGTGGGAATGTGTATCAAGGAGACATTGTCTCCCCCTTTCATGCTCTGGAGACTCACAGTGGTCTGCCTGGCTCATGGTGTAGGTTGCTGCCCACCACTTCTTTCAAAGTGTCTGAAGCTTCTTTCAGTTTTTCTGTTGAGTTCCTGTGTTCCTTCTTGGATAAAAATTTACACTGTGAATCTCTACACACCACTCTGCTGTTTCCAAGCAGGTGAGGTCTGCTAACAAAGCCTTCAGTCTACCATCTTGGAAAAAAAAAATCACTTTTGATTAATCATCTTATTATTTTCTAAATGCGTATATAAAGATTTCCAAAGATAGATTAATATTCTTCAAGATACTTTAAGCTTAGTTAAGAAAAGTATATTCTTTATTTTATTAAAAATGTACTTAGAAGTTTTAAGGTAAAATGGTTAGTGTACTTCCCTAAATATCCATTTCAGCTAAGACTGGTGCAAAAATAATTGTGATTTTGCCGGGCGCGGTGGCTCACGCCTGTAATCCCAGCAACTTTGGGAGGCCGTGGCGGGCGGATCACAAGGTCAGGAGATCGAGACCATCCTGGCTAATACGGTGAAACCCCGTCTCTACTAAAAAATACAAAAAATTAGCTGGGCGCAGTGGCGGGCGCCTGTAGTCCCAGCTACTCGGGAGGCTGAGGCAGGAGAATGGCGTGAACCCAGGAGGCGGAGCTTGCAGTGAGCCCAGATAGCGCCACTGCAGTCTGGCCTGGGCAAAAGAGCAAGACTCCATCTCAAAAAAAAAAAAATCATTGTGATTTTGAACCATGAATTTTAAATCATTATGACTAGGCTCAAACACATCTTTTGGAATGAAAATAGGAACCATTACAGTCAACACATTTTTGTCAACAAGAAACAAATTTGTTTATTCCTGTAGCACAAAAATCCGTGCTTTGGGATTCAACAAACTCTTGGAAAGAATTTTCTGCATCCTGCTGGCTGTGGAAGTGTTTTCCCTGCAAAAGGTTGTCGAGATGCTTGAAGTGGTAGTTGGTTGGCAAGAGGTAAGGTGAATATGGTGGATGAGGCAAAACTTCATAGCCCAATTTCTTCTACTTTTGAAGTGTTGGTTGTGCAATGTGCGGTCGGGTGTTGTCATGGAGAATTGGGCCCTTTCTGTGACCAGTGCTGGCTGCAGGCGTTGCAGTTTTTGGTGCGTCTCGTTGATTTGCTGAGCATATTTATCATATGTAATGGTTCCCCCGGGATTCAGAAAGCTGTAGTGGATCAGACCAGCAGCAGACCAACAAACAGTGACTATGACTTTTTTTGTGCAAGTTTGGCTTTGGGAAGTACTTTAGAGTTCTTCTTAGTCCATCCTCTGAGCCAGTTGTCACCAGTTGTCATATAAAATCCACTTTTTGGTGCACATCCCAATCCAATTGAGAGATCATTTGTTGTTGCATAGGATAAGAGAAGACAACACTTCAAAATGATTTTTTTTTTTTTTTTTTGCTCAGCTCGTGAGCAAACCTTTTGAGCTTTTTCACCTTTCCAATTTGCTTCAAATGCTGAACAACTGTAGAATGGTCGACGTTGATTTCTTTGGCAACTTCTCATGTAGTTGTAAGAGGATCAGCTTTGATGATTGCTCTCAATTGATCATTGTCAGCTTCTGATGGCTAGCCACTATGCTCTTCATCTTGAAGTCTTGTGTCTCCTTTGCAAAACATCTTGAAACACCACTGCACCATACGTTCGTTAGCAGTTCCTGAGCCAAATGCGTTGTTGATGTTGTGAGTTGTCTCCACTGCTTTACGACCCATTTTGAACTCGAATAAGAAAATCGCTCAAATTTGCTTTTTGTCTAACATCATTTCCATATTCTAAAATAAATATAAAATAAACAGCAAGTAATAAGTCATTAGCAAAAAAACATAAAGCGAGAAATGGACATTAAAATGATGTCTAACATAACCACATTTACTTAAGAATGTATTCCAAAATCAAATGGCAAATTGCAACAATACAAAAACCGCACCTAGTTATTTTCTTCTATGTGTGTATCTTAGGGTTCTCCAGGGAAGCAGAACTAACTAATCATGTGTGTGTGTATGTGCGCGTGCATAGAAAGACAGGAAGAGACACACACACGCAGAGAGAGGGGTATTTATTTTAAGGCCTCCAACTGATTAAATAAGACTCACTTATATTATAGAGGGTAATCTTTACCCAGAGTCTCCTGGTTTAAATGTTAATCTCATCTGAAAACTACCTTCACAGTGATATCTGGACTGCTGTTTGACTAAATGTCAGGATACTGTGGCCTAGTCAAGTTAACACATAAAACTAAATATTACAGTCATACCCCTTGTCAACTTGGCACTCATACACATCTACTGAAACCATACCTAATCTTCAAATAAAAACAATAACAAGGTCATACTTCCATTTAACATGATACAGTAATCCTGCGTACAACCAAAAATGCAATAATCATTTTCCCAGAAGAGGATGTAAAGTTATTGACTGTTTACTCTTCTTTTACATTATAATGTAAAGTTAACAATACTTAAATATTATGATATATCATATGATATGTTCATGATAAGGGATTAAAAGGGAAAAAACAGACATTTACTTTATATACATATATACATATTCATAACAAAATCAAGATGAAGTACTCATGACAATTGCAATTCTCATTTGTATAACTGGTCACGTGATTTTTAACTGGTCTTTATAACTGCCTTATTCAGTTCCAGATTACCTTTGCCCACAGCACTCACCTCAGCTTGTTGTATATTCTCTGGTGGGGTGACCCAAAGACCATTAGTGGACCTTCCTGAATTGGGCATTGTCGTTTTCCATTGAGTTTAATCACAGAGCATGGTATTACTAAGAGACATCCTAAGAGCTCTCCTATATTCCAGAAATACTCTTCTTCCTTATATCTATTTTGGAGGAGCAATCCAGTTTCCCCATAGTAGTCAGGATCAGTCAGTCCAGTCAGCATAGTAACTTCCTTCTTTGCCTGTTGATTCAGAGGCTTGAGGGACCCAAGGTGGCTGGTTGGCAGTCTTAACTTCCAGTTCAGTGGAATCACTATGTTTCCTGGTAGACACATTTCTGCCTTTGGAACTGAGACCTCTAGGCCAGCAGAGCATAAGGTCACAGGGGCAAGAAACAAAAATTTTGCTAGTGGGTCACTGGAGTGAGTGGTGGCACTCCAGTTTCCACCCCATGAATCCTCACTATAAAATTAAAAGCACCATTTATTGGACGCTGACTCAGAGCACATACAGCCTCCTAGAGAACCTTGCCTAGCTCTGCAAAGTATTGCAACTATCTAACATAGTTGGCACTGTAAATGGGTCTTCAAAAGGCCATTCTAACCAGGTATGATGACTCATGCTTGTAGTTCTACCTCCTTGTGGGAGGGTAAGGCAAGAGGGTTGCCTAGCCTCGTTGAAATCCAGCCTAGGAACATAGTGAGATGCATCTCTAATTAAAACAAAACAAAAGGCCATTCTGCCATTCTGTCAAGCCAGCTGCTTTAGGATGGTGGGGAACATGGTAAGACCAGTGAATTTCATGAGGATGAGCCCATTGCCTCACTTTATTTGCTGTGAAGTGAGTTCCTTGATCAGAAGCAATGCTGTGTACAATACTGTGATGGTGGATGAGGCATTCTGTAAATCCATGTATGGTAGTTTTGGCAGAAGAAATGGATGCAGGGAAGGCAAATCCATATCCAGAATGTGTAATTCAGTAATCATGTCCCTTCCATGATGGAAGCAGATGAGTGTAATCAACCTGCCACCAGGTACTTAGCTGATCACCCTGGGGGATAGTGCCATATCAGGGACTCAGTGTTGGTCTCTGTTGCTAACAGATTGAACACTCAGTCATGGCTGTAGTCAGATCAGCCTCGGTGAGTGGAAGTCCATGATGCTGAGCCCATATATAACAACCCTGCCACCATGGCCACTTTATTCATGAGCTCATTGGGCAGTTACCTGCATGGTTGGAGAAAGGGGCTGAACAGGTCATCCTATCTACTTGGTTATTAAAATCCTCTTCTGCTGAAGTCATTCTTTGGTGGCATTCATATGAGACACAAATATCCTCACATTTTTCACCCATTCAGAAAGATCTGTGTATATACCTCTTCCACAGACCGTTTTGTCACCAATTTTCCAGTCATGTTCCTTCCAAGTCCCTGACCATCCAGCAAACCAGTGGCCATAGCTCATGAATTGATAACTAATTGTACATCTAACCATTTCTTCTTCCTAGTAAAGTGAACAACCAGGTGGTCAAAGTTCTGCCCATTGGGAGGATTTCCCTTTACCACTTTCTTTCAGGGCTGTCCCATAACTTTCTTTCTGTAAAGAAAGTTACCACTTTCTTACAGGGCTGCTGTAGTATTGCAGTTGTCCACTTCCAGATGGCACCTGCGTATCATGCAGAACTATCTGTAAACCAGTCCTGAGTTTTCTTTCTCTGTCAGCTGATTGTGGGAAACTCCCCATAAGGCCATAGTTGCAGGCTAAAAAAGAGAGGGTAGTATAGGCCGGACATGGTGGCTCATGCCTGTAATCCCAGCTCTTTGGGAGGCTGAGGTGGGCAAATCACTTGAGGTCAGAAATTCAAGACCAGCCTGGCCAACATGGCAAAACCCCATCTCTACTAAAAATACAATAATTAGTCAGGCGTGGTGGTGTGTGCCATGCGCCTGTAGTCCGAGCTACTCAGGAGGCTGAGGCACAAGAATTGCTTGAACCCGGGAGGTGGAAGTTGCAGTGAGCCGAGACTGCGCCACTGCACTCCAGCTTGGGTGACAGAGTGAGCCAAAAAAAAAAAAAAAAAGTAGTATAGCAGGAATGGGGACTGTGGCCATGTTCCTTACTTGTTCATCCAAGGCCTACTTGAGCCTGATCTCATATATACCGCTTTAATTTGGTGATGGAGTCCTACTGCATATGCACAACTTTATGGCTTGGTAGGTCAAATAATACCCAGTTCATGATGGGTAGCTCAGGTCTCATGGTTACTTAGTGGCCCATGATTAAGTGTTCAGTCTATACTAAGACCTAATAGCAAACCAAGAACTGTTTCCCAAAAGGGGTATAGTTATCTGTGAACAGCAGCTGGGCTTTGCTTCAATATGCTGAAGGCATGTGCTGCAGTTCACATATGGGAGCTTGCCAGTGACTCCAAATGGCATCCCTGTCTGCCATTGACACTTCAAGCACCATTGGATATGCTGGATCATATGACCCAAGTGGAAAGCAGCTTGAGTTGCAGCCTGAACCTTCTGTTCTGGGACCTACTCAAAACTGTCAGGTTTTTGGGTCACTTGGTAAATGGGCCAGAGTAACACAGCCAAATGAAGACTGTGTTGCCTCCAAAATTCAGAGGCTTGCTAGATGTTGTGCTTCTTTCTGGGTTGTAGGAGGGGCCAGATGCAACAACTTATCCTTCACCTTAGAAGGGGTATCTCTCCATACCACTGCACCCCTCAAAACTTCACTGAGGTAGAAGACCCCTGAGTTTTTGTCAGATTTCCCATCCTCTGACATGCAGCTATCTTACCAGTAAGTCTAATGTAGTTGTTGCTTCTCGCTCATTAGGTCCAATCAGCATAATGTCATCAATGTAATGGATCTGCCTAATATCTTGTAAAAGGGTGGTCAAGATTCTTGTGAAGGTGGTCAAGATTCTTGTGAAGCAAATTATGACATAGGACTAGAGAGCTGATATACCCCTGCAGCAGGACAGTGAAGTGTATTGCTGGCCTTGCCTGCTGAAAGCAAACAACTTACAGTGTACTTATGGTGGGCCTTAATAAAGACAGGTATGGAGAAAAGAGCGTTTGTTAGAAAACTAGCTGCATACAGGTACCAGGGGATATGTTAATTTGCTCAAGCAATGAAACCACATTTGGCACAGCAGCTACAATTGTAGTCACCATCTAGTTAAGTTTATGACAGTCCACTGTCCAGGAGCCATCTTTCTTCTACACAGGCTGAATAGGAGATTTGAAGGAGGATGTGGTGGTAATCACCAACTCTGCATCTTTCAAGTCTGATGGTGGCACTAACCTCTGCAATCCTTCCAGGAATATGCAATATTGCTTTTGGTTACCATTTTCCTAGGTAGAGGTCATTCTAATGGGTTCCACCTGGCTTTTCCACCACAACAGCCTGCACTCCACAGGTCAAGAGACCAATGAGGGATTCTGCCAGTTGTTGAGCATGTCTGTTTCAATTTTGTACTCTGGAACAGGGAAAATAACCCACAAGAAGGTTGCAAGGACCCACTGGGCCTACATGAGACAGACCTGAGCTAAAACTCCATTGATTACTTAACCTTTATAAGGCCCTACTTTGACTGGTGGACCACAGTTACATTTTAGGTCTCACTGGAATTAGGGTCATTTCAGAGCTAATGCTCAGTAGTAGATTATTTCCTTTTCTGTAACGCACAGTCACCCTGCTAAAAGGCCACATAGGTCCATTTGGAGGAGGCTGGGAGGAAGATTAACAGTATAAATACTTGGCAGTGTCCTTCCTCAAGGGGACCCAGGCTCCCCTTCATTCAAGGGGTCTGGTTTTGTAAACTGGTACAAGTCTGGGTATTGATTGAGAAGCCGTGAGTCTCCAATTTAATAATTCAAATTAAATTTTTTATCACTTGACCTAGAATTCTTCCACATATACAGATCAAGTAAAAAATTAGTAGACTTCCCATCCATTTCACTTCTAGGAACATCATGATAACTAGCCAACACCATAGGTCTCTACGAGTCAGACTATTCTGATTAATGCTTTGACTCTGCTTCAGTTATGGTACTATGACCACCTTGTCTTTGGTGATTAAGTGCCCCCACTTGGTTCCTGCCATTCTAGGATCCAACTACTCCCGTCGCATTTAGGTTTCCCAATTCAGTGGCAGCAGTTCCCACTGAAAG
Source organism: Homo sapiens (assembly GCF_000001405.40). Classification (NCBI taxonomy): domain Eukaryota; kingdom Metazoa; phylum Chordata; class Mammalia; order Primates; family Hominidae; genus Homo; species Homo sapiens. The sequence goes on from NC_000023.11 coordinate 55,746,509, forward strand.
TTCTAGCCTACAGAGAAGAATGATCACATAATTGAGGAAAGAAGCTGGGGCTGCCCTTACAAATTTATTTTTCATAGTCATGATGAAAGAAAGGTGTGTCTTCTGGAACCTCGCAGGTTTGGTGAGTAGGCCTTAAATGAATCTGTTAATACTTGAACATTACAATGTCCCTAAAGCCTCTTTTTCTATGGATCTCTTCTTCTAGAGTATACCAAGGCAGTTCTGGCATTTCAACTTCATGTCGTTTAGGCCACCTTTTGGTCCATGTTTCATCCAACCATCCAAACAAACTGTTAAAAGCTCTTTCTTACCCCATGGGCTGCAACATTAAGTGTGGAACCTCTGCTTAATGAGCTCCTATCGGTAAATTTAGCCTGATCCAACTTTATATTTTTTCCACTATTATCCTATACCTTTAATATCTATTCCCATACATATTTCCTTGGTTTTTGTCTGTAAATTGGAGAAATTATGTAGTTCTTTGGAGTATAGCATAATTCCTCATGGGTCATACTTCACACGTCACCTTTAGGAGTCTGCTGAGACTTGAACTAGTTATAGGTGTAGAAGCAAAGAGGGGTAGTGGGAGTGAATCAGGAGTGTCTTGCATGGCAGATACCTCAGAGGAGACCATTGCAGTTTTCTCAGGCCAAATAGAGTTAATATCAGATATGGATGGAGTGGCTGCTTCTACTGGCAAAGAAGACTGAGAATTTAAGGTTTCAATTTTGCCAGCTTCATCAGGATCTTCCCAAATAACCTCCATTCCAAATTTTAGAATCCTACTTCTTCTTGGCCAATGCCCTCACTTTATTAGCAGATGCCCTGTGAGGTTGTGAATTCAGTTCGCATTGTAATTCATCCACTTAAAGGATGAGATTCTGAATTTGGTTTCATCAGTCTCAGCTCTGCAGCTATAGGGGGTAAGAGTTTTTTTTCAGGGCAGTCATAGAAACTTTGTGGTCGTTTATAAAGTATTTATACTGATAATTCAGATCTCTGAGCTCATCCTTTCTCTACTTTGTTCAGCACAATTAGGATCAGCCAGCCAATCTCATATTTGTTATTTTGACAAAAATGTTCGAAATTATGTATGTGGTCACGTGGTACCTTGCCTCTTAAAAGTATTTTATTAGGAATATCCAGTGGTGGTATTTTGTGTATCTCTGCTGCCACATCACACTATAGATTATCAGTACTGTCTTTTCTACTGGAAAGTGAGTCATTAGGGCCTTTAAATCTAATCAGATTAGAGAACCAACCCCAGAACCAATTTAGAAAACTCATCCTTAAGATTATTCTCGCTCCCTCTCCCTCTCCCTCTCCCTCTCCCTCTCCCCACGGTCTCCCTCTCCCTCTTTCCACGGTCTCCCTCTCCCTCTCTTTCCACGGTCTCCCCCTGATGCCGAGCCGAAGCTGGACTGTACTGCTGCCATCTCGGCTCACTGCAACCTCCCTGCCTGATTCTCCTGCCTCAGCCTGCCGAGTGCCTGCCATTGCAGGCGGGCGCCGCCACACCTGACTGGTTTTCGTATTTTTTTGGTGGAGACAGGGTTTCGCTGTGTTGGCGGGGCTGGTCTCCAGCTCCTAACCCCGAGTGATCCGCCAGCCTCGGCCTCCGGAGGTGCCGGGATTGCAGAGGGAGTCTCGTTCACTCAATGCTCAATGGTGCCCAGGCTGGAGTGCAGTGGCGTGATCTCGGCTTGCTACAACCTCCACCTCCTAGCTGCCTGCCTTGGCCTCCCAAAGAGCCGAGATTGCAGCCTCTGCCTGCCCGCCACCCCGTCTGGGAAGTGAGGAGCGTCTCTGCCTGGCCACCTATCCTCTGGGATGTGAGGAGCCCCTCTGCCTGGCTGCCCAGTCTGGAAAGTGAGGAGCGTCTCTGCCCGGCCGCCATCCCATCTAGGAAGTGAGGAGTGCCTCTTCCCGGCCGCCATCCCATCTAGGAAGCGAGGAGAGTCTCTGCCTGGCCGCCCATCATCTGAGATGTGGGGAGCGCCTCTGCCCCGCCACCCCGTCTGGGATGTGAGGAGCGCCTCTGCTGGGCCGTGACCCCGTCGGGGAGGTGAGGAGCGTCTCTGCCCAGCCGCCCAGTCTGAGAAGTGAGGAGACCCTCCGCCTGGCAACCGCCCCGCCTGAGAAGTGAGGAGCCCCTCCGCCCAGCCAGCCACCCCGTCTGGGAAGTGAGGAGCGTCTCCGCCCGGCAGCCACCCCATCCGGGAGGGAGGTGGGGGTCAGCCCCCACCAGGCCAGCCGCCCCATCTGGGAGGGAGGTGGGGGGGTCAGCCCCCCGCCTGGCCAGCTGCCCCGTCCGGGAGGTGAGGGGTGCCTCTGCCCAGCCGCCCCCACTGGGAAGTGAGGAGCCCCTCTGCCCGGCCAGCCGCCCCATCCGGGAGGGAGGTGGGGGGGTCAGCCCCCCGCCCGGCCAGCTGCCCCGTCCGGGAGGGAGGTGGGGGAGTCAGCCCCCCCGCCCGGCCGGCCGCCCCATCCGGGAGGGAGGTGGGGGGGTCAGCCTCCCGCCCGGCCAGCCGCCCCGTCTGGGAGGGAGGTGGGGGTGTCAGCCCCCCGCCCGGCCAGCCGCCTCGTCCGGGAGGTGAGTGGTGCCTCTGCCCGGCCACCCCTACTGGGAAGTGAGGAGTCCCTCTGCCCGGCCAGCCGCCCCGTCCGGGAGGGAAGTGGGGGGGGTCAGCCCCCCGCCTGGCCAGCCGCCCCGTCCGGGAGGTGAGGGGCGCCTCTGCCCGGCCGCCCCTACTGGGAAGTGAGGAGCCCCTCTGCCCGGCCAGCCGCCCCGTCCGGGAGGGAGGTGGGGGGGTCAGTCCCCAGCCCGGCCAGCCGCCCCATCCGGGAGGGAGGTGGGGGGGTCAGCCCCCGCCCGGTCAGCCGCCCCGTCCGGGAGGGAGGTGGGGGGGTCAGCCCCCCGCCCGGCCAGCTGCCCCGTCCGGGAGGTGAGGGGCGCCTCTGTCCGGCCGCCCCTACTGGGAAGTGAGGAGCCCCTCTGCCCGGCCACCACCCCATCTGGGAGGTGTACCCAACAGCTCATTGAGAACGGGCCATGATGACAATGGCGGTTTTGTGGAATAGAAAGGGGTGAAAGGTGGGGAAAAGATTGAGAAATCGGATGGTTGCTGTGTCTGTGTGGAAAGAAGTAGACATGGGAGACTTTTCATTTTGTTCTGTACTAAGAAAAATTCTTCTGCCTTGGGATCCTGTTGATCTGTGACCTTACCCCCAAACCTGTGCTCTCTGAAACATGTGCTGTGTCCACTCAGGGTTAAATGGATTAAGGGCGGTGCAAGATGTGCTTTGTTAAACAGATGCTTGAAGGCAGCATGCTCGTTAAGAGTCATCACCACTCCCTAATCTCAAGTACCCAGGGACACAAACACTGCGGAAGGCTGCAGGGTCCTCTGCCTAGGAAAACCAGAGACCTTTGTTCACTTGTTTCTTTGTTCACTTGTTTATCTGCTGACCTTCCCTCCACTATTGTCCTATGACCCTGCCAAATCCCCCTCTGCGAGAAACACCCAAGAATGATCAATTAAAAAAAAAAAAAAAAAAAAAAAAAAAAAAGGTTATTCTCTAGAATCACTCTCAGTACTGAAGTCTGTGTTAGGGTTCTCCAGAATAACAGAATTAATAGAATATGTGAATATACATATACATACATACATACGTATGTGTGTGTGTGTGTGTGTGTGTGTGTGTGTGTGTGTTTAGAGAGAGAGAGATTGAGAAAGATTGAGATTGATTTTAAGGAACTTTCTCAAGTAATTGTAGAGACTAGCAAGTCCAAAATTTGCAGGGCAGGCTGACAGACTGGAGACCCATGGAAGAGTTAATGTGGAGTTAATTTTGTGGTTCGGGTCAGAAAGCAATCTGGAGGCAAAATTCTTTTTTCTTGGGGAAATGACAGGCTTTTTCTCTTAAGGCCTTCTACTGATTAGATGAGGCCCACCCACATTATACAGAATAATACTCAGAGTCTACTGTTTCAAATGTTAATCTTAACTAAAAAAATGCCTTTGCAACAACATACAGATTGGTGTTTAACCAAATGTCTGGGTATCATGGCCTAGCTAACTTGACACATAAAATTAACCATAACAGTGTGTATGTACATATTTAACAACAATCCACTGACTCCTGGGAAAATATCTGTGTATATATATTTATATAGATATTTTTCCATATCTATATATGTGTCTGAGAAAGATATATACAAGGGTTAAAATATTTTCATTTATATATTCTTGGTATGTGTATAACTATCTTAAAATGACCCAGATTTGGTGCTTTGGAGTGTTTGATGTATTTTATTAAGACTCCTCTGTATGATAAGCTTTATTTATAAACATAGTGCTCGTAGTGAGTATTCAGCATAAGCAGGATAGGCCTGAAGAATTCTAACTATTGTGCTTTTAGACCTGACCAGAAACAGTTTCTGCCATCCTAGTTTGTGAAATAGACATACTTAAAATTCCTCTTAGAAAGGAACAAAAGCTCCTGGTTAAAATATGATAAAATAACTACATCTTAGCTTGAAAGATGGGAACTATTATATGCTGATCAGTATGTTGGGCTTTTTAATTTAGATTTTTAAAGAGCGAGAAGAAGATTTGAGGCGTTTGTCTCGCCCATTGGAATGTTCTTGTTTCCGAACATCTATCTGGGATGAAACCCTCTATAAGGTGTGTATGTCTCCCTGAGTTCCCTCATTTTAAGAGCATGAAAAAAAACCTAGAAGGATATTAACAAACCTAAAAGATTTTAAACTATTTCATAGCCATCTAGATTTGTTGTACTAAAAAGAAAAATAATCTGCAACAAATTGTTTGAAGAATATCAAACTTAACATTAAGAGACTTGGGTTTTGATCTTATATTGGGTTGACATAGCTACCAAGTCACACTGAATTAGCCAGTTTGGTCATGATTAATTTGATACTGGTCTTTGTAATAGCAGAGGTTTCACTTACTGGCCATCATCCATTTTGACCTGTTGTGGTCTCAATGCTGATTGGAGTTGTATCTAGTATTCAGGTACTTCTACATGATATAAGCTAGTCTGCCTAAGTTTGGATGGCAATAAAATGAAAATATTTAGGGAAGAGATTGGAGAAGGAGTCTTAGAATCAGACATGTTATGCCTAGCATATGGTATAATAGCTTCAACTTTCATGCCAAATTGGAGACAAGCATTCTTTCAACCAGAAGTACTGTTCCCATTGCTGGAATGGATACCACACTGCTTACACTAATTATGGAGGTTACAACAATAGCTTTGTTATGGATGAAGCTGAAATTACCTTATTGGCACATAGGCTCCTTATTCTGATTCCTCCCTTTCTCCTACTGATCTAGTTATTTGAAGGACTAGGTCCTTTTGGATCCTTCTGTAGTTAGCCCTTCCCTTCAGACTGCTTCTGGTATCCATTGACAAGTCTGACTCTGGGTAGGAAAGCACCCTTCTCTGTCACTGGTAGCTACAGCCTCAGTATCAACAGCATCTGACAAGTATCTACAACCAGAAGCACAGAAACCTGATGTGGCAAGGAGAAAAACCATTGGACTTTTAAATAGCCATTGCTTTTTTTTTTTTTAACTAATTCATTTTCCCCAATATTATGTTGACCCAGCCTCACTCTAATAACAGATCATTTTGAGATACCTGTCTAGGAAATACTGTTCTAGATTAATATGGGCCGAATTTCTCTCAAAGCCTTATTCCCATAGAACAGGTAACCGTGAATAAGGATGGACATGACGCACTGATAAGAACCAACTGCGGTGTGAAGGATGGCAATACATAACACGACCAAAGACAATTGGCTAATCACAACACTGCTGTGAGTGACAATGTCTCTGCTGTGGTTAGCTTTGGTGCCTTCTCCAAGGTAAATTCAGCAGTGACATTAACACCGACCTGGGAACTTGGAACCTGAACCCTCATGCCTAAGTAATAAAACTAATTGGAACAGAGACATGGCACTTCTGTCTCTTACATCAATGTTGCATAGAGCTAACTTAAATTTTTATATTAAGTTTTATTCAACAAGCACTCTTTACATACCTGCTTGATGCTGTTGGATACACAAATGACTAAGACCAGGTTCCTGCCCTCTTGTAGGGGAGAGAAGAACAAAGTACACCTTACCAGACAAATTGGAGTGAGAGTGAAGGAAGTATTATAATGAAAATACAAATAAAAGAGCCTACAAGAATAGAGGGAGAGTGTGGTTAATTTCAACTGCTTACATTAGTCATACTCCTGGATGAAGTCAGTTTTAGGCAAAAACACAGTAGACCATTTTGAATTCAATTGGATCAATAATTTATATGGATAACAACAAACCTTTGGGAATGATAATGCCACTAGTTTCTCTTTTAATGGTATATTATTCTATTGAGGGGAGGGGCCATTTGTCTATGTGGCTCTGCTACTTTCATAAAATTGATTCTTAGGTATATGTTAAATATAGCATAATTAGGTTCTGATCTTTAGAGAAATCTACACTGTTGGACTTAAATATTTGTGACTAGATTAGGAGCTTTTTAACAAAGTAGATCATATTTTTCAACTTTTTTCCTAAGGCAACATGATGGCATTAAATATTTGTTTGCTTTCAATTATCAATGGAAAGAAGTTTCTCCAGCATTTTACAAAAGTGTTTGAACTTAAAAAAAATTCAACTCAAGGGTAAAAATCAGATGCTAGCTTCATTTTCTCATTTCATTTGTGTTATATCATATTTAATGTCAGTATTTGTTTGGGACTGGATTATCATCATATTTTGCTGTCCACATATTATAGTGTACTTACTAATTTCAAAGGTCTGGGACTGACTAGCTGTTAATAATAGTACACTGTGTTTCTGTTCTGTTAGGCTTGGTCCAGCATAGTTTATCAGCTGATTCCCAATGTTCAGCAGCTGGAAATGAACCTAAGGAATTTTGCTGAAATTATCGAAGCTGATGAAGTACTTCTTTTTGAGAGAGCTACTTTTCTGGTAAGAACTTTCTGCTTTGCAGATGTACTTCACACTGTACGTTCTTTGTTTTCAGCAACAGAGAACAGCATGTCACTACTTTCAGGAAGAACCTTTTTCCCTCTTGTCAACTTTAGCATGTACAGACTTATTTATAAAATAGTATTGTCAGCAAGTGACCTGAAAGAAGCCCTTTGGTGTGTAGCTCTTTGGAAGTTAGTGAAACTTAGATTTTTCCAGGTATGTATTATTAGAGAGTTCAGATTGTTGGCTGGGCATGGGGGCTCACGCCTGTAATCCCAGCACTTTGGGAGGCCGAGGCGGGTGGATCACCTGAGGTCGGGAGTTAGAGACCAGCCTGACCAACATGGAGAAACCCCGTCTCTACCAAAAAATACAAAATTAGCCAGGTGTGGTGACGCATGCCTATAATCCCAGCTACTTGGGAGGCTGAGGCAGGAGAATCGCTTGAACTCGGGAGGCGGAGGTTGGGGTGAGCTGAGATCATGCCATTGCACTCCAGCCTGGGCAACAAGAGCGAAACTCCATCTCAAAAAAAAAGAGAGTTCAGATTATTTATGCTAGTAACTGTTCATTTATGTTAAAGGATTCCTATTTCCTGTGGACTTTTATTATGAAATGTGGGATATTTTCCTTTTGAGAAAACTCACATCCTATCCTTTTCTCTAAAAGACTCATTGAAAACTTTTAATGTAGAAGAGATGTTATGGTCATCTCAGTGACATAGGAGTTCACATGAAGAAGTGGAGAGGGAAAGAGGCATGTTGGTATTTTTATTTTTCTTGTAAATTGAACTTAGCAACTATATTAGAGCCTATTGTTTGTATAACCCTGAAAGGGGGATGCAAAAACCAGTATTGTATTTGTAAATACATTTTAAAAATAGCAATAATAGAAACTAAGGTGTCACAACACACTGCATAAGTAATTGCTAATTAGCCTTGGTAAATGTAACTCTAAGAGCAGTTCCCAGTAAATAATTTGTTTCTGAGCCCTGCCAATGCTTGGTGATTTTAGAAACAATTCTTAATCTCTAGGGGCTTGTTTTCCTTCTACAAATATCTATATCATAGATTTATTGTGCAGATGAAAATGGGACACAGGAACATTGAGCACCCAGCAAGCCTTGGCATTTAGTTGACAAACTATTAAATATTGATTCCTTTTGCTACTATAGCAACAGGGCAGAGAATCCAAAGTACAATTTTTCCCTCTTCCTTTGTGGAAATATTATTTGTAACCCCAGAGGTATTTGGGAGCCATCTTTCTAGCTGGTATAGATGGGGCAAGGAGTCCTAATTAGAGTATCTTTCTGTCTCAGCCCACTGGCAGAGGTCACTTGCTTGGAATTGTGCTACCCTGAGCCTGTTTTTCCTGCTAGTGTGAGTAACAATGAGCAAGAAAGCTATTCTGTCTTGATGTACGTGGCAGGACCGAAACCTGCTTCAGCAGTATTCCCCTACTATGTCTGCCACACATGGTTGTAGAGGTTAACCTAATATAAGCTCCCTGTTCCTTACTAATAGTAACAGGTAGTTTTTGTTTCTCTTGAGACCAAGTTTAGATGTGACTGAACATTTTCACTGAGCGGGGTGAAGTCAAGCAAGGGGGATTTGTTCTTCCACTGGTATAGAAATTATGTTTTGAAATTTTCACATTGTCTCATGGAATTTCCCTGTGAGTTTTCTTCTGGTGAGTGACTCAGTTTTGCTTCCTACTAGACACTCTGCATCTGTATATTCAGCCTATAGGTAATACTTGTGTGGTTTTATTAAAATCTGAAAAAGTTAGAAAAAGTATTTTCAGCTGGTGTGGGTGTCCATCCTGAATAAGTTCATTTGTAAATATTCCTCAGGGATTGGAATCAAACAGTTAAGCTTTTAAAATACAATTCCAAAAGCTATTTGGTTAGCTTGGCCTTTATTAAAATTAAACACATGAAGTATACCTCAAGAACAGCTAGGAATTTTTATTTGTTTTTCTTTTTGATTGATACTTTTTAAAAATCGAAGACCATCATGCGAAATATTGAAATAAAATGAATATTTAGTGATTAAAGTTAGAAAAAATAGCAGTGAACCAAAATAGGCAATACGTAAATGATTTAATTATAACCAAATGGTACTAGATGGGCCATCTGAATGGACGTTGAAACCACACAGAATGTTGATAATATATAGGACAGAGGAAAAGAGACAATAAGCCAGGTGCCAAGTCTACCCTAAAAACCAGTGACCAAGGGACTGACAAATGTCTGCTTTGAGGAGTAGCAGAGGATGATGTAACTATTTTGCATGGATTCAAAGGACAATATTCTTTTTCATAGGTAATTTCTCACTATCAGTGTAAAGAGCAGCGTGATGCCCATAGATTTGAGAAAATAAGCAACATTATTAAGCAGTTCAAGCTGAGCTGCAGGTAAGAGATCTAGTAGGAATGATCTGTTTATCTCTTGAAAAAATTATTGTCATTTTTTAGAAGTTCAAATAACTATAGTTAACTGTACTTCTATATTCAGAATAGTTCCTTCAATCAAAGACAAAGCTAAATTCTAAGGGGCCTCCAGTTGACTGAAATGCAGGTCGTTGTCCTTTAATGCAAACTCAGCTGGTACAGAAGTGTATGAAAAATATCCAAACAGAATATCCTTTTGAGATGATTGATACTATTTGCGAAGAAATAAATAGAATATCCAAGGGAGTTTTGAAAAAGAAGGAGGAAGGAGAATTTGCCTTACTGAATACCAAAATTTACTCTAAAACTACTACTTTAAGTATTTACTATTTGACTTTAAAATAGTGAGGTACTGATTCAGAAATGGTACAGAATGGAGAGTCTAGAAATGTTTAATCACATTGTGTCAGCTATTGTTAAATAAAGTTTGAATCATAGCATTGTGAATCTAGGAAAAAGGAATGGCCGAACATCATAATTTAGCAAAGATTTAATAATCAAAATCCTTACCCTGATAACAGTTTGATTCCAGAACAGCAGGAATAAGTTTACTCTCTTTATGCCTTAGCACACTTTGAGACTTTCTGGAATGTTTATGCTAACATTTTGAAGAAGAAATAGCCAATGACAAGCAAATATAGTTGCCTTGTTTGTTTTCAAAGAAAAAAAGATCATTTCTTGAATTTAAATGTAACTGAAAAGTTATATTAATCTCAATGATAAGGAAATTTCAACTTAAGATGCTTATTAAATATTGAAGAAGTCTTCTGAAACATGATTTTAAACATGGATCTAGGTCTAAGCCAATTTTCATTTCACAGTCAGTTTCAAGTGCTTTAGCCAGATGTGGTGGCATGCACCTCTGTAGTCCCAGCTACTTGGGAGGCTTAGGCAGGAGGATCACTTGAGCCAGGATTTCAAGGCTGCAATGAGCCATGATGGCACCACTGCACTCCAGCCTGGGTGACAGAGCGAAACTCTTGACTCATAAAAAAATAAATTGAAATTTAAAAAATTTTAAAAGTCAAGTCCTAGCCCACTTTTGTCCCAGTTACTTTTCAAAACATGTTAAATTCAGTATAAGAGTTTCCTTGGAAAAAGTAGAGTTAGTGATTAACAATCTTAATGAAGTGGTGAATTGAGGTATAGTGCTATACCTCAATCATCAAAAGATGTTTAACATAAATAAGAGCTTGTTGTAGTGTTATTATTTCATTCTTTAACCTCTCTTCTTCATTTTCCTATAGCAAGCTGGCTGCCTCTTTCCAGAGTATGGAAGTCAGGAACTCTAACTTCGCTGCTTTCATTGACATCTTTACATCCAACACTTATGTGATGGTTGTGATGTCTGATCCGTCCATTCGTAAGTTTAAACTTAGCTGACCTAGGTTCAAAGCCACATACTCTTTAAACAATTGTCCCAGAGGTAGTACTTTATTAGATACTTAAAAGCTATTTTATAGTGGGGATGGTTACATAACAATGTGAGGGCACTTAATCCCAATGAACTGTATGCTTAAAAATAATTTAAATGATAAACTTTGTGTTATGTATACTTTACCACAATAAGAAAAAGTATTTTAGTACTAGTGGTAAATAGTTTTTATTTAATAGACTTATATTTTAAAGCTTAAAAATAATTTAGCTTCTAGGGTATTACGTTTTTCTTCATGGGAACTTCAAAAAGCAAGTCACTAAATCCAAGAATTTTAAAGAAAAAACCCAAATACATGATTTATGCTGCATCTGGTATAGATTTTTAAAAGACTAGTCAATCTAAGCTCTAAACTATTAAATGACAAACCATTTCATATGTCATTGCATATTCCTATGTACCACATTCTCATATTTCTGTTATGGGCATGAAGGGGTGTTTGATGCTTCCATGCCATAATAACCATGACTATCACAACCATTGAAATAAAGGTTCTTGCAGTATTTTCAGGATGGTCCCAGAAATTTAAATTAATCTCTCATCCATTGGCTTTTGCTACTTTAGGTTAATATTAAAATATAACATACATTTTTGGGGTTTATGCTGTTAGCTCCAAACCAAAAGATTTTGGAAATTTATTTTGGAAATTTTGTGTTTAGAATATGAATAAATCTGCTTATTCAGAAAAATTAAACCTTGATAACTTGGGACCTCCTATTCCTGTATGTTCTCTGACATACATTGAGGGATTTGGCTCTCTTTTGTTTATTTGTTTTACTAGTCAGACATTCCTTTGGCTGCCCATACTTAATTCTGTTGGGTGTTTCCGCCCCCGCCCTCAGCTTCTGCAGCTACTCTGATCAACATCCGCAATGCCAGGAAACACTTTGAAAAGCTGGAAAGAGTGGATGGACCAAAGCAGTGTCTTCTCATGCGCTAAACATTGATGAATATTGTTTCACACAAAAATTAAAAGTTTCCTAATTAATGTTGTATTCATATATGTAGGCTCTGAAATGTTGTGATGCTTATTGCTTCTGTATTTCTTCTCTACTCCCTAGTCTTAATGTTTAACCTTGAATGCTATTAACTTAAATAGCCATTGAGGAGTTAGAAGATGAATTGTTCATGAAGTCGGTGTTACATAAAAGTAGGTGATATGTAAGTTTTCTGATAACAAGGTTCTAATAGTGTTTAAATGTACTGGTAACCTGGTTCCAATAGTTGTGTTTGCCCAAGCCTTTCTCGGCATCATCTTGTATTCCTTATCAGATAGTAAGTAACCTGTAAGTTTGGAGTATTACTGTTTTCTCAGCATGCATTAAAAATATTCCTTAACTTCAATTGTAAATAAACTTTTGGTGTTAGGGATTTCAGTGTCTATTTTTCTTTTCCTTGTTTCTTCAACTTTGTCCTAAGAAAGAGTAAAGGAATTTCACAGTTATCCTAGGTGAAGGGGACCTTCTGGTTGGGAAGGCACAAAATAAAATTGGATGGGAAGAATGTAGCCAGATTATGGCCTTAAAGCGAGGCAGAAGAATTCAGATATAAGACATCTAAATGCGATAGGATATAGGAAAGCATTGTGGGCCTTTGAGCAAGGGAATTATGTGAAAGCAATTTTGAAAGAAAGTTAAGTTAGACCATATGTACTGACTGATAGCAGCTGGGGAAACTCTGGTAGTAATCCATGCCTGAAGTATATTTAAAGTCTATTCAGGATGCAACTGGAGAAGGAATGCATAAAAAGTGGAGGGAAAATAGGATTTATGAGGTCCAGGAGTGGTTAATTAGGTGTAATTCCATAACACCTAATGAGATGCACCTTCATTATTCTATCAAGCAGTATTAAAACCTTTTTCAAGCTGGCAGTTGTCTTTAATTTTGTCCTCTAAGGAAAAAATGAAGCACTGTGAACTGTGAGAAACGGAGTTTGATAACACAAAGCCCTAACATTTTCAGTTTCCATTTGCAGGAAAAGAGAAGACAGAACCATTTAGGGAATCTATAGCACAGTAGACAGTAGACTCATCTCATTTCTTCTTCTGCATGTCATTAAGGAACTTCTTCTAAACCACTGGTCTCTCACCTTTTCTCATCTTAGTTTAATAGTCCTAGTTGAGGGATAAGTAGAGTTTTCACTGAGCAGCAAAAAACATGTTTTTTTGCTACGTGACCTATGTTATGTAGACTAAAACTCTCAACTTGTAAAACAATTTTATGGGAATATTTCTATCAACAGCTGTGTTAATCTTCTGCAGAAGGAGAGATTTAAGTGTTCCAGAGTCTTTATCCTATTAGCATCTAGGAAAATGAAAAGAGTTCAGGAAGGTGAAGAGTCATTGAACAGGGGTGTATTCTGTGACTAGTAATGAGTCATTATTTGGCATGTTATTATTTTCAATATCTGGGGTGGGATTTAGAAGTGGGATTCACTTCTAAATCAGACATTCACACTACTTGAATGTGTTCTTTATAAGGTGGATAGATATTGATACATATAGAGACATTAAATTAGATGAGCCCAGAAAAATCATAAGGTTATGTCTTTATCCTATTTGCCCTTAGTTCATTCAGTCCTTGCTCAGATTATAGTTATAACTTGGACATAGATGTTTTGAAAGGTTAGACAAATGAGGTTCTGATTAGACTTAATCCTTCTTATGGTGATGGCCAGATAGCTGTCTTTGTCACTGAAGACAAAAGAGTTTTGAGATATATATTTATCCAAAGATGCAGTCACTTAGAAACAGAAGTGGAATCAGGTGGATGGTGAAGTCATGCACACAGAAACAGATGGAGAAAAGAAATCAAAATTAGAGATGAAATGATACAATGAAATAATGCTTTTTATAGGCCGTGTTACCTATGTCAGTAGGATAGGGGCCAGTGGGTCTCAAACTTGAGCATGCCTCAGAATCACTGGGAGGGGGGCTTATTAAAACAGATTGCTGCCCCACCCCAAAAGTGTCAGATTCAGCAGGTTTGGGGTGAGGCTCATGAATCTGCACTTCTAACATGTTCCCAGATGATGCTGATCCTGCTGGTCCAGGGACTACACTTTGGAAACCACTGCTTTAGGGAAGAGAAGACGAAATGTAGACAGGAAACAAGTATGGGAAAAGCATGTGTTCACCACTTTGGCAATACTGAAGTGAAGGCATTATACCAAGTACAATATATATGTTTTAAACCACTAATTCTCAAAGTGATCTATAAGTTTGAGAAGCACTGTTGTAGACAAAAGCAATGCCTGGGAAGCTTGTGTTTCATAAGTAATATGTTCAAATGGAAACCCTTGCTAGTATAAAGAGACTGTGGGTACTGATTTGTATTGGGACGACCTAGCTTGTTCCAGTTTCATCCAGCTTTATTTGCTAACTCAATAGGATACCAAGAAAAGTTAGGTAGATTGCCAAATGAAAATGGTGCTATCCTTTAGTTGAGTACTTACCAAGTATCAGTGCTTTATAAGGATTATCTAAGTTAATCTTCACAAGAACTACATGGCATAAGTACTATCACTGTCTCCATTTTGAAGATGGGGAAACTGGGCTCAGAGAAGATAAGAAACTTGCTAATAGTTATTGTGGTAATGGCAAAGCTGGGATTTGAATTCGGTCTAACTGGAGCTCATGTACTTATTCTTAACCTTGAAGTTATATGGCCTTCCTGAATGTAAGGGCCTATTCAGGGTGGAGAGTATGAGGTGCACCCAGGTGTGGTACCTCACTGTGAGACTACCACTATTTGGCTACTATGAAATAGTAAAGCAAACACTCGTGAACCTGTCTTACTCCTGGTTTTACTGGAGCATAGGAAGCCTTACCACAGTAGGCAGTACAAAGCAGTCACCAGGAAAACAAAGCAAAAATCCCTCCAGCTTGAAGGATTTAGGTCAAACCTAAACAGTCTTTTAATATTTAGAAGTTTTGTCCCTGAATTGGGTTACTGTAAGCAGTTATAGCCTCCACTTCTCTGGGGCCATTTGTTAATAAAAATAAGAGGGAGAAAGTGTGTAACTTTGTAACTTTTTTAGGTCTCTCACAACAGTGCTTTGCATAGGCCAGTTTAATATTTCCCGCTCAAATTCCTAACTCTTCATTATAAAGCAAGAAGTAGTTAGGGCCCTCCTGTAGCTCTCACTGACAAAATTTCTGGCCTCATTAGTTAGTTTAGTCAAAAGATATTTTTTCAATACTTACTATGTTTCAGACACTGTTTTTGAAGCCCAGGATATGAGAGTGAACAAAATAAAGCCCTTGTACTCATGGAGTTTATATTCTAGGAAGAGGAGACAGACAACCAATTAAGTAAACATAATATATTAGGAAAGACAGGTATATGAAGAAAATTTAAGCAGTAATGTGGGAAGGGGCTGGGGGCAGGCAGAGTAATGGCCCCATAGAGGATTACATCCTAATCCCTGGACCTATAAATATGTTTTGTTGCATGGCAATGAGGAAGTAAGTTTGCAGATGGAATTTAGGCTACTAATCAGCTGCCCCCAAGATAAGGAGATCATCCGGGTTTATCCAAATGGCCTAATGTAATCATAAGGGTCCTTTAAATGTGGAAGAGGGAGGTAGGAGAGTCAGTGTCAGAATGACTTGCCATGAGAAAGACTCAATTTGCTGTTCTTTGTTTTGAAGATGGAGGCAGGGGGCCATGAGCCAAGAAATGTGAGCAGCCTAGAAGCTGGAAAAGGCAAGGAAACTGATTCTTTCCTAGAGCCTCAAGAAAGAAACAGAGCCCTGCTGACGTCTGGATTTTAGCCCAGTGAAACCCACATCAGACTTCTGACATCAAGAACTATAATATAATAAATTTTTATTGTTTTAAGACACTAAGTTTGTGGTAATTTGTTAGAGAAGTAATAGGAAACTATATTAATCAGGGTTCTCCAGAGAGGCCGAGAAATCCAAAGATCTGCAGTCGGCAAGTTAAAGACCCAGGAGAGCCAATGATGTAGTTAAGTCTGAGTCCAACGGCCAGAGAACCAGGAGAACTGATAATATAAGTTCCAGTTCAAAAGCTGGCAGGCTTGAGACTCAGAAAGAACCAGTGTTTCAGTTCAAGTCTGAATGCAGGAAAAGACTGATGTCCTGGCTCAAGGCAGTCAGGCAGGAGAAGTTCCCTCTTACTAATGGGAGAGTCAGTCTTTTTGTTTATTCAGGCCTTCAACTGATTGGATGAGGCCTACCCACATTAGAGAGGGCAATTGCTTTACTCGGTCTACCCATTCAAATGTTAGTCTCATCTAAAAACACCCTGACAGACACACCTAAAATAATATTTCACTAAATATCTGGGCACCTTGCAGCCTAGTCAAGTCAACATGTAAAATTAACCAAGGATTTATTTAATTAGGGAGATCAGAGATAGCCTCTAACATGAGATGACATCTGAACAAAGAACTGAATAAAGTGTGAGAGAGAGCCATGTGTATAGCACGTTAAAAAAAAAGACATTTTAGGCAGAGAAAACAGCAAGTACAAAGTCCCTGATGTGGGAGGGTTCTCGGAATATTAGAGAGGCAGCAGCAAGGCCAATGTGGCAGGACTGGAGGCAAGAGTGGTAAGAAGAATAGGAGACTGAGGTGAGGAATTAGATAAAGATGGGGTGGAAGAGAAGACTGTGTAGGGCCCTGTAAGCCATTGTAAGGATGTTTGTGTTTACTACCAGTAAGATGGGAAAGCCACTAGAAAGTTTTGAGCAGAGGGGTGATGTGATCAGACTTACTTTTTAAAAAAGATCACAGCTAAAGAATAGACAATTTGGAGATAAGAGTAAAAGCAGGGAGACCAGTGAAGAAGCCACTGTGATACGTAATATTAGGTATCAACTTGACTGGATTGAGGGATGCCTAGATACCTGGTAAAGTATTGTTTCTGGGTGTGTCTGTAAGGGTGTTGCCAGGGGAGATTGACACTTGAGTCAGTGGACTGGGAGAGGAAGACACCTTCATTGTGGGTGGGCACCATCCAGTCAGCTGCCAGTACTGCTGGAACAAAGCAGGCGGAAGAAGGGGGATAAAAGCAGCTTGTTTACTGAGTCTGCTTGTTCTTTCTTCACATGCTATGCCCGATGCTTGGCTTCCTTTCCTTCTGCCCTGGGACATCAGACTCCAGGTTCTTTGGCCTTTAGACTCTAGAACTTGCACCAGCAGCTTCCCAGGGGCTCTTGGCCCTTTGGCCTCAGGCTGAGGGCTGCATTGTCAGCTTCCCTGGTTTTGAGGCTTTCAGACTTAGACTGAGCCATGCTACTGGCTTCTCTCTTTCCCCACCTTGCAGATGGCCTATTGTGGGGCTTCACCTTGTAACTGTGTGAGCCAATTTTCCCTAACGTGCTCCCCCGTGTATGTGGGGAGCATATATACACACATGAGGGAGCACATGTGTGTGTGTATACGCATACACACATATACACAGGGGAGTACCTGTGTATATGTGTGTGTATCTCCTGTTGTTTCTGTCCCTCTGGAGAACCTTGACTAATACAACTATTAAAGTAATAAGTGAGAGATGATGGTGACTTGGCTTGGGTTAGAATGGTACCAGAGGAAGTGATGAGAAATGGTAGGATTCTTGCTAAGTTTCTAATGTCAGGCCAACAGGGTTTCTTAATGAAGTGTGTAGGAGAAAGAGGAATCAGATAACTTCAAAGTTTTTGGCTTGAGCAACTGGATTAATGAAGCTGCCTGAAACTGAGAATGTTGAGGGAGAACCTGGCTTGAAGAAGAAAACAAGGGTTGGGAGTTTTGCACATGGTATGGTAAGCTTGAGATACCTGTAATACACAAATGGAGTTGCTGAGTATGAGTATGAATATGAGTATGATGCATAAGTGTCAAACTCAGAGGAGAGGTTGAGCTACAGATTCAAATTTCATTTTGACATTGGATGAGATCAACTCAATGGCAAGTGTAGATAAAGAAAATAATTAAGTAATTATTTAAAATTTATAAAGAAAGGAGGAAATAGCTTGCCACAAGCATTAGAATAGATAGCTGATGTTGTAGAATCTCAGACTCTTGTATATATACGGTCGTGCGCCACATAATGACATTTTGGTTAATGACAGACCACATATATGATGGAAGCTTCATAATATTATAATGGAGCTGAAAAATTCCTATTGCCTAGTAGCATTGTAGCCATCTAACATTGTAGCATGACACATTACCTTTTCTATATTTAGATACACAAATGCCATTGTGTTACAATTGCCTACAGTATTCAGTACAGTCACATGCTGTACAGGTTTGTAGCCTAGGGGTGATAGGCTATATTATATAGTCTAGGTGTATACTAGGCTATACCACCTAGGTTTGTGTACGTATACTCTATGATGTTTGCACAATAACAGAATTGTCTAACGATCCATTTCCCAGAACATATCATCATTAAGCAATGCAAAACTATATTGTCATTTTCTGAAAAACTGTGGGATTGAAATGGATAACTCCTTAAGCTTACTTTCAGGCCTGTATATGTCCTTAATATTGATTGGCTGAATGCCTACAACAAGAATAGCAAATAATATTTACTGATCTGTTAAGACGTGCCAGGCATAGGATCTAATTGTTTTTACATGTATTCACTTACTTAACTGTCACAGCAGCCTTATGAAATGGGTATTGTTATTTCTTTATTTTGTAGGAAGAGACCAATTTGTACTTTAATCAAAAATCCCTCTAAACTTATAATTCTGTCTTGTGAATATATTTTGTAGTTCTCACATTAGTTTCTCATACATTGTCTTTTTTGTTCTTCCCAACAATCTTGTGAAATGGATAGGAAAGGTAGTAGCACAGTTTTATAGATAAGGCAAGTGAGCATCAACAAGGTTGTGATTTATCCAGTATCACAAATTAGTGAAGAGTGTAGTTGGCACTTAAACCCCAGTTCTGATTCCAAGCCAACCTCACCTATACATGCCATACAAACTTGCTCTAAGACAGCACTGTCCAATAGAGGTCTCTGTGATGATGGAAATGGAAATTTTCTAATCTGTGCTGTTCAGTATGGTAGCCACTCAGCACATGTGGCTATTGAACACTTGAAATGTGGCTAACATATGTATACATGTGCCATGCTGGTGCGCTGCACCCACTAACTTGTCATCTAGCATTAGGTATATCTCCCAATACTATCCCTCCCCCCTCCCCCCGACCCCACAACAGTCCCCAGAGTGTGATGTTCCCCTTCCTGTGTCCATGTGATCTCATTGTATGTAACTAACCTGCACAATGTGCACATGTACCTAAAACTTAAAGTATAATAATAAAAGAAAAAAAAAACTTAAAAAAAGAGTGAACATAAAATAAAAAAAAAAAGAAATGTGGCTAACAAAACTAAGCAAGTAATTTTTTATTTAATTTTAATTAAATTTAAATGAATATAGCCAGATGTGACTAGTGGCTGCCATGTTGGACATTGCAGCTGAAGAATATGAATAATCATTAGCAAATGAAGATTATATGAAAATGTTACTATGGAATTCCACATCTCTTTGTGTCACAAATAGACCCTGGTGAATTTTTTCCAACTGTTTCAAGAAGAGTTAATCCTGTATTGTACTATTTCAAAATACAGAAAAGGATGCTATGCTGTCTAGCTTGATGAGACAAATAAGGTTTTGATCCCCAAACCCCAAAATAACTTTACCACAAATGAAAATTTCAGGCTGATCATAACTTATGAACATCAGTCATTCTAAATAGGCTTGGCAAACCACACATTGCAAGTATTCCACATGATCATCAAGTAGAAATTTCAGCTTAAAATTGTTATAACAGAGTGGTTATTTAAAATTATAATAAATATATTTATTAAAATAAATATAAATTTAGCTATATAGAAAAAAACACCAAAAGGACAAATAATGTGTGACACAAGTAAAAGTTAGAGTAGGTAAACAATCTAAATGGTCACTCTGTTTAATATCCAAATTTTACTTGACAGTTTACAAATTAAACAAATGCTTACTCCAGGACCCTCAGTAGTTGTGATAGGCAGTCTCCATGCATTTGTGTTATCCCTTCCCCTTAAGTGTAGACTGGATATAGTGACTCTCTTCTAACAAACAGAATTTTGCAAAAATAATGAGATGTCGCTTAGATTAGGTTACAAAAAGACTCGCTTCTGTCTTGCTTGCCTTTTCTTGCATGTTTAGCATTAAGAACTGAGGAACTGAGGATGGCCTCTGGCCAAAAACTAGCAAGAAGCTGAGGCCCTCAGTCCAATAGCTCACAAGGTTGTTGAATTCTTCCAACAACCACATAAGTGAGCTTGGAAGCAGATCCTCCCTCAGTATAACCTTCAGATGAGACCAGAGCCCCAGCCAACACCTTGATTGCCAGATTGTAAGAGATCTTGAATCCTTGAGGCAGAGACACTCAGCTAAGCCTCACCTAGTTTCTTGACCTGCAGAAACTGAAATGATAAATGCTTATTGTTTTAAGCCATTCAGTTTTAGTGTAATTTGTTACACAGAAATAAAATCTAATATACTAGGGAAATCAAAGATGCACTGGCTTTGCTTCAGCCTCATTAGGGAGCTTCCTTTCAAGTAGGGGAGAATGCATGAGGTGATACACAAAGTAGATCCTGAAGTAGAAAAAAATGCATTGCCTATGTAGCCATCAAAAATACATTTTTAAGGTACCATTATGTACCATTCAAATGCAAAAAATGACAGGGCTATTGTCAGCATATTGCTGAAATATACTTTGTATATTGCTGAAAGCTCCTAATCGGTCCTTTCTGACAGGGGATCTGGCAAAAATAATATTACAAAATTTTTCTTACCCTTTGATGTGGTGATGATTCCTTTTTGGCAAGATATCCTAAGAAAATATCCAAAGTATATGTGGTTTTAGAGGGAAAATTTTTTAAATATGACTAATGCTGCACTATAAATAATAGCAAACAATAGGAACATTTCAAATACCTAACAGTGGATTAAAGATGTACATCTGATGCAGCAACTTAATGGAATACAGTAGAGTATCATATTGTCTAGGATTATGTTTGGCTACAGATAACCAAAAAACCCAAAATGGAGTATCTTAAATAAGACTTTATTTTTTTCTCAAATAATAGAAGTTTGGAGATAGATCCTCTAAGATTTGGCTGTATGGTAAAATCAGAGACTCAGGCTCCTTCTAGTTGTTGCTTTGTTATCTTTTAAATGTTATCTCATGGTCCGATATGGCTATTTAAACTCCAGCCATCACATCTACATTTCAGCCAGCAGAATATTTTAGCAGACTTCCTGAAAACCACATACAGCACTCATTCATATCTCACTGTCCAGAATCTAGTCACACGATCATATGTACCTACAAGGGAGATTCAGAAATGTCATCTTTTATTTCATTTATTTATTTATTGAGACAGAGTCTCACTCTGTCGCCCAGGCTGGAGTGCAGTGGCGAAATCTCGGCTCACTGCAACCTTCGCCTCCTGGGTTCAAGCGATTCTCATGCCTCAGCCTCTGAAGTAGCTGGGACTACAGGCACACACCACCACACCCAGCTAATTTTTGTATTTTAGTAGACGTGGCGTTTCACTGTGTTGGCCAGGCTGGTCTCAAACTCCTGACCTCAAGTGATCCACCTGCCTCGGCCTCCCAAAGTATTAGGATTACAGGAGTGAGCCACTGTGCCCAGCTGCCATCTTTTAGTTAGGTACATTGCCTCCCCAAATGAAACAATGTTTTGTTACTAAGGAGCAAGGGAAGAATGGATGTTGTGGTAGGAAAATAGATTTTGCCACAAGCTGCTACTTATAGTTATGTCTATGGATTGAGTTGATAAGTGGAGATATGCATAGCCGACTCTTGGCATTTATGAGGGGGTATCATCAGAGATCTTAAAAATTCTAGATCTGTAAAAGTGAAAATGTTGATTTAAGTGCCTGGCTTTTTTCTGGAATCATTTCTGTTGAGTTATGTATTTCCTATGCTTTGTCTCACAACACAAGTTAATCCCTTTCAATTTCGTTAAGTTTCCTCGATAACTATTTTTCAGAAAGAATTATTTTTCTCGCTTGATAAGAGTGCTGCCTATATAACAACAAGTACAGAGGAAAAAAAAGAATTAGGGATGCTGGTTATTTTTAACAGGGGAGGGTGACTTGCTTTTGTATAATTCAAATTTGTACCAGAGGAAAATGACCAATTACTAAGTCTTAGACTTTCAGGGAGTTGAAAATACTAATTACACAAGTATGTACATTGAAAAAGATCAAAACATGACTTGAATAATTATTTTTAAAAGCCATCATTATTAAGTTGCTAACTTATTTTTAGTTTTATTAAAAAGCAATTCTTTCCTCAACTCTCATTCATTCCTCTACTTACTCCATTCTGGCGTCTGTCCTCACCATTCCACCAAAATAGCTCTTGTTAAGGACACCAGTGCCATCCATGCCATGGAATTCAATGGACACGTTTTAGTATTCATCTTATTTGACTATTAAAGCAATATCTGGCTCTGGTGAGCACTCACTTCTTTTTTTTAAATTTTTTTTATACTTTAAGTTGTAGGGTACATGTGCACAATGTGCAAGTTTGTTACATATGTATACATGTGCCATGCTGGTTTGCTGTACTCATTAATTCATCATTTACATTAGGTATTTCTCCTAATGCTATCCCTCCCCCATCACCCCAACCCACGACAGGCCCTGGTGTGTGATGTTCCCCGCCCTGTGTCCAAGTGTTCTCATTGTTCAATTCCCACCTATGAGTGAGAATGTGTGGTGTTTGGTTTTCTGTCCTTGTGATAGTTTGCTGAGAATGATGGTTTCCAGCTTCATCCATGTCCCTACAAAGGACATGAACTCATCCTTTTTTATGGCTGCATAGTATTCCATGGTGTATATGTGCCACATTTTCTTAATCCAGTCTATCATTGATGGACATTTGGGTTGGTTCCAAGTCTTTACTATTGTGAATAGTGCCGCAATAAACATACGTGTGCATGTGTCTTTATAGTAGCATGATTTATAATCCTTTGGGTATATACACAGTAATGGGATTGCTGGGTCAAATGGTATTTCTAGTTGTAGATACTTGAGGAATTGCCACACAATGGTTGAACTAGTTTCCAGTCCCACCAAGAGTGTAAAAGTGTTCCTATTTCTCCACATCCTCTCCAGCACCTGTTGTTTCCTGACTTTTTAATGATCGCCATTCTAACTGGTGTGAGATGGTATCTCATTGTGGTTTTGACTTGCATTTCTCTGATGGCCAGTGATGATGAGCATTTTTTCATGTGTCTGTTGGCTGCATAAATGTCTTCTTTTGAAAAGTGTCTGTTCATATCCTTTGCCCAATTTTTGATAGGGTTGTTTGATTTTTTCTTGTAAATGTGTTTGAGTTCTTTGTAGATTCTGTATATTAGCCCTTTGTCAGATGGGTAGATTGCAAAAACTATCTCCCATTCTGTAGGTTGCCTGTTCACTCTGATGACAGTTTCTTTTGCTGTGCAGAAGCTCTTAAGTTTAATTAGATCTCATTTGTCTATTTTGGCTTTTGTTGCCATTGCTTTTGGTGTTTTAGTCATGAAGTCCTTGCCCATGCCTGTGTCCTAAATGGTATTGCCTAGGTTTTCTTCTAGGGTTTTTATGGTTTCAGGTCTAATATTTAAGTCTTTAATCCATCTTGAATTAATTTTTGTATAAGGTGTAAGGAAGGGATCCAGTTTCAGCTTTCTACATATGGCTAGCCAGTTTTCCCAGCACCATTTATTAAATAGGGAATCCTTTCCCCATTTCTTGTTTTTGTCAGGTTTGTCAAAGACTAGATGGTTGTAGATATGTGGTATTATTTCTGAGGCCTCTGTTCTGTTCCATTTGTCTATATCTCTGTTTTGGTATCAGTACCATGCTGTTTTGGTTACTGTAGCCTTGTAGTATAGTTTGAAGTCAGGTACTGTGATGCCTCCAGCTTTATTCTTTTTGTTTAGGATTGTCTTGGCAATGTGGGTTCTTTTTTGGTTCCATATGAACTTTAAAATAGTTTTTTTCAATTCAGTGAAGAAAGTCATTGGTGGCTTGATGGGGATGGCATTGAATTTATAAATTATCTTGGGCAGTATGGCCATTTTCCCGATACTGACTCTCCCTATCCATGAGCATGGAATGTTCTTCCATTTCTTTGTGCCCCCTTTTATTTCATTGAGCAGTGGTTTGTAGTTCTCCTTGAAGATGTCCTTCACATCCATGGTAAGTTGGATTCCTAGGTATTTTATTCTCTTTGAAGCAATTGTGAATGGGAGTTCACTCATGATTTGGCTCTCTGTCTGTTATTGGTGTATAGGAATGCTTGTGATTTTTGCATATTGATTTTGTATCCTGAGACTTTGCTGAAGTTGCTTATCAGCTTACGGAGATTTTGGGCTGAGATGATGGGGTTTTCTAAATATACAATCATGTCATCTGCAAACAGGGACAATTTGACTTCCTCTTTTCCTAATTGAATATCCTTTATTTCTTTCTTCTGCCCGATTGCTGTGGCCAGAACTTCCAACAGTATAGGAGTGGTGAGAGAGGGCATCACTGTCTTGTGCCAATTTACAAAGGGAATGCTTCCAGTTTTTGCCCATTCAGTATGATATTGGCTGTGGGTTTGCCATAGATAGCTCTTATTATTTTGAGATACGTTCCATCCATACCTAGTTTATTGAGAGTTTTTAGCATGAAGGGCTGTTGAATTTTGTTGAAGGCCTTTTCTGCATCTATTGAGATAATCATGTGGTTTTTGTCATTGGTTCTGTTTATGTGATGTGTTACGTTTATTGATTTGCATATGTTGAACCAGCCTTGCATCCCAGGGATGAACCCAACTTGATCGTGGTGGATATGCTTTTTGATGTGCTGCTGAATTCGGTTTGCGAGTATTTTATTGAGGATTTTTGGATCAATGTTCATCAGGGATATTGGTCTATAATTCTCTTTTTTTGTTGTGTCTCTGCCAGGCTTTGGTATCAGGATGATGCTGGCCTCATAAAATGAGTTAGGGAGGATTCCCTCTTTTTTTATTGATTGGAATAGTTTCAGAAGGAATGGTACCAGCTCCTCTTCGTACCTCTGGTAGAATTCTTCTGAATCCATCTGGTCCTGGCCTTTTTTTGGTTGGTAGGCTATTAATTATTGCCTCAATTTCAGAGCCTTTTATTGGTCTATTCAGGGATTCAACTTCTTCCTGTTTAGTCTTGGGTGGGTGTATGTGTCTGGGAATTTATCTATTTCTTCTAGATTTTCTAGTTTATTTGCATAGAGGTGTTTGTAGTATTCTCTGATGGTAGTTTGTATTTCTGTGGGATCATTGGTGATATCCCCTTTATCATTTTTTATTGCATCTATTTGATTCTTCTCTCTTTTCTTCTTTATTAGTCTTGCTGGTAGTCTGTTTTCTTGATGTTTTCAAAAAACCAGCTCCTGGATTCATTGATTGTTTGAAGGGTTTTTTGTGTCTCTTTCTCCTTCAGTTCTGCTCTTAGTTATTTCTTGCCTTCTTCTAGCTTTTGAATTTGTTTGCTCTTACTTCTCTAGTTCTTTTAATTGTGATGTTAGGGTGTCAATTTTAGATCTTTCCTGCTTTCTCTTGTGGGCATTAAGTGCTATAAATTTCCCTCTACACACTGCTTTAAATGTGTCCCCAAGATTCTGGTACATTGTGTCTTTGTTCTCATTGGTTTCAAAGAATGTCTTTATTTCAGCCTTCATTTCGTTATTTACCCAGTAGTCATTCAGGAGCAGATTGTTCAGTTTCCATGTAGTTGTGTGCAGTTTTGAGTGAGTTTCTTAATCCTGAGTTCTAATTTGATTGCACTGTGGTCTGAGAGACAGTTGGTTGTGATTTCTGTTCTTTTACATTTGCTGAGGAGTGCTTTACTTCCAACTATGTGGTCAGTTTTGTAATAAGTGCGATGTGGTGCTGAGAAGAATGTATATATTCTGTTGATTTGAGATGGAGACTTCTGTAGATGTCTACTAGGTCTGCTTGGTGCAGAGCTGAGTTCAAGTCCTGGATATCCTTCTTAACCTTCTGTCTCATTGATCTGTCTAATGTTGACAGTGGGGTGTTAAAGTCTCCCATTATTATTGTGTGGGAGTCTAAGTCTCTTTGGAGGTATCCAAGGACTTCCTTTATGAATCTGGGTGCTCCTGTATTGGGTGCATATATATTTATGATAGCTCTTCTTGTTGAATTGGTCCCTTTACCATTATGTAATGGCCTTTTTTGTCTCTTTTGATCTTTGTTGGTTTAAAGTCTGTTTTATCAGAGACTAGGATTGCAACCCCTGCTTTTTTTTCGCTTTCCGTTTTCTTGGTAGATCTTCCTCCATCCCTTTATTTTGAGCCTATGTGTGTCTCTGCATATGAGATGGGTCTCCTGAATAGAGCACACTGATGGGTCTTCACTCTTTATCCAATTTGCCAGTCTGTGTCTTTCAATTGGGGCATTTAGCCCATTTACATTTAAGGTTCATATTGTTATGTGTGAATTTGATCCTGTCATTATGATGTTAGCTGGTTATTTTGCCCGTTAGTTGATGCAGTTTCTTCCTAGCCTTGATGGTCTTTACAGTTTGGCAAGTTTTTGCAGTGGCTGGTACCGCTTGTCCCTTTCCGTGTTTAGTGCTTCCTTCAGGAGCTCTTGTAAGGCAGGCCTGGTGGTGACAAAATCTCTCAGCATTTGGTTGTCTGTAAAGGATTTTATTTCTCCTTTACTTATGAAGCTTAGTTTGGCTGGATATGAAATTCTGGGTTGAAAATTCTTTCCTTTAAGAGTGTTGAATATTGGCCCCCACTCTTTTCTGGCTTGTAGAGTTTCTGCCGAGAGATCCACTGTTAGTCTGATGGGCTTCCCTTTGTGGGTAACCCAGCCTTTCTCTCTGGCTGCCCTTAACATTTTTTCCTTCATTTCAACTTTGGTGAATCTGAGAATTACATGTCTTGGGGTTGCTCTTCTCGAGGAGTATCTTTGTGGTATTCTCTGTATTTCCTGAATTTGAATGTTGGCCTGCCTTGCTAGGTTGGGCAAGTTCTCCTGGATAATATCCTGAAGAGTGTTTTCCAGCTTGGTTCCATTCTCCCCGTCACTTTCAGGTACACCAATCAGACGTAGATTTGGTCTTTTGACATCTTCCCATATTTCTTGGAGGCTTTGTCTGTTTCTTTTTACTCTTTTTTCTCTAAACTTCTCTTCGCACTTCATTTCATTAATTTGATCTGCAATCACT
Organism: Homo sapiens; assembly: GCF_000001405.40. NCBI lineage: Eukaryota > Metazoa > Chordata > Mammalia > Primates > Hominidae > Homo > Homo sapiens. The sequence continues at coordinate 55,773,662 of NC_000023.11, forward strand.
GATACCCTTTCTTCCACTTAATTGAATCAGCTACTGAAGCTTGTGCATGCGTCATGTAATTCTCGTGCTATGGTTTTCAGCTCCATCAGGTCATGTAAGGTCTTCTGTACACTGTTTATTCAGTTAGCCATTCGTCCAACTTTTTTTCAAGGTTTTTAGCTTCCTTGCGATGGGTTTGAACATCCTCCTTTAGCTCAGAGAAGTTTGTTATTACCGACCTTCTGAAGCCTACTTGTGTCAACTCGTCAAAGTCATTCTCTGTCCAGCTTTGTTCCATTGCTGCCGAGGAGCTGTGATTCTTTGGAGGAGAAGACGCACTCTGATTTTTAGAATTTTCAGCTTTTCTGCTCCGGTTTTTCCACATCTTTGTGGTTTTATCTACCTTTGGTCTTTGATGATGGTGACCTACAGATGGGGTTTTGATGTGGATTTCTTTTTTGTTGATGCTGATGCTATTCCTTCATGTTTGTTAGTTTTCCTTCCAACAGTCACGTCCCTCAGCTTCAGGTCTGTTGGAGTTTTCTGGAGGTCCACTCCAGACCTTGTTTGCCTGAGTATCACCAGCAGAGGCTGCAGAACAGCAAATATTGCTGCCTGATCCTTCCTCTGGAAGCTTTGTCTCAGAGTGGCACCCGGTTGTATGAGGTGTCTGTCAGCCCCTACTTGGAGGTGTCTCCCAGTTAGGCTACATGAGGGTCAGGAACCCACTTGAGGAGGCAGTCTGTCCGTTCTCAGAGCTCAAACACCGTGCTGGGAGAACCACTGCTCTCTTCAGAGCTGTCATGCCGGGACATTTAAGTCTGCAGAAGTTTCTCCTGCCTTTTATTCAGCTATGCTGTGCCCCCAGAGGTGGAGTCTACAGAGGCAGGCAGGCCTCACTGAGCTGCGGTGGGCTCCACCCAGTTCGAGCTTCCTAGCCACTTTGTTTACCTACTCAAGCTTCAGCAATGTCAGACGCCCTTCCCCCACCCAGGCTGCCACCTCGCAGTTTGATCTTGGACTGCTGCACTAGCAGTGAGCAAGGCTCCGTGGGTGTGGGAGCCAGTAAACCAGGCACAGGAAATAATCTCCTGGTGTGCCATTTGTTAAGACCATTGGAAAAGCACAGTATTAAGGCAGGAGTGTCCTGAGTGTCCTGATTGTCCCAGTACAGTCTGTGACATCTTCCCTTGTCTAGGAAAGGGAAATCCCCTGACCCCTTGCGCTTCCCGGATGAAACGATGCCCCTCTCTGCTTTGGCTTGCCCTTCGTGGGCTGCACCCACTGTCCTACCGGTCCCAATGAGATGAACCAGGTACCTCAGTTGGAAATGCAGAAATCACCCGTCTTCTGCATTGATCACGCTGGGAGCTGCAGACCAGAGCTGTTCCTATTCGGCCAACTGAGCACTCACTTGTTTTTGGAACACTCTGTTCCCTTATCTTTCTTAATAGCATAGTTGTCCCCACCTCTTTGGCTGCTCTTGTCAGCATCCTTTGCAAAAAAGTAAAGGCCTCTCTCAGCTATACTATTTACCTAGACAAGTTTATATGCTTCAAATTCCATTATATGCTAAGCCTTCCAAATGCCTATATGATCTCTACAACTGCCTATGTAATATGTGCAAATGCTTACATGATATCTCCACTAGGATTATCTTCAGCACACCTCAAATTTTCTAAGTCTGGAAACAAATCCATGAGCATTCCCTAAAATGTTAATATCAAGTGATCATACAGGTTTACCATTATGGAACAGAGTCTAGCAGGGGCTTTGTTAATGTGCATTAGGAGGCTGAATTAATTAATTAAAGGTGTATTATGCCTTTAGGCAATGCTGAAGAAGTAAAGAGAGCATGGGAATGTAGATGCGGTGCATTACTAATTATTTGTGTTGATGTTCCTACCATTCTGATAGGATGGGGCATGGGATGGGATGCTCAAAGTCATATTTATTTTGATTTAAAGAAAATAAAAGATATATGACATTTCTTACATATCTAATTTTGTGGAATAAGATTCATACCTGTGACATAATTATATATTCATTAGTGTGATTATTTGATTAAAATCTATCTCTTACATTTAACTGTATGCTTGATAAGTACAGGAATTATGCCTGTTTTGCTTACTGTTGTATCTTTAGTACTAACATAGTGCCTAGCAAGTAGTAGGCTTTCAGTAAGTGTTCAACGCACAATTAGTGGTCTGTATTTTCTTCTGTGTGTTCTATTATGCACTCAAGTGTAGTCTGATTTACCCTTATTCTTTGTCCAAACATATATGCCTCCATGACTTAAAAAAGTGAAATTAGGCAAACCTGGCCAGAGAATAAGTAATACCAGACATATTCTCAGACTACTTTGTGAAGCATGGGGCATGCTGAACCTGTAGGTAGAAACTGAACCTATTCATTTAGAAGAGCCATTTGTTGCCTAATCTTGTTCTTATGCAGTTTGTCATTCTCAGTTTTGGTTCTGTCCTGGTTTTTGTGTTCTGTCAGATAGTCAGCTTCAAAAAATTATGTCCAAAATCAGAACAAAAAATGACACATGGAAGTTGTCGAGGCAGGGCCCTAGGAATGCATAAACATTTGACTGTGTGAGGATTGGAGGGTTACTAAAAGCAAGGATTATATGGTTTACTCATGGATAACCTCAGCAAAGTGACTAGAAAAACTGGAGGCACTTTCGAAGTACAGGCGGAAGGCAGAGAATGGACTGAGTACCTGTTAGAAACAGCTGTTGCAATGGACAGCAGTCAGGAAAGGGCTGGGGCCAGGAAATGTGTTGTGATAGACTGACTCTTTATGTCTTTTGGAGTAGATCATGGCTTACTCTTTTTTAAAAAAAAGCACCAGGATCTCTCTATGTTAACATTACTTTGCATTTCAAGGCTTCCAACTGATCTTACAGATAAGTAGTCACCTGTTCTGATCTGGGCCTTCTTTTGGTTCTGTGCTATCCCTTTGGGTTTGCTCAGACAGAGGGAGGTGCTTATGGTCCCAGCTCTTGGAGATTGTGCAGTCCTGGACATTCTGACCAAGTGCTTTGTGCTTTGTGAACCCAGAAAATCTGAGACAGGTGTCAATTAATTTAGAAAGTTTATTTTGCCAAGGTTGAGGATGCACCCATGACACAGCCTCAGGTAGTCCTGAGGCATGTGCCCAAGGTGGTTGGGACACAGCTTGGTTTTCTACATTTTAGAGAGACATGAGACATTAATCAATATATGTAAGAAGTACATTAATTTGGTCTGGAAAGGCGGGACATCTTGAAGCAACGGTAGAAAGACTGGAAGCTGGGAGGGTGCTTCCAGATCACAGGTGAGACACAAATGGTTGCATTCTTTTGAGTTTCTGATTAGCCTTTCCAAAGAAGGCAATCAGATATGCATCTATCTCAGTGAGCAGAGGAGTGACTTTGGATAGAATGGGAGGCAGGTTTGCCCTAAGCAGTTTCCAGCTTGAATTTTCCTTAGTGATTTGGGGGGTGCAAGATATATATCCTTTCACAGCTTCCACTGAAGATTGTCCTTTAAGTCCTTTCAGCATGAATGGAGAAACCTTGCAGCCATTCAAGGGACAGGTAAGTATCACCTGAGAACCTAAGAAAATGCATTTCTGTGTCAGTTCCCAAGCTCAATGTGCCATATGGAGGGCCAAGGCATCATGGTTTCAAATACCAACATTGCTACTTATATGCTGTGGGATTCTGCCTAAATCTTTAGATCTCTCTGCAGTTCAGTAAAACACTTTTCTATAATATGTGAATATTTTTTTCTGGATCCCTAATGACCATGTTCCACTCTCTTTTAGATACTTTTCAGTGTGTCTGGCAAGGTATATAGGGATCAATATTTGGTGTGTATGTGTGTATCTGCATGTAAGAGAGGTCTATAATCCCTTTAGCAAATGCACACAAACACACACATACACACATGTTTGTAATAATTGCATAGTAATTATAGAATTACTATAGTATGTTTAGTAATATCCTGAGGCAAAGTGTTTTAAAAGGCTGTCATCTAATTGACCAAGGAAGTGACTTCCTCTATTCCATTCCCACTGTCTTGGAACAAGGGACCAGCTTCTCACTGCCAAACAGGAAGATCTAGAAAAGCAACTGGAGTGTGGGCTGAGAGGGTGGTGATCAGTCAAGAGTCAGTGTGATTGCCACGTAACACTTCTCATTCCAGACACAAATTTTATGGATTATGCGTTATGTGTGGAGAATGGTGATCTGGCCTCAGCCTCACTCCCCTGGGCAAACAATACAAGGCTCCTGTCTGGAAACCTTGATAGGTTGCTTCAATGGGGCTGTGCTGGGTAATTTAAGAAGGAGCAGTGATGGGAAGGAGAACTAACATTTATTTCATAAGCAAATATTATGTGATTTCATTTTATCTTCACAACAATCCTATGATATAGGGATATTAAATATCTCCCATTTTAAAGATGAGGAAATAGAAGCTCAGAGAGGCAAAGTAACTTTCCCCAGGTCACAGAGCCAGAAAGTGAAATTCCAAACCATATCCTTCCAAATCCAAAACCTGTGTTATTTCTCTTATGCTATTTGGCATAAAAACGCAGGCAGGAAAATGGTTAAGAACAAGGACTCTGGGGATGGATTGCCTAAGGCTGAATAGATGTGTGATGTTGGCAAGTCACTTCCCATCTCTTGGTTTTAGCCTCATTATCTTAAAATGGGGACAGTAACAGTACCTACTTCCTAGGGTAATGTGAAGATTAAAAGAGTTAACACAAGAAAAGTACCTCCAGTGCCTAGAGTAAAATATGCAAGCTATTTATTTTCATCCCACAGTGCTTTGGAGCTCCAGCCCTCAGAGTATACTGGTAGCACAGGGCTCTCACATTCCTGGCTCTTGCCCTCATGTCTATAGCCTGGGGCCTCTTTAGCAGGGATTGTCTACTGCTAAAAGAAATAAGGCATTTTCCTGGTAGACTGCAGTGAACTAACTCTAATTGGCTTTTAGTATTACTCAGTTCAGCTTCTCAAGAGAAGGAGTTTTTAGTGCTGTGGGGTCATTCCCACTTAAGGAGGGGCATGGTAAATGGACAATTTGGACATAAAAGCAGCTTAATTTTTTTTTTTACTTTTATTTTAGGTTCAGGGGTACATGGATGGGTTTGTTATATGAGTAAACTTGTGTCACAGGGGTTGGTTGTACAGATTATTTCATCAACCAGGTACTAAGCCTAGTACTCAATAGTTACGTTTTCTGATCCTCTCCCTCCCCCAACCCTCCATCTTCAAGTAGGCCCCAGTGTCTGTTGTTCCCCTCTTTGTGTCCATGTGTTGTCATCATTTAGCTCCCACTTATGAGTGAGAACATGTGGTATTTGGTTTTCTGTTCCTGCATTAGTTTGCAAAGGGTGATGGCCTCCAGTTCCACCACAGAAATTTAATACACAGAAATGAACATTCCTTGAGCAAAAATCTTTGTTTATCTAACTGTACCTTCTTAGTGCAGATTTCTTGAAGTGAAATGGCTGGATCAAAGGATAGAAACATTTTTAAAGCTCTTTAAATTTAGTATTAAACTGCTTTTTCCAGGCAAATAATATCCACACCAACACATAAGACGGTCATGAACCTGCCTATTCAATGATACCTCCATAAGCCATAGTGTTACTTAAAATGTCTCTTCTGAAAGAAATCATAGATGGCACAAACAAATGGAAACACATCCCATACTCATGGATCAGTAGAATCAATATTGTGAAAATGACCATGCTGCCAAAAGCAATCTACAAATTCAATGCAATCTCCATCAAAATACCACCATCATTCCTCACAAAATTAGAAAAAAAAATTTCTAAAATTCATATGGAACCAAAAAAGAGCCCACATAGCCAAAACAAGACTAAGCAAAAAGAACAAATCTGGAGGCATCACACTACCTGATTTCAAACTATACTATGAGGCCATAGTCACCAAAACAGCGTGGTACTGGTATAAAAATAGGCACATAGACCAATGGAACAGAATAGAGAATCCAGAAATAAACCCAAATACTTACAGCCAACTGATCTTTGACAAAGCAAACAAAAATGTAAAGTGGGGAAAGGACACCCTTTTCAACAAATGGTGCTGGGATAATTGGCTAGCAACACGTAGGAGGATGAAACTGGATGCTCATCTCTCACCTTATGCAAAAGCCAACTCAAGATGGATTAAGTAGTCGAACCTAAGACAGGAAACTATAAAAATTCTAGAAGATAACATTGGAAAAACCCTTCAAGACATTGGCCTAGGCAAGGATTTAATGACCAAGAACCCAAACGCAAATGCAATGAAAACAAAGATAAATAGCTGGGATCTAATTAAACTATAAAGCATTTGCATGGCAAAAGGAACAGTCAGCAAAGTAAACAGACAACTCACAGAGTGGGAGAAAATCTTCACAATCTATACATCTGACAAAGGACTCATATCCAGAATCTACAATGAACTCAAGTCAGTAAGAAAAAACCAAACAATCCCATCAAAAAGTGGGCTAAGAACATGAATAGACAATTCTCAAAAGAAGATATAGAAATGGCCAACAAACATATGGAAAAATGCTCAACATCACTAATGATCAGGGAAATGCAAATCAAAACCACAGTGTGATACCACCTTGCTCCTGCAAGAATGGCCATAATCAAAAACCCAAAAAACACTAGATGTTGGCATGGATGTGGTAATCAGGAAACACTTATACACTGCTGGTGGGAACGTAAACTAGTACAGCCACTATGGAAAATAGTGTGGAGATTCCCTAAAGAACTAAAAGTAGAACTACCATTTGATCCAGCAATCCCACTACTGGGTATCTACCCAGAGGAAAAGAAGTCATTATTTGAAAAAGATATTGCACACACATGTTTATAGCCACACAATTCACAATTGCAAGATCATGGAACCAACCCAAATGCCCATCAATCAACAAGTGGATAAAGAAACCGTGATATATATATATATATATATATGTGTATATACACATATATGTGTACATATATATACACATATGTAGATATGATATATATGTAGATATATGTAGATATATATCCATATATATCATATGATATATGTAGATATATATCCATATATATCATATGATATATGTAGATATATATCCATATATATCATATGATATATGTAGATATATATCCATATATATCATATGATATATGTAGATATATATCCATATATATCATATGATATATGTAGATATATATCCATATATATCATATGATATATGTAGATATATATCCATATATATCATATGATATATGTAGATATATATCCATATATATCATATGATATATGTATGATATATATCATTATATATGATACATATGTCATATATGTATCATATATGTATCGTATGCATCATATATCATATGCATCATGTATCATATGTATCATGTATCATATGTATCATATATATCATATGTATCATATGTATCATATATATCATATGTATCATATATATCATATGTATCATATATATGATGGAATACTACTCAGCCATAAAAAGGAATGAATTAACAGCATTTGCAGTGACCTGGATGAGATTGGAGACTATTATTCTAAGTGAAGTAACTCAGGAATGGAAAACCAAACATGTGTTCTCATTGAAATGTGGGAGCTAAGCTATGAGGACACAAAGGCATAAGAATGATACAATGGACTTTGGGGACTTGGAAGGAAGAGTGATAGTGGGGTGAGGGATAAAAGACTACAAATATGGTGCAGCGTATACTGCTCGGGTGATGGGTGCACCAAAATCTCACAAGTTACCACTGAAGAACTTACTCATGTAACCAAATACCACTTGTACCCCAATAACTTACGGGAAAAAAAAATTCTGTGGTATTTAGTTCCCTTAGTGAAAGTCAAAAGCATGAAGTAACAATTTTAAAATGTCAACATTTATAGCACACCCAAAATTATATCTTTTGCAAGTATTTAAAATTATCTTAAACATTTTTAGATGTCGACCTAAAAATATATGAGGGCCTATATAGTTTGCAAACTTTTTTTGTAATGGTTCTCCTCCTTGGCTTCACATTGGAGTTTCCTGGGGAGCTTCGAAACATGAATGACTGGGTCCCACTTCCAGAGTTTCTGACGGAATTGGTATGTGGTACAGCCTGAGCACCAGAAGTTTTTATAGCTCCCCAGGTAAATCTAATAGCTAAAGTAGAGAGCTCTGGTTTTAGGGTAGGTATGTGAGCAAAAATTTGTAAAGACCATATTTTACAGAAATGCCTTTTTGTCACTTCTCATCCCAACCCCATTCCTGGAGGCAGTCACTCAATGTCAAGATCCTGGCCTCATTAGTCCACTGCAGTTTCCGTCTCCAGGTGCTTCAGGTACTCCCGAACATAATTCTTGAGCCCTTGAACTAGGGTTTTCTCATAGTACTGCCTTTTGTTCTGAAGAGAAGCATCAAAGAAGGTCATCATCTGGGCCATTACCTTTCCAAGTTCTTAAGACAGAATCCTTCCCTCAAGCAGAGGAGTGTCTTTTATTTCTTACTTTTCTAACACATCACCTACTACCTATCCTCAATCATGGGCTTTGTACAGTAACTGGCATTGAATATATCCTTATATTTCCCTGGATTCTCCCAAAAGAAATAGGATTTTTTAGTTTAATTTAATTTTAAATTAAAACTTCTTTGCCAAAAATGTCCTGTATGCCCATGCCATAAGAACGAAAATATAATAAAACTAAATTGCTCTCACACATCTGTTCCTAGCAACCCATTTCTTCTTCCAGGAGGCAACTCCTATTAATGGTTTCTTATGTACCCTTCCAGAGACACTTCATACATTTACATTTAATTATGTATAAGTGTCCTTTTTCAACTTTAGTTTTTATTTTTGCACAAATAATATCACACCATACACACTTCCCTGCACCTTATGGATAGTTTCATATCAGCAATAGTCATCGTAGTTTCTTATATGGATCTTAGCATATTAGCTCTGGTCTCTTTTGCACTTCTCACCTCCTCACGATCCAGTTAATGGTTAGCTTCTCTGTCTAATGCCTAAGGCCAACCAATGCGAAATGAAACCCTACAATAAGTGGCTTTTTGTGTCTGGCTCAATGTGAAGTGAGTTTATACTGTGCTGCATCTCTGGTGTTGTGCTGTGGTACATGTGGCCCCACACCTGATTCAGCTGTATGAAGAAGGAGAATGAGACTGAGACCTGTAGTATTCTGAAGCAGATTTTCAAGAACTATTTTCCTGTCCCTCTCTTATGTCCTAGTTGTTGACCTCTTCACACAAGTGAACTTCTAATTGCTCTATTTTTTTCTCTTTATTAGCAGCTATGTGTTTGACTGTTTTCTCTCTGCCAGGTCCTATGCTAAATAATTTGCATGTCATTATGTCATTTTTTTGCATATGTAGCTATGTGAGTTGTGTTAAATTCCATTTCACAGATGGGAAAATTAAGGCAGAAAACAAGTAAATCGCCTTTACTTTGCAACAGCAAGTAAGTGGTAGAACCAGGATTTGAACTGAGAGGGTCTGGCTCCACTCAGACCTTAATCAGGAGCAAAAAGGCAAGAAAACAGTATGCAGTAAGCCAACATAAATGTGTAATCCTGGGATTGGAATCCTTAGTCTGCAGATATATTTGAAAGTTTTATTGCAAGGAATTGAGTTTCTACCTAAAGGTGAGATTGAGGTTTAAGGTGGGTAGAAAAGGTTTAAATAGCCATTGTTCAGAGTGGGAGAGAACCATCTGGGGAAAAGTTGGAGATTTAGTGGGCATAATACTTACGAAATGGTTACTAATATTACCATAGCAGTTGTCTTCCCTAGTGGTCTCCCTCCCAACCATGCTCTTCTACACAGGATGTTAGCAATACACCGTCACATAGAGGAAATATGAATTATTAATTTAGTAAGTGATTATTTAATACCTATGACACATCAGGCACTGGTGTCAGTGTAGATACATTGACATGCTGAACCAGAATGAAAGGCCAGCAGGAAGGCCACTGTGTAGAGGAGAAATCTGTTGGAAGTGACCAATGATCCCTTCATCATTCCCCCTAGGTATCTGCTGCACTAGGATGGGCCTTTGCTTTGCTTTCAGTGAGTGTATCAGGAGGCAAAACTCATTGTTAAGTTGACAGAGATCAGCGTTCTTATTGAGGAAGAGCAGCTTCTACTAATCGGCTGAGGTCACAGTCATGCTCTCTGAGAGATGACCATTTATTCTGAGTCATTCTTCTCTCTGTTGATATACTCTGCTTGTGTGCATTCTGTGTTCTTTCTACCAGGAGGAAATGGAATGTGGGAGAGGCATCCAAAACCTTAGTCTGGTTCTCAGTGCATTCAGTGGTCTGGTGGCTGCGTTCACTTCTCTGCTTAAAATAGTAGTTAATACTTATTGAGCATTCACTCTGCCAGGCATTTGCTTAAGCACTTTATCTGGACTGTGTCATCTAATCTGCCCCAGGAAACCTTTGCTGTTGATGCTACTATTATCCTCTATTTCTATATGAGATACGAAGAGGCTATATTCAGGGTTCCAGAGTGACAGAGCCAAATAGGATGTATATGTATATGAAAGGGAGGTTATTAGGGAGAATTGGTTCACATGATTACAAGGTAAAGTCCACAATAGGCCACCTGCAAGTGGGGGAAGAAAGAAGCCAGTAGTGGCTCAGTCTGAGTAAAAAAGCCTCAAAGCCAGGGAAGCCAACATTGTAGCCTTCAGTCTGCAGCCGAAGGTCTGAGAGACACCTGCAAGCCATTGGTGCAATTCCCACAGTACAAAGGCTGAAGAACCTGGAGTCTAATGTCCAAAGGCAGGAGGAACAGAAGCAAGCGTCCAGCACGGGAAGCCAGAAAACGCACCAAGCAAGCTTATCCCACCTTCTTCCACCTGCTTTGTTCTAGCCATGCCGGCAGCTGATTGCGTGGTGCCCACTTACATTGAGGGTCTTCCTCTCCCAGTCCCACGACTTAAATGTTGATCTCTGGCAACACCCTCACAGACACACCCAGAAACAATGCCTTACCAACCATCTAGGCATCCCTCAATCCAATCAAGTTGACACCTAATATTAACCATCACAGAGACTAAGCCTCTTTTATTTGGTAGCCAATAAAATGGCAGAGATGGAATTTGAATCTAAGAAATTTATACTGGAGCCTGTGTACTTAACCACGTCTTGATACTACTTCTCAAATCCACAGATGTTTTTCCCTTACACCAAGCAGTCTCCTGACCATGGCCTACAAGATCTTATGTGTCCTGAATGGTAATGCCTAGGTTTTCTTCTAGGGTTTTTATGGTTTTAGGTCTAACGTTTAAGTCTTTAATCCATCTTGAATTAATTTTTGTATAAGGTGTAAGGAAGAGATCCAGTTTCAGCTTTCTACATATGGCTAGCCAGTTTTCCCAGCACCATTTATTAAATAGGGAATCCTTTCCCCATTGCTTGTTTTTCTCAGGTTTGTCAAAGATCAGATAGTTGTAGATAGGCATGGGAAAGGACTTCATGTCTGAAACACCAAAAGCAATGGCAACAAAAGCCATAATTGACAAATGGGATCTAATTAAAGAGTTTCTGCACAGCAAAAGAAACTACCATCAGAGTGAACAGGCAACCTACAAATGGGAGAAAATTTTCACAACCTACTCATCTGACAAAGGGCTAATATCCAGAATCTACAATGAACTCAAACAAATTTACAAGAAAAAAAAACCCCATCAAAAAGTGGGCAAAGGATATAAACAGACACTTCTCAAAAGAAGACATTTATGCAGCCAAAAAACACATGAAAAAATGCTCACCATCACTGGCCATCAGAGAAATGCAAATCAAAACCACAATGAGATAGCATCTCACACCAGTTAGAATGGCGATCATTAAAAAGTCAGGAAACAACAGGTGCTGGAGAGGATGTGGAGAAATAGGAACACTTTTACACTGTTGGTGGGACTGGAAACTAGTTCAACCCTTGTGGAAGTCAATGTGGCGATTCCTCAGGGATCTAGAACTAGAAATACCATTTGACCCAGCCATCCCATTACTGGGTATATACCCAAAGAACTGTAAATCTTGCTGCTATAAAGACACATGCACACGTATGTTGATTGTGGCACTATTCACAATAGCAAAGACTTGGAACCAACCCAAATGTCCAACAATGATAGACTGGATTAAGAAAATGTGGCACATATACACCATGGAATACTATGCAGCCATAAAAAATGATGAGTTCATGTCCTTTGTAGGGACATGGATGAAATTGGAAATCATCATTCTCAGTAAACTATAGCAAGAACAAAAAACCAAACACCGCATATTCTCACTCATAGGTGGGAATTGAACAATGAGAACACATGGACACAGGAGGGGGAACATCACACTCTGGGGACTGTTGTGGGGTGGGGGGAGGGGGGAGGGAAGCATTAGGAGATATACCTAATGCTAAATGACGAGTTAATGGGTGCAGCACACCAGCATGGCACATGTATACATATGTAACTAACCTGCACATTGTGCACATGTACCCTAAAACTTAAAGTATAATAATTATAAAATTTAAAAAAAAAGATTTTATGTGATCTGGCTTCTATCTACTTCTTCAACATCATCTCTTACCATTTTCTTCTCAATTCATTCTGCTCCTTCCATAACTGGCCTTGCTAATTTTAACATATCAAGCTTATTCTTACTTTAGGATCTTTGTTCTAACTGTTCCTACTTGTAATGTTCTTCCCATGACTTGTTCATTCTCATTATTCAAGTCCCTGTTCACATTACCACATCAGATATCTTCTCCATGAACACCTCATCATAACTACTACTATCTCACCCCCTGTTATGCTCTAACATAGTATCCTGTTTTAATTTCTTTATAAAACTTATCATTACTTGAAATTATTATTTTATTTATTTGATAATTTTCTGTTGGCTCTCACTAGAATTGTAGGTCCACATGAGGGCAGGGACCTTGTTCACCACTGTATGCACAGCATCTGGAACAAAATCTGACATACAGTAAAGGACTCAGTAAATACTTGTTTAATGAATGAGCAAACCCCACAAACATTTATTCAACACCTTCTACATGCCATGCCAGATACTGGGAGTACATAGATTGGATAGGACATGGACTTTGACATTTCTGCCATTGAAATTTCTGTGGTTTTACAAGAAAGGCAGACATTAGACCAGAGAGTGAGCAGCATTGTGCTAGAAGGAAAGAGAAAGCTCAGAGGAGGGACCTTTAATGCAGCTTGGAGGCATTGAGGAAGGCCTCCAAGAGAAAATAAGGGCATTCCAAGCAAAGAGACCAGCACACTGGTAAGAAGAGTCCTGGAGGTGTGAGACATCATGTTGCTTTAAGAAACAACAATATGATTGGAGCAAACTGAGATAGTGAAAAGACATGCCTTCCAATTTTCTGCTTGACTCACACCTACTGCTGTGTAAGACTCAGTTTGAATGACACTGCCACAGTGAATCAGGCTTTGCCCCTGTTCCACCCTTATTCCTTTAGCATCCTATACTTATATTTAACATAACCCCTACCCTACATTATTAGAGTGATTTTCCTTTTCACTTTGGTATTTCCCACTGGAGTGCAGCTCCTTGAGAGAGAGGTATGTGTGACTCATGTATGTGCCTTCTCTACACTTAGTGCCCAAATGGTGCTATTTGAGCCAATGAACATAAATAATGGTCATGGATTCAGCAGTTAAGAATAAGATTTTCATTAAATAAAAATAGTTCTGATGACAAAAAGGGGGAAAATAATTAGAAAACCACTGCACTAAAGCTCTCTCTACAAAGACAATTTTCCTGAAAGCTGTTCACCATGACTTGTAGACAAAACCAGGAAGACTGTGTGAAGTAAAGTTTAAGATAATAGGCTTTTACATCAAATAAGTATTTATTTTCTAATACTGGCTCTGCCTTAATTGAATTTAGGCAAGTTCCTTAACCCTCTAGACACTTCAGTTTCCTAGTCTGTTGAATTGGTATCTACCTCACAGGGTTGTTGTATGGATTAAACAGGATGAGGCACATAAAGTGTTTCACACCAGCATTTGGCACATAGCAAATGTGCAATAAATGCTTGCTTCTTTTATTATCATCCTCATGCTCATCATCTATGGCATAAAGAAGTGTTTATTGTGTTAATCTTAGATCTTACGTAGAACAACTTTTCCCCAGATGGCAATATTTGGAAAGAATTTGCCTTTGAGGTCTGATTCGACCTTTTTCACTTCCTCAGGGGGGCCTCTGATAGATGCAATAACCAGAAACTGACCAAGCAAGGGTAACAAGGAGTAAGGGAGTGAGAAATAGACTGAAAAAGGAGTAGGTTAGGAATAGGAGTGAAATCAGCTTTTCTGGGAGCCTATGTAGCAGGGAGGCACAAAATAAGACAATGAGAGAGCAGATTATTTTTAATGGACATGTAAAAATAGACTGGAATTAAAGGCCTGCAAAATTTACCTAGAATGAGCAAAAGAGCTAGTAAGAAATATTTCTTAGTCTTTCTCATTGTAAAGAATGTATTTTATTGATAATAAAATATTAATTAAAATGTGTACAAATATGTTTATTTCAGGTGCTGATTATGGTGGTAAAGTGTTGGAAACAATATAGAAGTTCAACTGTAGAATTTATTAAATTATCCTTCACACCTGTAGGAACAGTAATGTATACACATTTCTTTGTGTGTGTGTGTGTGTGTGTGTGTGTGTGTGAGCAGCAAGGCTGTTTATTTCACCTGGGTGCAGGTGGGCTGAGTCCGAAAAAGGAGTTAGCAAAGGGTGATAGGATTATCATTACTTCTTACAGGTTTAGGATAGGCGTACAAAGTACATTCTTAAGGGTGGGGGAGAATATTACCAAGTACCTTCTTAAGGGCGGGGGAGACTACGTTGTATCAGTTAGGGTGGGGCAGGAACAAATCACAATGGTGGAATGTAATCAGTTAAGGCTATTTTCACTTCTTTTGTTGATCTTCAGTTGCTTCAGGCCACCTAGATGTATATGTGCAGGTCACAGGGAATATGATGGCTTAGCTTGGGCTCAGAGGCCTGACATTCCTGTCTTCTTATATTAATAAGAAAAACAAAACAAAATAGTGGTGAAGTGTTGGGGCAGCGAAACTTTTGGGGGGTGGTATGGAGAGATAATGGGCGATGTTTCTCAGGGCTGCTTCGAGTGGGATTAGGGGCAGCATGGGAACCTACGGTGGGAGAGATTAAACTGAAGAAAGATTTTGGGGTAAGGGGTGATATTGTGGGGTTGTTAGAAGGAGCATTTGTCATATAGAATTATTGGTGATGGCCTGGATGCAGTTTTGTATGAATTGAGAAACTAAACGGAAGACACAAGGTCCGAATAAAACAAGGAGAAAAATAGGTATTAAAAGACTAAGAATTGGGAGTACCCAGGACATCCAATTAGACAGTGTCCAAGGGGGTTCAACGTAATTATTTTGGTTGGTGAGTTTTTGGGCTCTATCCTTGAGTTTTTTTTTATGTTGTCATATACTAAGCCAGATTGATTTAGGTAAAAACAACACTCTTCATTTAAAAATATACAAAGTCCTCCTTTTTCAGCAGTGAGTAAATCGAGGCCTCGGCTATTTTGGAGGAAAGAGAAATGCAAAGCCAGCAATTGTTTGTTAAAGAAGGATTAGAAATGGCTAGGAGAGAGTGAATGAGATTGATAGTGTTGTGGAGATAGCTGTGGAGAGGTAGAGGGTGGCATAAGAATGGGAACGAGAATAAGAATGAGTATAAAAGTAAAGAATAGGACTTCCTCAGGGTGAAAGTATTGGAGTGTGTCCTGTCAGCAAAGATTATCTATCCACTCCAAGAGGGAGTCAAGAGTGGCAGATTGGGGATAGATTTTCACGATGGAAAAGAAATGAGAGGTTTTAAGAGGTGGGCTAAACGGCTTGTAACCTACATGGAAGAGGTTATGAAATGACAACAGAATAGAATGGGCTTGTGAGGCTGGAGGGAGATTTTTTTTTTTTTTTTTTTTTGGTCTAAGAACCATCTGCCTTGAGTGGAGAGGGATTGATAGGTGGAAACTTCATTTGGAGAGTAAATAGGAGTGACCAATGAGAAGGAGAAAAACTGGCCATGAGGGACAGAAGTTGGAACGCTAGCTGCTTCTTTAGCTACCTTATCAGCATAAGCGTTGCCCTAAGCGATGGAATCTGATGCCTTTTGATGGCCCTTGCAGTGAATGACTCCAGCTTCCTTTGGAAGTAAAGTGGCTTTAAGAAGAGTTTTTATTAAAGAGGCATTAATGGTAGGACTCTTGTATAGTGAGGAAATGTCTTTCTGTTCATATAACAGCATGGTGGTGCAGGATATGGAAGGCATATTTAGAGTCAGTATAAATACTGACATGTAGTCCCTTTGCAAGAGTGAGGGCCTGAATTAAGGCAATGAGTTCGGCTTGCTGAGAGGTAGTGGAGGGGGGCAGAGCAGTAGCCTCGATGATAGATGTGGAAAATACTATAGCATGGCCTGCCTTTGCTGGTGAATGGCGATTAGGCCTGGTGGAACTGCCGTCGTTAAACCAAGTGTGACCAGGGTGAGGAACAGGAAAGAAGGAAATATGGGGAAATGGAGTGAATGTCAGGTGGATCAGAGAGATAGTCATGGGGGTCAGGTGTGGTATCCAGAATAATGTGGGAGGCCAGATTGAAGTCCGGGCCAGGAACAATGGTAATTGTGGGAGACTCAACAAAGAGTGAGTATAGCTGAAGGAGATTGGGGGCAGAAAGTATATGCATCAAGTATGAGGAGGAAAATAGATTTTGAAAGTCATGGGAACTGTAGAGAGTAAGTGGAGCATAGCTTGTGATTTTGAGGGCCTCTAAAAGTATTAAAACAGCAGCAGTCACCGCATGCAGACATGAGGGCTAGGCTAAAGCAGTAAGGTCAAGTTGTTTGGACAGAAAGGCTACAGGGCATGGTCCTGGCTCTTGTGTAAGAATTCTGACCGCACAGCCCTGTACTTTGGCTGTGTGTAATGAAAAGGGTTGGGATGAGTTAGGGAAAGCTAGTGTGGGAGCAGCTTTTAGGGCTGTTTTTTAAGGAATGGAAAGGGGAGTGGGGAAAGGATTTAGGATTTATGGGGTCAGCTAGGTTTATCTAGAACAGAATAATGGGTTGTGGAGGAAGGTATTGAGGATAGGAGAGTATATGGGTTTGGCACCACTGGGTGGGTAGGCAAAACAATTTGGTTGATAAGGTGCAGATCCTGAACTAACTTGTAAGACTTGTCTGGTTTTTGGACAGGTAAAATGGGGAATTTTAAGGAGAGTTTATAGGCTTTAAAAGGCCATGCTGTAACAGGTGAGTGATAACGGGCTTTAATCCTTTTAAAGTGTGGCAGGGTAAGGGTGATTAGGTTTTAATGGGATGGTAAGGGGTGTGTGATTGGTCATCAAGGAGGGAGTAGAGGTGTCCTATACTTGTGGATTAAGGTGGGGAGATACAAGGGGAGGATGTGAAGGAGGCTTTGAGCTGGGGGAAAAGGGTGGCAATGAGGTGTGGCTGTAGCCTAGGAATAGTCAGGGAACCAGATAATTTAGTTAAAATGTCTCTACCTAATAAGGGAGCTGGGCAGGTGGGGATAACTAAAAGAGTGCATAAAAGAATGTTGTCCAAGCTGGCATCAGAGTTGGGGAGTTTTAAGAGGTTTAGAAGCCTGGCCATCAATACCCACAACAGTTATGGAGGCAAGGGAAACACGCCCTTGAAAAGAAGGTAATGTGGAGTAGATAGCCTCCATATTGATTAAGAAGGGGACGGACTTACCCTCCACTGTAAGGGTTACCCAGAGCGTCTGTGATGGTCCTGTAGGCTTCCGAGGTGATCGGGCAGCGTCAGTCTTCAGCCGCTAAGCCGAGAAGATCTGGGAAGGAATCAGTCAGAGAGCCTTGGGCCAGAGTTCCAGGGGCTCTGGGAGTGGCTGCCAGGTGAGTTGGACAGTCCAATTTCCAGTGGGGTCCTGCACAGATGGGACATGGCTTAGGAGGAATCCTGGGCTGTGGGCATTCCTTGGCCCAGTGGCCAGATTTCCGGCGCTTGAAGCAAGATCCTGGGGGAGGCGGTCCTGGAGGAACGCCTGGCCCCTGCGGTTTAGGCATTTTGAAGTTCTTGTGTGCTGGAGATGTGGCTGGGGTTTCTCTCAAAGCGGAGGCAAGTAATTGCAACTCTTCTCTATTATTATACACCTTGAAGGTGAGGTCAATTAAGTTCTGTTGTGGGGTTGAGGGCCAGAATCTAATTTTTGGAGCTTTTTCTAATGTCGGGAGTCAGTTGGGTAATAAAATGCATATTGAGAATAAGATGGCTTTCTGGCCCCTCTGGGTCTAGGGTGGTAAAACGTCTAAGAGTTGTTGCCAAATGGGCCATGAACTGGGCTGGGTTTGTATATTTGATGAAAAAGAGCCTCAATGCTAACTGATTTGGGAGAGGTCGGCTAAAGAAAAAGGGGCATTAACCTTGACTATGTCTTCAGCTTCAGCCACCTCTTTAAGAGGAAATTGTTGGGCAGGTAGGGGAGGGCTAGTCACAGAACAAAACTGTCAGCCAGACCGAGTGTGAGGAGGGGAGGTGATAGAAGCATTATAGGGTGGGGGAGCGGAGGCTGAAAAGTTGGAACCTGGCTTGGCCTGGCAAGGAGCAGCCTGGGGAGGAGGGGAGAGGTCAGATGGGTCTCTAGAAAAGGAGAATTCACAGGACTCAGAGCTTGGGGTGGAGACTGAAGGAATAGACAGGAGAGAAAGAAGAAATATTTGGGATGAGTCTCATAGGGAGCAGAGATTAGGAAGGGACCGATGTGTAAAAGAATGCCTGGATGTCAGGCACCTCAGACCATTTGCCCATTTTATGACAAGAATTATCTAGATCTTGTAGGATGGAGAAATTGAAAGAGCCATTTTCTGGCTATTTGGAATCATTGTCAAGTTTGTATTGGGGCCAAGCGGTGTTGCAGAAGAAAATAAGACGCTTAGGTTTTAGGTCAGGTGTGAGTTGAAGAGGTTTTAAGTTTCTGAGAACACAGGCTAAGGGAGAAGAAGGAGGAATGGAGGGTGGAAGGTTGCCCATAGTGAAGGAGGTAAGTTTAAAGAGAAAGGTAGAGACACAGAGAAGGGGGTGGTGAGCAGCCAAAGCAGGCGTCCCCGCAATTGACTTGCCACCAAGGGAATGTGGGTGAATGACCAAGGCAGGCGTCCCCGTGGTGATCAGACACCAATGGAATGTGGGTGAATTATCAGGCAGGCATCCCTGTAGTGATTAAACACCAGGGGAAGACTGTCTTCCCGAGTCCATGACTGGCACTGGAGTTTTGGGTCCACAGATAAAATGTGTCTCCTTTGTCTCTACTAGAGAGGAAAATAACTGGAATTGGAAGGACGGGGAGATTGAAGGGTAGCAAGAGAGGCTGGAGAAGAGAGTGAAAAGACCGCTTACCCGATTTGAAATTGGTGAGATGTTCCTTGGGCTGGTTGGTCTGAGGACCCAAGGTCATAGGTGGATCTCCTCACGGAGTGAGGGTGAGGACAGGGGACTGGTCTCCCAAAGGAGTCCCCCTGTCCTGGGTCTTTGGCACCAAATATCACGCACGTCCGCGTGAAGAGACCACCAAACAGGCTTTGTGTGAGCAACAAGGCTGTTTATTTCACCTGGGTGCAGGCGGGCTGAGTCCGAAAAAGGAGTCAGCCCACACATTTCTTAATATGAAGTAGTGTTCAGTATGTAAATTATTAAAGAAAAAGTCAGATTATGTAAGTGTATATATCATATATTCACATCTATTTATAAGCTTATACATATCTACATAAAAGTGGTGTAGATGGATACACAATAAATATTTAAAGGCTGTGGGATTATGAATATTGTTTCCTCTAACATTTACGTATACTTATGTTCTAGTTTCTCTAAAATAATTTGTATTAATTGTGTCATAAATATTTTTATTGACAGTTAACATTTATTGGGTGTCTAATGTGTGCCAGACACTACATATATCTTATAATCCTCACGGTCACCCTAGTGAGTTAAGTATTATCTATCCTCCCACCCCCTGCATTATACAGATGATGAAATAGAGTCTTACAGTGACTTGGGCAAGATCATGCAGCTGGGATGACTGGAAGCTGAAACCAGATCTGTTTGGCCCAAGTCCGTGCATTTACCTGCAGCTATACTGCCTTTCCTGGTTAGCTCATAGACCATGTCAGAATCTGGAAAAAAAAATAGCTGTTCCAACTGTCAGAATGTTATACCACAGTGGTTTATGTAATAGCCTTATTTTGTTTATTTTTTTTTAGCAGAACACTTTCTTCAAATGAAATGTTATATAACAGGCTCTCAATAAGTGCTTATTCAGTTTTCCTTGAGATACTCCTACTCTGATCTCCTAAACACGAGTTCATGTGCCTGCCCCAAGCTGAGATCTCAATGGCTCTTGTTACTTATGCTTTCTCACATCCCTCCTGGGAAATGTTGGCTTATCCCGTTAGGATGGGATCTTGAACTTGAGGATGATGAAGTGTCAGCAAGGGGTCTAGGACCACAGGAATCCCTGCCATCTCCACAAGGACTGTTGTTATTTTTGAAAGAATCTCCCATGTAAACAGAAGAAGCCTTGGTACTTAAACACTAATGTCATATCATCAGATTGCTAGACCTTGTGAAAAATGGGCTTCCTTTTTGGATCTGTGAATTCTGTTTTGCCTCATTATGTTTTTCTGACTACACTCTGCCCTTCCTTGTTTTAATCCAATATACTGTCAGTAATTTGAATTAGCAATCTCAGTACTGAATGAAGGAGGAGAACGGTGTCATCACTGAAGTGGAAACATTGTCAGGGGTTGCCCAACTGAACACCATTAGTTTGATGCCTTTTCTACCCAGCTTGGTAAAGTCCCTGTTGTCATGGTTCCTTTGTGAAAGTTCTCTCACCCTCATAATTACACATGCCTCATTGCCTATAGTACTTGTGAATGGAATACAAGGCCCTCATATCTGCTTCCTGCCTCATATCATTTTCCTCTAATGCAACACCCTTGCCTTGAGTTTTACATTCTGTATCACAGAGCATTTCTTTCTTTCTTTTTTATTTTGAGACAGAGTCTCACTCTGTTACCCAGGCTGGAGTGCAGTGATGCAATCTCGGCTCATTGCAACCTCCACCTCCTGGGTTCAAGCAACTCTCCTGCCTCAGCCTCCCGAGTAGCTGGGACTACAGGCACATGCCGCCATGCCTGGCTAATTTTTTGTATTTTATTAGAGACGGGGTTTCACTGTGTTGCCCAGGCTGGTTGCAAACTCCTGAGCTCAGGCAATCTGCCTGCCTCGGCCTCCCAAAGTGCTGGGATTACAGGCATGAGCCACCGCACCTGGCCATCACAGAGCATTTCTAACTTTCTGTGTACTCAATGTGGGCTTCTGTTCATGCTGTTTCAATCTGCTTGTAATGCCCCTCTTCTCAGTTTTTCCACCTGGCTAACTCATTTATTTTTCTTTTTTTTTTTCTAAAATAGATACATAAAGGTGGAATTGTTGGATTAAAGAAAGTGAACAATCTTATTTGATTTCTACCAAATTAACTTCCAAAAATGCTTAACCGAATTGGATATGTGCCAATAACATATGACAGTAACTGTTTTTCCTCCTCTACCAATATTACATTTCACTAATTATGTAATTTTTGTCGGTCTTGTGAGAGAAAAGTGGTATTTCACGGTAGTTTTGATTTGCTTTTCTCTGGTCTCTACTAAGGTGGAATTTTTAAATTTTCCTATTTGGCTATCTGTATTTCTTTTATGAATTCTCTGTTCATATACTTTACCAATTTCTATGAGATTGTCTTTTTCTTATTTAATGTAGTCTTTCTTTGTGTTTTTGATATCAAGATTTGGCTGTAGTACATGTCACAAATATTTTCAACGAGTCTGTGACATGTGGCATTTTATTTGTATGTATGGGTGTATACAAGTTAACTTTAAAGTTGTCAAATGTATAAATCTTTTCATCATGGTGTCTGTATTTTACATCTTCCTTAGACTGGCTGTCCTTATGCCAAGGTTTATTAGATTATTAGAAAGTTATCCTTTATTTTCTCCTAATCTTTTATAGTTTTGTTTTTTATGTTCAGTTCTTTAAAACTTTGGAATTCATGTGTGCTTATAGTGTGAGGTTGATATCTAATCTAGGGGATGGGAATTCAACAGTGAAACCGGTAAAAGTTACTGACCACATAGAGTGGGAATTATGGTGAGCTTTTTTCTTTGATTATGCATTCATTTCTAATTCTCTTAAATATTATACCTTTTCAAGATAAATACCATACGATCTCACTTATATGTGGAATCTAAGAAAGTCAAACTGATAGAAGTAGAGAGTAGAATGGTGGTTACCAGGGACTAGGGGGTGATACTGGGGAGATATTGATCAAAGCATACAAAATTTCAGTTAGACAGGAAGAATAAATTCAAGAGATCCATCATGGTACAACATGGTAACTATAGTTAAAAACAATGTATTGTATAGTTGAAAATTATAAAAAGAGTAGATTGTAAGTGTTATCACCAAAAATAAATATTATAGCTTCTTGATATATTTTAATATCTGGTGGGGCAAATTTTCCCTCATTGTTCATCTATACAGTCACATGTTGCTTAACAACAGGGATGCATTCTGAGAAATGTGTCAGTAGGCAATTACGTTATGTGACCCTCATAAAGTGGACTTACACAAATCTAGATTGAATAGCCTGCTACCCATCTAGGCTTTATGGTACAGCCTATTGTTCTATGCTACAAACCTGCATGTTACGGTACTGAATACGGTAGGCAATTGTAATGCAATGGTAAGTATTTGTGCATTTTAACATCTAAACATAGTAAAAATATGGTATAAAAGTTAAAAAATGGTACACCTGTGTAGGGCACTTACCATGTGTGGTATTGGCAATCTGGAAATTGAACTGGAAGAACTGGAAGTTGCTCTGGGTGAGTCAGTGAGTGAGTGGTGAGTAAACATGAAGGCTTAGGACATTCTACACACTACGGTAGACTTTGTAAATACTCTACATTTAGGCTACACTAAATTTATGAAAAAATATTTTCCTCTTCAATAATAAATTAACTTTAGCTCTCTATAACATTTTTACTTTATAAGCTGTTTACTTTTTTTAACTTTTTGACTCTCCTGTAACAATACTTAGCTTAAAACCCAAAACACTATATAGCTGTCCAAAAATATTTGCTTTCTTTATACTCTTATTCTATAAGCTTTTCTTATTTTATTTTTTTAACTTTAAAAACTTTTTTGTTAAAAATGAAGACACAAACACACACATTAGCCTAGGTCTACACAGGATTAGGGTCATCAATATCACTGTCTTTCACCACCACATCTTGTCCCATTGGAAGATCTTCAGGCTCAAAAACATGCATGGAGATGTCATCGTCGATGACAATAGTGCTTCTTCTAGAATGTCTCCTGAAGTACTTGCCCAAGGCCCTTGAGAAGGTGTCACTCTTCAGAAATATGTCTATGACGATTTGCTTGGTTTGTTTCTTTTTTTTTTCCATCATAAATTTGTAAGCAGATAGAACACCATGGACATCTTTCTCTGTCTTTTCAAAATCTTTAATGAGTTCATTGAGGTTTGCAAGAGCTTATGATAAACCTTTCACTGTGGATTTTCTTGAGGGTTCTTTTTTTTTATTTTCCTGCAGTTTCCTTTTCTGTTGCCTCTTCTGAAGCTATGCATTGCTGTTCCAGTTCTAATAACTCCTCATTAGTCAGTTTTTCAGGAACCACTCTAGGAGCTCCTCAGAGTCATCCTCATCCTCATCCTCATCCTCATCCAAGTTAAAGTTTCTTGCTATCTCAACTATAGCCTTGTTGATTTTTACAGCCTCCCCATTCTTGGAAAATCCTTTGAAGTCATAGATGAACCTCTTGAGTGTCTTCTTCTAGATACCATACATACACTCCTTGGTCACATCATCCCAAGCCCAAGCAAGGTTATTGATGCAGTCATAGATGTTATAATCCTTCTAGATTTGCACCAATGTCTTCTCAGTGTCTTCCTTAGTTGGAACCCATGTGACCTGGCTTCTCAATGAAATACTAGCAAACTGAGTCCAGCTGCACATCAAAAGATAATACACCATGATCAAATGGATTGTATTCCAGGGAAGCAAGGATGGTTCAACATACTCATATCAGGCCAGGCGTGGTGGCTCACACCTGTAATCCTAGCACTTTGGGAGGCCACGGCGGGAGGATCACTTGAGCTCAGGAGTTGAAGACCAGCCTGGGCAACATAGTGAGACCTTGTCTCTTAAAAAAAAGAAAGAAAAAAAACATACTCAAATCAACAAATGTAATTAAACATAAACAGAATAAAAGACAAAAAACCATATAATTGTCCAGGTGTGGTGGCTCATGCCTGTAATCCCAGCACTTTGGGAGGCTGAGGTGGGAGGATTGCTTGAGCCCAGGAGTTTGATACCAGCCCGGGCAACATGGCGAAACCCCGTCTCCACAAAAAAATGCAAAAATCAGCCAGGCATGGTGGCACATGCCTGTAGTCCCAGCTACTTGGGAGGCTGAGTTGGGAGGATGGTTTGAGCCTCGGAGGAGGAGGTTGCAGCGAGCTGAGATCGCACCATTGTACTCCAGCCTGGGTGACAGAGCCAGTTCCTGTCTCAACCAAACAAACAAACATATCATCTTAATGGATGCAAAAAAGGCCTTTGATAAAATTTTGCATCCCTGTGTGATAAAAACTCTCAACAAACTAGGTATAGAAGGAACAGACCTCAAAATAATAAAGGGTGTATGGAACAAACCCACAGCCAAAATCACACCGAATGGGGAGAAGTTCACCTGACGAACTGGACAAGAAGATGCCCACTCTCACCACTTCTATTCAAGATAGTACTGGAAGCTCTAGCCAGAGAAATCAGGCAAGATAAATAATAGGCATCCAAACTGGAAAAGAGGAATTCAAATTATTGCTGTCCACTGATGACATGATCTTATATCTAAAAAACCCTAAATGCTATACCAAAAACCGTTTATATTTAACAAATTAATTCAGTAAAGTTTCTGAATAGAATATGTACAAAAGTTACTAGCATTTCTATATACCAATAATGATGAAGCTGAGAACCAAATCAAGAAGGCAATACTATTTTCAATAGCTACCAAAAAAAAAAAAATACTCAGGAATATATTTAACTAAGGAGGGGAAGGATCTCTACAAGGAAAACTACAAAACACAGATGAAAGAAACTGTAGATAACACAAAAAAGATGCAAAAACATCCCATGCTCATGAATTAGAAGAATTAATATTGTTAAAATGATCATACTGTCCGACACAATCTACAGATTCAATGCAATCTCTATAAAAATGTCAATATCATTTGCCACAGGATTGGAAAAAAATCCTAAAATTTTCATGGAACCAAAAAGGAGGCTGAAACCAAAGTAACCTAAGCAAAAGAACAAAGCTGGAAGCATCACATTACCTGACCTCAAATTATACTACAAGTCCATAGTAACCCAAACAGCCTAGTGCTGGTATAAAAATAGACACACAGGTCAATGGAACAGAATAGAGAATACAGAAATAAAGCCACATATATACAACCAACTGACCTTTCACAAAGTTGACAAAAACATACTGGGTAAAGGACATCCTTTCAATAAATGCTCCTGGGAAATTGGATATCCATATGCAGAAGGATGAAGCTGGATCCCTATCTCTCACCATATACAAAAATTAACGAAGATGGATTAAAGACTTAAATATAAGACCTGAAACTATAAAAGTCCTAGAAGAAAACCCAGGAAAAACTTATGGACATTGGCCTAGGTGAAGAATTTATAATGGAGACCCCAAAATCAAATGCAAGAAAAAGAAAAACAGACAAATAGGATTTAATTATACTAATAAGCTTCTGCATAGCCAAAGAAATAATCAATAGAGTGAACAGATGCCCTGCAAAATGAGATAAAATATTTGCAAATATCCATCCAACAGGGGACTAATATTTACAATTTATAAGGAACCCAACAACAAAAACAACCCCATTAAACAGTGGGCAAAGGACATGAGTAGGCATTTTTTCAAAGAAAACATACAAATGGCCCATGAACATATGCAAAATGGTCAACATCACTAAACATCACAGAAATGCAAATTTAAACCACAAAATCATTTATACCAGTAAGAATGGCTATAATTAGAAAAGTCAAAAAATAACAGATGTTGGTGAGGATGCAAAGAAAGAGAAATACTTATACACTGTTAGGAAATTCACATTAGTACAACCTCTATGGAAAGCAGCATGGAGATTTGTCAAAGAAGTGAAAATTGAACTACCATTTGATCCAGCAATCCCTCTACCAGGTATATACACAAAAGAAAAAAAAAGTCACTGTATCAAAAAGATACCTGACTCATACATTTATCAAAGCACTGTTCATAATAGCAAAGATATGGAATCAACCCAAGTGTTCATCATTGGATGACTGGACAAAGAAAAAGTGGCATATATATATACCCAGTGGAATACTATTCAGCCATAAGAACAATGAAATATCTTTTGCAGCAACATGGATGGAACTGGGGGTCATTATCTCAAGTGAAACAACTCAGAAAATGAAAGTCAAATACCATAAGTTTTCACTTATAAGTGGGAGCTAAATAATGTGCACACAATGACAGAGTATCGAGTGATATACATTGGAGACTGGAAAGTGGGGGTGGAAGGACAGAGGGTAATGAGAAATTACTTAATGAGTACAATATATGTTATTTGGTTGATGGATACAATAAAACCCAATACTTTCCCACTACTCAATGAATGCATGTAACACAATTGCACTTGTACCCCTAAATTTACACAAATTTTTTAAAAAGAAAAACATCATGAAAGTTAACAGGACTGAATGAAGTTGGAGAAAAGTCAATGCAGTGGCTAAGAAAGCAGATTTTGTGGTCAGACAAATCTGGCTTAGAATCCCATCATAACCACTTACTTTCTGAGTGACCTTAGACAAACTTAATTAAGTGTTCATACCTAAATGTCCTAACTGCATCTAATTTCATGGAACATCATTACTATGTTTAAGAAAAACAAAATAGGCTGGGCGCAGTAGCTCGCGTCTGTAATCCCAGCACTTTGGGAGGCCAAGGCGGGTAGATCACCTGGGGTCAGGAGTTTGAGACCAGCCTGGCCAACATGGCCAAACCCCGTCTTTACTAAAAATACAAAAAATTAGCCGGGCCTGGTTGTGGGTGCCTGTAATCCCAGCTACTCGGAGGCTGAGGCAGGAGAATTGCTTGAAGCCAGGAGGCGGAGGTTGCAGTGAGCCGAGATCGTGCCATTGCACTCCAGCTTGTACAAGAGCAAAACTCCGTCTCAAAAAAAAAAAAAAAAAAAATTAAACAAAAAAATAGACTACATTAAACTAGAAAATATCAGTATACACCACATGAAGCAAGGCATATCATTTCTGTGAAACTTTTGCTGTGTGTGTGTATGTCTGTGTGTGTTTGGTTTTGATGTGAAATGTTGTTCTTACATGTATTACATTCAGTTTGAAAGCCTCTGTTGTAGTTACAGGATAAGTAATCTGAAAATGTGGTGGAAAGGGAATTTGTAAATAAAGAAGAGTTGGGAGAGACATTGCAGACAGAATGGACATGCCTTGGTGACTAACTGGATTGTAGGGAGGGATCATTAAGGTGAAAAAAGGAGGAACTGAACATCATCATGAGCTTCCACTGGGTAATATGATGATAATTATTCTTTTTACAAAAATGGGACTATATGGTTGCATTCCACTCAGATGGCTCTCAGAATTGCAGCTGACAGTGAATAACATTGACTTATATGATTCATTTACCTCCTGCCTAGTCTCTTTGTCTCTAGGCTCTCCCTCTTTTATTTCTTTCTTATGACTGATTAGGTGGATTTAATTTTCTGAAAGCACAGTACTCAACAGTTTCAGCTCTGCTCTAAAACTCTACATGATTGTCTACTGTCTGAATTATTTGGGATCATGGCCTTCATTACCTATTTCAATTTAGTAGAATATCTTTAGTGTAATAAGTGGGGTCTAAAATGTTATACTGAATTCAATGCAAGATCAGAGCCTTGAATTTAGTGGCTCTTCAGGTAGGGAGTTTACAGACAATTTTACTTTTAAGAAAATCTGCTTGTTCCAATTGCTCACTATTCCTTAAAACCACTAGATTTGTCAGGCGATGGCAGCAAAGAGCTGGTTACCTGAGAAACAGTCTGGGTCCTCAAGTGCCTGACTACTGACTGTTTAACTTTTATAAGCATAATTATCTCATGTAAACTTCATAAGTATTCTGAGGTAGATACTATTCTTCTCTCAATTTTACAAGTGAAGAATTGGAACAAATAGAATTCAGGTACTTTCTCAGGTCACAAACCTAGTTATGGTGGAGCCAGAATTTGAAGTGTCTCAATCAGAATCATGGTTCCTTCTACTGCATAAACCAATCTTCTCTGGATGCGATAACATACAGCTGTGTAGCCTCAGGCAAATTCATTTTAACTTCTCAGAATCTGTATCATTATTTGCAATGTTGGGTTAATACCTTAAAGGTGTGAGAATTAAATAAAATTATAGGTATAAACCTCTTAGCACATGCTAAGTGTTAAATCTTATTCCTCTTTTATTTCCTCAAGGAAGAAAAGATAAACAATAAATTAGTTGGTCAACATAGTCATATGCTGTAGAAAGATTGAGTCAGCGTCAGCTATGACCTAGGAATAATCTAACATGGTTTGGATCTATGTCCCTTCCCAAATGTTGTGTCAAATTTTAATCAATCCCCAATGTTGGAGGTGGGGTCTGGTGGAAGGTGTTGGATAGTGGGGGCGGTTTCTCATGATTGGTTTAACACCATCCCCTTGGTACTGTTGTGATAGTGAGTTCTCACAAGATCTGGTTGTTTAAAAATGTGTGGCACATCCCCGCTCTCTTTATTCCTCCTGCTCCTGCCATGTAAGACACCTGCTTCTGCTTTGCCTCCTTCCATGAGTAAAAGCTCCCTGAGGCCTCTTCAGAAGCAGATGCCACAGTGATTCCTGTACAGCCTGCAAAATCATGAGCCAATTAAACCTCTTTTCTTTATAAATTACCCAGTCTCATGTATTTCTTTATAGCTGTGTGAGAATGTAATAACACATAGACTCAGTTTGTATGCTGGCAATTCTTTATTTTAATTTGACAATTAAGTTGCTTTGGAGCGGAGGAGGCAGAAGCCACATCCACTGGACATGAAGAGTGGACAGTGATAAAGGAAAGAAGTGATGCAGGGAAGAAAAACAATAAGATGGCAGAAATGTCCAGGCAAGTATTTCTTTTCATAACTCCTTTAAAAATTCATACTTGGCCTGGTCTTATCCCAAAATAAATTTCTTAGAATGTCTGACCAACAGTTTCTGAGTGAAAGATTGCCTAGTATATATTTTGAATACCACATATATGCTCTTTTTGAGACTGGAAAGACTGAGCTCAGTATAGAAGAGAAAGCAGACAAATATTCATCACATTAAAACAGGAAACTGAATTTCTTTCAAATGGCTCAGTTGGAAACAACTAAATTTTAATAGCTCCCTTCATTGTAGCTCCAGAGTAACAATTATAATTTCCAACATTTATTGATTACTTACCATATATTAGGCACACTTCTAAGCATTCATATATTTAACTCTAATCCTCAAAACTTCCATTAATTAGGTTTTATTATGGATGATAAAACTGAGGCACAGAGAGGTTAGGTTATTTGCCCACAAGTCACATGGTTAGTGAGTGACAGAACTGAGACTTAAGTCCAAGGCAGTTTATTGTGTCCCACTATCCTCTACTGCTGTACTGCTAGAGTAACAGAAAAGATCTTAGAGAAGGAGATGACTGCACCCTGTATGCACCCTGTATAGCCCGGGAATGTCAGATTAAAGTGAACAGATCTGGACAGACACGTTATTTCTAGATGAGGTTAAAGCTAAATCTGCCTCACAGTATTGAGGCTGATTTAGCTCAAGTTGTTTTCAATTTCCTTTCATATGTTCAACAAGCCTATACTGAAGATAGTCTGCTTGCAAAAAAGGTCTCACTAGGCTGGAAACTCCTTGAGGGCATAAACATGTCTGTTTTTCCTCCCTCACTGACTCCGCACAACATAGTACAGTGCCTGACATGTCACAGAATCCATGATGAATCAGTGAAAAAAGGCTTCTGCTCTAGATGGTCTCTGTGCTAGAGAGAGAGAGAAAGAGAGAGAGGAGACAGAGAGGGGAGAAAGAGAGGAGAGAGAGAGAGAGAGAAATGCTGCATGAACTGAGATTGAGAATAAATCTAGCTTTAGTTAATAGCTTTTAGATTTCTGTGTAGTCACATTTTTTTACATTCTCAGTTGGAGCGGGTAGGTTACAGTGCTTGAGCCTGCAGCTTGATGATTTTCTGAGCCAGATTTCTAAGGTAACTCCTGAAACTTTCAGCAAGACAAAAGCATTTTGTAGCTGGGGGCATTTGAGGATAACATCAGTTCATTTCATGTTGAGGCAAGACACATAATCTGAGGCAGGACACATTGTCTTACTCTGAGACTGTTCTCTGGTAAGGAAAAGATGGCCAAAGTTATGCATGCTTCATACTTTTCCACTCCAGACACTTTCTCTGCCTCTAGCCATGCTTTCTTAGGCAGAGCCCTTGGGGACTAGAGTCTGAAACCCCCAAAGGAAGAAAGTTGGTCTTTCTTCTGCTACATACTTAATGGAGTAGGTGGGGTACAACTTTCAGTGGCCCAGATTGGCAAGAGCTACATATATGTCTGAACATGGAAAACACAGTGATTTTTCTCTAAAGTAACCTGGTGTAGAAGTAAAAAGATTGGCATTAAAGTCAAACAGACCAACTTTACACTTTCTAGATGCATTATTTTGAATAAGTCTCTTAACCTCTCTGAGCCTCAATTTCCTCATCAATAAAATGGTAACACCACCACCATACCAGCTTCACAAGGCTGTGAGGAGAAAGAGATGAAATAATGTATCTAAAGCTCCCTAACAATGCTTGGCACATATTTGGTACTCAATCATAGTAGATATTAATACTATTAATAAAAGTTGATCCAGTTGTAGATCCACAGTGAGATGAATCTGGAACACCTGGCTCAGAGAGATGCTAAGGAGAAGATTGCTTAATTAACTCCCCAGAAACTGAAACTCTGGACCACCAAAATGTCATCAGGCATTGGAGTCTCTACAAATCCCTGGCCACAGTGAACCTGGGAAGGGTCAACAGAAAGCTCCATGGTCATGCCTTCCTAAGGATTCATTTAAGCAGAGATACTCATTGTGGTACTGAGGGAACTTAGCGCTGAGATGTCCCTGGCTGTCTGCGGCTTTCCTTGGAGAACTGGCTCTGTGTGATAGCCCTAGTGGTAATAGCTTCTTTGCCTGATCTGGATCCATCCCTATCCAGTCTCTGCCATACCTGGCTCCTGGCTGGCTTATCTGCCACCCGATCTGAAACCTAGTTCTGTATCCACCCTTATTAGCCATTCTGGTCCCAATGTCATTCAAGATTTCAACTTCATTCAGTATCCTGCCAGAGTAATAATGATAATAACTGCTATTTGGAGAGCACCCACTATGCATGAGGCATTTTATTTACATTATCTCATTTCATCCTCATAGTAACTTACTTAACACACCCCTGCTGAAAACTCTCAGATGATCCTTACCTTTCAAATATAAATGCTGAAATGTTTATGTATGAAAGGATAGCAAGTGCGGAATTTGCTTCCAAATTTGGATCTGTAGGCAGTTAGGTGGGTGTATAGATGAAACAAGAGAGACCGTGACTTAATAAGTATTAAAAATGACAAGTACAAGGGAGTTCATTATATGATTCTACTTTTGTGTTTATATTTGAAACTTTCTATTATAAAAATGTTTTAACAATTAACAGAAAAGCAAAGCAGAGACACATGCGTGCATGCACACACACAATCCCCAAACAAACAAAAATCCTCTCAGATGACCTCTCATCACACTTAGAACACATTCATAATTTTTTATAAGACATAAAAGGACCAACATGACCTATTATTTTTATCTCACCTACTACTCCCTCCCAGGCCTACTGAATTCTATCCACAATGTTCTCCTTGCTGTTCTTTAAATGCTCTTGCTCTGCATCAGGGCTTTGGACTTGATGTTCCCTCTACATGGATCACTCGTTTCTCAAATATTCACATGCCTTGCTCTTTCTTTTTATTTTTTATTTTTAAGAAGGTTACTATAATTCATACTTTTTTTTTTTTTTACTAAACTTTAAGTTTCAGGGTACATGTGTACAATGTACAGGTTTGTTACATGTGCCATGTTGGTGTGCTGCACCCATTAACTTGTCATTTAACATTAGATATATCTTCTAATGCTATCCCTCACCATTCCCCCCACCCCACAACAGGCCCCAGGGTGTGATGTTCCCCTTCCTGTGTCCACGTGTTCTCATTGTTCGACTCCCACCTATGAGTGAGAACATGTGGTGTTTGGTTTTTTGTTCTTGAGATAGTTTGCTGAGAATGATGGTTTCCAGCTTCATCCATGTCCCTACAAAGGACATGAACCCATCCTTTTTTATGGCTGCATAGTATTTCATGGTGCATGAAATCCAGTCTACCATTGTTGGACATTTGGGTTGGTTCCAAGTCTTTGCTATTGTGGATAGTGCCGCAATAAACATACTTGGGCATGTGTCTTTATAGCAGCATGATTCATAATTCTTTGAGTATACACTCAGTAATGGGATGGCTGGGTAAAATGGTATTTCTAGTTCTAGATCCCTGAGGAATCGCCACACTGACTTCCACAATGGTGGAACTAGTTTCCAGTCCCACCAACAGTGTAAAAGTGTTCCTATTTCTCCACATCCTCTCCAGCACCTGTTGTTTCCTGACTTTTTAATGATTGCCATTCTAACTGGTATGAGATGGTATCTCATTGTGGTTTTGATTTGCATTTCTCTGATGGCCAGTGATGATGAGCATTTTTTCATGTGTTTTTTGGCTGCATAAATGTCTTCTTTTGAGAAGTGTCTGTTCATGTCCTTCACCCACTTTTTGATGGGGTTGTTTGTTTTTTTCTTGTAAATTTGTTTGAGTTCATTGTAGATTCTGGATATTAGCCCTTTGTCAGATGAGTAGATTGCAAAAATTTTCTCCCATTCTGTAGGTTGCCTGTTCACTCTGATGGTAGTTTCTTTTGCTGTGCAGAAGCTCTTTAGTTTAATTAGATCCCATTTGTCAATTTTGTCTTTTGTTGCCATTGCTTTTGGTGTTTTAGACATGAAGTCCTTGCCCATGCCTATGTCCTGAATGGTATTGCCTAGGTTTTCTTCTAGGGTTTTTATGGTTTTAGGTCTAACATTTAAGTCTTTAATCCATCTTGAATTAATTTTTGTATAAGGTGTAAAGAAGGGATCCAGTTTCAGCTTTCTACATATGGCTAGCCAGTTTTCCCAGCACCATTTATTGCATAGTGAATCCTTTCCCCATTGCTTGTTTTTGTCACGTTTGTCAAAGATCAGATAGTTGTACATATGCGGCCTTATTTCTGAGGGCTCTGCTCTGTTCCATTTGTCTATATCTCTGTTTTGGTACCAGTACCATGCTGTTTTGGTTACTGTAGGCTTGTAGTATAGTTTGAAGTCAGGTAGCGTGATGCCTCCAGCTTTGTTCTTTTGGCTTAGGATAGACTTGGCAATGTGGGCTCTTTATTGGTTCCATATGAACTTTAAAGTAGTTTTTTCCAATTCTGTGAAGAAAGTCATTGGTAGCTTGATGGGGATGGCATTGAATCTATAAATTACCTTGGGCAGTATGGCCATTTTCACCATATTGATCCTTCCTACCCATGAGCATGGAATGTTCTTCCCTTTGTTTGTATCCTCTTTTATTTCATTGAGCAGTGGTTTGTAGTTCTCCTTGAAGAGGTCTTTCACATCCCTTGTAAGTTGGATTCCTAGGTATTTTATTCTCTTTGAAGCAATTGTGAATGGGAGTTCACTCATGATTTGGCTCCCTGTTTGTCTGTTATTGGTGTATAAGAATGCTTGTGATTTTTGCACATTGATTTTGTATCCTGAGACTTTGCTGAAGTTGCTTATCAGCTTAAGGACATTTTGGGATGAGACAATGGAGTTTTCTAGATATACAATCATGTCATCTGCAAAGAGGGACAATTTGACTTCCTCTTTTCCTAATTCAATGCCCTTTATTTCTTTCTCCTGCCTGATTGCCCTGGCCAGAACTTCCAACCCTACGTTGAATAGGAGTGGTGAGAGAGGGCATCCCTGTCTTGTTCCAGTTTTCAAAGGGAATGCTTCCAGTTTTTGCCCATTCAATGTGATATTAGCTGTGGGTTTGTCATAGATAGCTCTTATTATTTTGAGATACATCTGATCAATACCGAAATTATTGAGAGTTTTTAGCATGAAGCGTTGTTGAATTTTGTTGAAGGCCTTTTCTGCATCTATTGAGATAATCATGTGGTTTTTGTCATTGATTCTGTTTATATGCTGGATTATGTTTATTGATTTGCATATGTTGAACCAGGCTTGCATCCCAGGGATGAAGCCCACTTGATCATTGTAGATAAGCTTTTTGATGTGCTGCTGGATTCAGTTTGCCAGTATTTTATTGAGGATTTTTGCATCGATGTTCATCAGGGATATTGGTCTAAAATTCTCTTTTTTTGTTGTGTCTCTGCCAGGCTTGGTATCAGGATGATGCTGGCCTCATAAAATGAGTTACGGAGGATTCCCTCTTTTTCTATTGGTTGGAATAGTTTCAGAAGGACTGGTACCAGCTCCTCCTTGTACCTCTGGTAGAATTCAGCTGTGAATCCATCTGGTCCTGAACTTTTTTTTGTTGCTAAACTATTAATTATTTCCTCAATTTCAGAGCCTGTTATTGGTCTATTCAGAGATTCAACTTCTTCCTGGTTTAGTCTTGGGAGGCTGTATGTGTCGAGGAATTTATCCATTTCCTCTAGATTTTCTAGCTTATTTGCATACAAGTGTTTATAGTATTCTCTGATGGTAGTTTGTATTTCTGTGGGATCAGTGGTGATATCCCCTGTATCATTTTTTATTGCATCTATTTGATTCTTCTCTCTTTTCTTCTTTATTAGTCTTGCTAGTGGTCTATGAGTTTTGTTGATCTTTTCACAAAACCAGCTCCTGGATTCACTGATTTTTTTAAGGGTTTTTTGTGTCTCTATTTCCTTCAGTTCTGCTCTGATCTTAGTTATTTCTTGCCTTCTGCTAGCTTTTGAATGTGTTTGCTCTTGCTTCTCCAGTTCTTTTAATTGTGATGTTAGGGTGTCAATTTTAGATCTTTCCTGCTTTCTTTTGTGGGCATTTAGTGCTACAAATTTCCCTCTACACACTGCTTTGAATGTGTCCCAGAGATTGTGGTATGTTGTGTCTTTGTTCTCGTTGGTTTCAAAGAACATCTGTATCTCTGCCTTCATTTCGTTATGTACCCAGTAGTCACTCAGGAGCAGGTTGTTCAGTTTCCATGTAGTTGAGTGGTTTCTAGTGAGTTTCTTAATCCTGAGTTCTAGTTTGATTGCACTGTGGTCTGAGAGACAGTTTGTTATAATTTCTGTTCTTTTACATTTGCTGAGGAGTGCTTTACTTCCAACTATGTGGTGAATTTTGGAATAGGTGTGGTGTGGTGCTGAAAAGAATGTATATTCTGTTGATTTGGGGTGTAGAGTTCTGTAGATGTCTATTAGGTCCACTTGGTGCAGAGCTGAGTTCATTTCCTAGACATCCCTGTTCACTTTCTGTCTCATTTATCTTTCTAATGTTGACAGTGGGGTGTTAAAGTGACACACTATTATTGTGTGGGAATCTAAGTCTCTTTGTAGGTCACTAAGAACTTGCTTTATGAATCTGGGTGCTCCTGTATTGGGTGCATATATATTTCAGATAGTTAGGTCTTCTTCTTGAATTGATCCCTTTACCGTTATGTAATGGTCTTCCTTGTCTCTTTTGATCTTTGTTGGTTTAAAGTCTGTTTTATCCGAGACTAGGATTGCAACCCCTGTCTTTTTTTGTTTTCCATTTGCTTGGTAGATCTTCCTCCATCCCTTTATTTTGAGCCTATGTGTGTCTCTGTATGTGAGATGGGTTTCCTGAATACAGCACACTGATGGGTCTTGACTCTTTATCCAATTTGCTAGTCTGTGTCTTTTAGTTGGAGCATTTAGCCCATTTACATTTAAGGTTCATATTTTTATGTGTGAATTTGATCCTGTCATTATGATGTTAGCTGGTTATTTTCTCATTAGTTAATGTAGGTTCTTCCTAGCCTTGATGGTCTTTACAATTTGGCATGTTTTTGCAGTGGCTGGTACCGGTTGTTCCTTTCCACATTTACTGCTTCCTTCAGGAGCTGTTTTAGGACTGGCCTGGTGGTGACAAAATCTCTCAGCATTTGCTTGTCTGTGAAGTATTTTATGTCTCCTTCACTTATGAAGCTTAGTTTGGCTGGATATGAACTTCTGGGTTGAAAATTCTTTCCTTTAATAATGTTGAATATTGGCCCCCACTCTTTTCTGGCTTGTAGAGTTTCTGCCGAGAGATCAGCTGTTAGTCTGATGGGCTTCCCTTTGTGGGTAACCCGACCTTTCTCTCTGGCTGCCCTTAACATTTTTTCCTTCATTTCAACTTTGGTGAATCTGACAATTATGTGTCTTGGAGTTGCTCTTCTAGAGGAGTATGTTTGTGATGCTGTCTCTGTTTCCCGAATCTGAATGTTGGCCTGCCTTGCTAGATTGGGGAAGTTCTGCTGTATAATATCCCACAGATTGTTTTCCAACTTGGTTCCATTCTCCCTGTCACTTTCAGGTACACGAATCAGATGTAGATTTGGTCTTTCTGCATAGTCCCATATTTCTTGGAGGCTTTGTTCATTTCTTTTTATTCTTTTTTCTCTGAACTTCTCTTCTCACTTCATTTCATTCATTTCATCTTCCATCACTGATACCCTTTCTTCCAGTTGATCTAATTGGCTCCCGAGGCTTGTGCATTGATAACGTAGTTCTCGTGCCATGGTTTTCAGCTCCATCATGTCCTTTAAGGACTTCTCTGCATTGGTTATCCTAGTTAGCCTTTCGTCTAATCTTTTTTCTAGGTTTTTAACTTCTTTGCCATGGGTTCGAACTTCCTCCTTTAGCTCAGAGTAGTTTGGTCGTGTGAAGCTTTCTTCTGTCAACTCGTCAAAGTCATTCACCGTCCAGCTTTGTTCCATTGCTGGTGAGGAACTGCATTCCTCTGGAGGAGGAGAGGCGCTCTGGTTTTTGGAGTTTCCAGTTTTTCTGCTCTGTTTTTTCCCCATCTTTGTGGTTTTATCTACCTTTGGTCTTTGATCATGGTGATAGATGGGGTTTTGGTTTGGATGTCCTTTCTGTTTGTTAGTTTTCATTCTACAGTCAGGACCCTCAGCTGCAGGTCTGTTAGAGTTTGCTGGAGGTCCACTCTGTACCCTGTTTGCCTGGGTATCAGCAGCAGAGGGTGCAGAACAGCAGATACTGGTGAACAGCAAATGTTGCTGCCTGATTGTTCCTCTGGAACTTTTGTCTCAGAGGAGTACCCAGCATTGTGAGGTGTTATTCTGTCCCTCCTTGGGGGTGCCTCCCAGTTAGGCTACTTGGGGGTCAGGGACCCACTTGAGGAGGCAGTCTGTCCCTTCTCAGATCTCAAGCTGTGTGCTGGGAGAACCACAACTCTCTTCAAAACTGTCATACAGGGACATTTAAGTCTGCAGAGGATTCTGCTGCCTTTTGTTTGGCTATGCCCTGCCCCCAGAGGTGGAGTCTACAGAGGCAGGCAGGCCTCCTTGAGCTGTGGCGGGCTCCACCCAGTTAGAGCTTCCTGGCCGCTTTGTGTACCTACTCAAGTCTAGGCAATTGTGGGCGCCCCTCCCCCAGCCTCACTGCTGCCTTGCAGTTTGATCTCTCATTGCTGTGCTAGCAATGAGCGAGGTTCCGTGGGTGTAGGACCCTCCTAGCCAGGCACGGGATACAATCTCCTGGTGTGCTTTTTGCTAAGACCATTGGAAAAGTGCAGTATTAGGGTGGGAGTGACCCAATTTTCCAGGTGCCGTCTGTCACCCCTTTCCCTGGCGAGAAAAGGGAATTCCCTGACCCCTTGTGCTTCCTGGGTGAGGTGATGCCTCGCCCTGCTTCAGCTCACACTCGTTGTGCTGCACCCACTGTCTGACAATCCCCAGTAAGATGAACTTGGTACCTCAGGTGGAAATGCAGAAATCGTTCGTCTTCTGCGTCGCTCATGCTGGGAGCTGTAGACTGGAGCTTTTCCTATTCGGCCAACTTGGCTCCCCCTCCTGCTCTTTCATTTTATTAAAGTATTTACCTAAATGTCACCTCCTCAGAGAAATATGTTCTGACCATGGAAAATACTCTATTCCTCTCATTACTCTCTAACCATTTACACTGTTTTTCTATTTTTTAAAAAATTCACTATCTGAAACAGTAATAAACTTTTTTTGTTTGTTTATGTTTTGTCTATCCCCCTAAAGTTTGACTTTTCTTAGGACAGGGACTTGGTTTTGTTCACTGTTATAGCCTAAGTACCTAAAGCAGTACCTAGATTATAATCGTTCTCTAATATTCATTAAATTAGTTTAATTGAATTATAAGTAATTGCCATAGCCCTTAAATGGAATACCAGGAAATGTTACTGCCAGACTAAGGAGAGATATGTGTTTAACATAGGCAGGGTAATTATTTAATTTCCTACCAAGCCAACGTTCTTCAAACATTAATTCAGCATTTTGGAAATGATAATATATTTTTTGCTAATACATTTTTTATGTCTCTGTATTTCAAAACAAATTATTTAGTACTTATTTATCATATGTGATTTTCTAAAACCAGACAACTTCTTGGGAAACATTTTAAAAGCTCTAACATTCAGCTAATAAAACAACTTTATTTTTTAACAGTAAACAGTATATAACGTGCACTATTTGCTCTCAGAATTCCATCTGACTTGGACTATTGACTTTAGACAACTGTCAGTTGGTTGATAATCCAGCCTATAATTGCACTATGCAACTTGAAAGTGTGTGTCACAAAATTATTCAACAGAGATTAATCAATTGTTGATAAAATGTGAGCTCTTTTTAAAGTTCAATTTCCATTTGAATGTGCACTCCAGTTTAGCAACAGGTAGTAGAGAGACCAATTCACGTTTCACAAGTTAAATTAAAAGTTTTATGCTGGAAACTGAGTTGTCTAAAATCATCTTTATCATCTATCTCAGTGACACTGCAGTGCTCATATAGATCTGGCTTTGGTAAGGTAATATACAGCATGCAGTCATGAGGCCTAAAACTGTGATAAAGCCCTAAGAAACAGTTTTTGATAATGATGGCAATTGCAGCCCATCTGGAGTGGCTGATGTGAACATTCTGGCTGCAGCAGGGAAGGTGCAGCTGGGTCTGTGTGCTCCGGGGAGCCAGCAGGGGGCTGGAAACAGGGGGGAGCCCTGTATTCCCAGGCATAGCTGCAACTGCCCAGCTGCAGCTCGAGATCTGGGTATCCCTGCACTCTCAGGGGCCTGGGAAGCCCCCCTGCCCCTGCAGGCTTGTGCCTGCTCCCACTCCCTGGCCTCTCCCCACTCCCAGCGCCCACTCTGGGGTGGAGCAAAGTTGTGGCCAAGCCTAAGTGGTGTTGCAACCTGGCTGGGTGTA
Organism: Homo sapiens; assembly: GCF_000001405.40. Classification (NCBI taxonomy): domain Eukaryota; kingdom Metazoa; phylum Chordata; class Mammalia; order Primates; family Hominidae; genus Homo; species Homo sapiens. Next base: position 55,813,553 of record NC_000023.11, read on the forward strand.
CACATACTCAGGACAGCACTGACGTGCCAGCTCCCTGCCACATTGGCCCCCTCTGGACTTTGGGTGCCGACAAGCATGGAAGGGAGGCTGAGGGGGGGCTGAAGGCAGCTTGGAATGGGCTTTCAGGTGCTCCTCAGTATGAACAGCCATGTTGATGGTGGCAAGAGGCAGACAGGCTCCTGGGAGGAAAGGGATGGGTCCCTGGTTAAACTCCACCTTCAAGCCAGGGATGGCCTGAAGCTTGGGGGCCAGACTGCTAGTTCTAGGTGGAGTCCATGGCCCAGAGTGAGAATTTATGGTGCTTTTTCTGGGCCCACCCATGGCCACCCATGGCCACCCATGGACCAATCAGCACACACTTCCTCCCTTCTGAGCCTATAAACACCCCGGACTCAGCCAGACTCAGCCAGATGTTGGGACCACCAGCTGTGGGAAGGAGCTACCCACTTTGGGTCTCCTCTGAGCTGAGAGCTGGACACTTGTTGGGACAACCAGCCTGCAGAAAGGAGCTACCCACTGTGGTTCTCCTGAGATCTGTTCTGTCACTCAATGAAGCTCCTCTCCACCTCTCCACCTTGCTCACCCTCCAGTTGTCCAAGTACCTCATTCTTCCTCGATGTGGGACAATAACTTGGGACCTGCCAAATGGCAAAGACTGAAAGAGCTGTACCACAAACAGGATTGAAACATGTACCCCCCCACTTACCATGTGGGTGATGAGGAGAGAAGTGCTGTGGCCCTTCAAGGAGCCCAGACCTAGGGGCTCCCTGAGCCAGGGCTGTGACACCCTCTTTGGGGCTCTGCAGTCCTAGGCATCTCCAAGCTTCCAGGTGCCACTGCATTCCCCTTGTCCAGATATGGGTGCCCACAGCAGAAACCGTGTGTGTATATCTGGTCCAGCCACACCCTCACATGGAGCTGGCACCTGTGCTGGCACCTGGAGCTGCCTTCCCCACCACAGCAGCTGGTGTGCCTGGCTGTGTGCAGTGGCTGGACCCCACACTTGCTTGCCCACACTCCTCTTGCCACTTAGTGCCTGGTTCACCCTTCACACATGTAGGATCTGGGCCAGTAGCGTAAGTGAAGCACAGCCTGCTGGGCTGAGTAGGTGGAATGAGCCCAGCATGCAGGAGCAATACTCAGGCAGAAGGCACCATTGGTCACAGAGGTTTCTGGCTGGTGAAGCGACACCCCAAGGATTCTGTGACAATAATATATCGGGCAAGGAAGAACTCCAATAGTATCCCCCAAAACTGAGAAACTTTGCCTTGGGCTTCAACTTTTTCTGTCTCCATTCTCATTCTGTATTCATATGATCAACAGCTGTTTCTCAAGGGTAGATCATATGAAATCTTTAACTGTCACCACACTGCTACTACACTTGAGTCCTCAATTATCTCTCTTGCCATTGGGAACTGCTTTCCTGCCAACAGCAGTTTTTCTATAGTCACAAGCTGTAGTGTGGAGAGAAAAGGATTGAACTATACTTGTAGTCAAAAGACCTGGGTTTTAGTGCACTGATAATCCAGGTAACTGAGAAGTTAAGGGCAGGTCACTTAACCCAATTGAACCTCAGTTTTTTCATATGATAATATAGAATAATAACATCTATCTCGTAGACTGTTGCACTTGCTCTTTCATTGAAATATCTATAGCACCCTCTACATTTCTCTAGCATTGTGCTTACCAAGCTGTATTAAAATGAATTATTTGTATATTTCCCAGCACAACTTGAGTTGCTTAATGGCAGAGATGGTGCCTTATTCATCTCTGTATCCTCAAGTGCTTAGTATAGGGCCTGCCATATAGCCAGCCCTCAAGACATGTTGTTCAGCTAATCAAAACCAGTGTTAAAAAAAAAAGGCATTGAAAGTAGTTGAAGACAAATTTTCACTTCATTTTGCTAGTGCCTGACTAAAACAATATAAATTAAACTTATAGGAGTCTTTTCCCAAGAATGAGGAATACCTCCAACTTCACTTCATTACAGCCATTACACCTCTGTACCTTGCTCTTTCCCTGGATGTGTGATTATTAATATTTTTAGGCCATGACTCCCTTAGAGGATCTGATAAAAGCCATGTACATCTGGAAAAAATGTACACACATATCAAATATTTTTTAGTTTCATGGGATTTGTAACTCTCTATAGCTCTCCATGGATTCCAGGTTTAGAATCTCCACTTAAGAAAAACTGTGTACTCACTTGAGGAGAATGAGGAAGTCTTGTGTCTTACATTGCTGTGGGCCTAAGATCTAGGTCTAAGGGCAGATCATATTCAGAAGAGGACTCTGTCTACCTTGATGGGCCAAGAAGTCTATGCTCTCTTGCTGGGCAAGTGTGAGGAAAAGAGTTAGGGGAGATTCTACATGGCAGCTTCTGTCCACTAGAAAGATCAAAGCCACCACTGCCTTCTTGAAGAGTTTTGCAAAGGATCTTATCGTGGTTTTCAATTGGAAAAAGTAGCAAAGCTGCTTTGTGCCTTGTGCCACTTGCACAAAGAGGAAAGTGTCTTTGTCACAGCAAGCTGGCTCTGAGGAGCAGTGGAAACAAAGGTCTCCCTGCTGGACACAGTCATCCCTTCTGGGCACACTTCCTCCTACAGCTGCAACTGCTTGGGGACAGACCTTCTAACACTTGCTTCAGTCACACATATCCTTTGACCAATCCATGATTGAGCAAGATGAGCTGTTTCCTGCCTGTCCCATAGTCCTAGCTGAACAAACTGTTTTGTAACTTCGTGGATCTTGCGTTTTAGACCAGGAAACTGGTCCAATGCTCTCCTCATCTCTGCTCTGTTTTCTTTTTTTATTTTTTCCTTCTGTTTTTGACCATTCACAATTCACATAATTATATGTTTCTCAGGGCATTTTTCTTACTTAGCTATGCTCATTGGCTTTAATACACCCCTCCTTTTACTTGTCTAATTCTTGTCCAGTCACCCAGGAAAGCTTTTTTGTTTAATTGGGTCTCATTTATTTATATTTGGTTTTTTATTTGCATTTGCTTTTGGGATCTTAGTCATAAATTATTTGCCTAGGCCAATGTTCAGAAGAGTTTTCCCTAGATTTTCTTCTAGAATGGTTATAGTTTGGGGTGTTATATTTAAGTCTTTAATTCATTTTGAGTTAATTTTTGTAAATGGTAAGAAATAGGGATCAAGATTCTTCTGCATGTGGCTATCCAATTTTCCTAGCACCATTTATTTACGAGGGTGTCCTTTCCCCACTTTAGGTTTTTGAATGCTTTGTCAAAGATTAGTTGATTCTGAGCATTTGGCTTTATTTCTGGTTTATCTTTTCCATTCTGCTTATATTCCAATACATTGCTGTTTTGGTTACAATAGCCTTGTAGTATAATTTGGAATCAGGTAATGTAATGCTTCCATCACTGTTCTTTTTGCTTAGGATTGTGTTGGCTATTCAGGCTCTTTTTTGGTTCCATATAAATTTTAGGATTTTTTTCTAAATCTGTGAAAAATAATGGTAGTATATTGATATGAATGGCACTGAATTGGTAGATTGCCTTGGGCACTGTGGTCATTTTTGCAATATTGATTCTTCCAATTCAAGAGCATGGGAGGTGTTTCCACTTGTTTGTGTCATCTATGATTTCCCTCAGCAACGTATTGTAGTTTTCCTTGTAGAGATCTTTAACCTCCTCAGTTAAGTGTATTCCTAGGTATTTTTTGTAGCTATTGTAAAAGGGATCGAGTTTTTTATTTCATTCTCAGCTTGGTCATTGTAAGTGTATGACAGTGCCACTGATTTGTGTACAATTATTTTGTAACCTGAGACTATACTAAAGTCATTTATCAAGTCCAGGAGCCTTTTGGAAGAGTCTTTAGGGTTTTATGGGTACAGATCATATTATCATGAAAGAAACAATTTGACTTTCTCTTTTTCAATTTGGATGCTGTTTATTTATTTCTCCTGCTTTATTTCTCTGGATAGAAATTTTAGTACTATGTTGAATAGAAGTAGGGAAATTAGGCATCCTTAATTGAGACATGAAGAACCATTCAAAAGATCAATGAATCCAGGAGTTGTTTTTAAAAGAAATTAATAAGATAGATAGCTAGACTAATAAAGAAGAAGAGAAAGAGGATCCAAATAGACACAATTAGAAATAATGAAGGAAATATTACCACTGACTCCACAGAAATAAAATAACCATTAGAAACTACTATGAACACCTCAATGCACACAAACCAGGAAATTTAGAAGAGATAAATTCCTGGACACATACACCCTCCCAAGACTGAAATTGATTTCCTAAAAGGACCAATGAGCTCTCAAACTGAATCAGTATAAAATAGCTTACCAACCAAAAAAAAAAAAAAAAAAAAAAAAAAAACAAGCCCAGGATATGATGGATTCACAGCCGAATTCTACCAGATGTACTAAAGAACTGGTACCATTGCTACTGAAACTATTCCAAAAAATTGAGGAGTAGGGACTCCTCCCTAACTCATTCTATGAGGCCAGCATCATCCTAATACCAAAACCTGGCAAAGACACAACAAAAACAGAGAAAACTTCACGCAGATATCCTTGATGAACATCAATGCAAAAAGCCTCAACAAAATACTGGCAAACTGAATACAGCAGCACATCAAAAACTTACCCATTGCAATCAAGTAGGCTTCATCCTGGGCACACAAGGTTGGTTCAACATACACAAAACAATAAATGTGATTCATCACATAAACAGAACTAAAGACAAAAACCACATGATTATCTCAATAGATGCAGAAAAAGATTTCAATAAAATTCAACATCCCTTCATGTTACACATTCTCAATAAACTAGGAATTGAAGGAACATACCTCAAAATAAGAGCCGTACATGAAAAACCCACAGCCAACATCACACTGAGGGGCCCCCTGAGGATCCTTGGTTGTAGTTTTGTTTAGTGCACTGGTTTTCTCAAATGCTGGTTGTGCTAGCTGTGACATTGTCATGTGGACAGACTCAGGACCCCTGGTTAGCCAGAATGTTGCAGGTGGTGCAATTAGCAGTTGTTTTCTCCTTTCTTGGAGCTGGGTTGTTCTTTTATGACTTGTTGTTGTAATGTCTTGAGTTGGTTTTCCCTCAACCAGGAGGTGACACTTTCAAGAAAGCATCAGCTCTAGTATTATAGGAGGGATTTGAGCTTGCTCTGTACCCATAATCTAGGACACAGACACACACAGAGAGTTTAGGATAACTTGTCGCCAGGATAAGTATTTGGGTTTCTCAGGCAATGGGCAGGGCCATAGAGCTCCCAAGAGATTATTTCTTTGTCTTCAGGTATGAGGGCGGGTACTGTCAGGTCAGGTCAGGGTTAGGCGTGTCTGAGCTCAGACTCTCCTTGGGCAGGGTTTGCTGCAACTGCTGTGGGGGAGGGGGTTTGATGCTCAGGCCAATGGAATTATGTTCCCAGGTGGATTATGGTTGCCTCTGCTGTGTTATACAGGTTGCCAGGGAAGTGGGGGAAAGCCAGCAGTGACAGGCCTCACCCAGCTCCCACACAGCCAGCAAGGCCAATCTCACTGCCACCATGCCCCACCAACAGCACTAAGTTTATGTCCAGGCAGCAGGTGAAAAGGGTTGAGATCTTGCCCCAGGGTACAAGCCTCTCTGTTGAGAAAGCAAGCAGGGCTTTCAGGCTCCACCCCTCCCTGCCTGCCATGGCTTCTCTGCTGATATCTGCACTTCCCATCCCCTCCCCCCCAACCCCTGCATTCAGCCTGGGAAAATTCACACTATTACAAAGTTCAGCTGGAAGTTTTCTTCTTCCTGTGGTCCTTCCTCAATTCCTCTGGCAGCCCTCCCCAGGGACCCCTGTGAGACAAAGTCAGAAATGGTTTCCCTTGGCTTCCCTGGGGACTGGGAATTTTCTCTTTCTTCTACCTTTATATCTCACTTGGCTAGCTAAATTCAGCTCTAGGTAAGGTTAAATCCTTCTCCCATGATCTGGATTTTCAAGTTTCCCAGTGAGAATGTGTGCTCAGAGGAGGACTTTTCCCCATCACACTTTGGGCACTGACAGTTTTTCGGCTGTCTCACAGAGTTTGCAGTGGCTATGTTGTCTGGAGTATATACCCTGGGGTTCATTGTCACACACCAGGAAAATCTAGGACACAGACACACACAAAGAGTTTAGGAGTGGAGGTTTAATAGGCAGAAGAGAAGAGAAAGGGAAACAGTCCTCTCAATAGAGAAAGGAGTCTCTGAGCAGAAAGGACTGGCTGGCAGTGAATGTATCAGATTTTATAGTCCGGTTTGGGGAGGTGGTATCTGATTTACTTAGGGCTCAGATAGGTTCAATCAGGTATGACATTTACATAGTATGCGGGGAAGGCTGGTCTCCCCCCCAATCTTATTATGCAAATGGACTTTCCAGTTGATCAGCACCATCTTGTCTGCTCTTTACTGTACACGTGGCTGACAAAGATAAGGGAAGATGTAGCTGCCATCTTAAATATGTCTAGTCCTTAGTTCCTGCTGGCATTCACCTGTGCAAGCTCCCAGCTTGCTTGTCTATGTCTGCAGCTCGACTTTACAGACTTCTCTTTGTTAGAAAATGACTTGAGGCTGCTTTTCATTAAAAAGAAAAGCCTTACTGAGGACTCCCATACCCTTAATATCTGCCTAAATGATTTCTTCTTAACTCCTATATCATCAGCAAGGTACTTCTTTCAAAGAGTCTGCGAATCCTTTCAGTATTCCTGGTATGTTTTTGCAGTAGTTCTTGGAGCAAAAGTTCATGATGTGAGTCTCCACACAATGGAGACTCAGACCAAGTGGGAGCTGTGTTAATCCTGCCTCCTATTCACCATTTCTTTTTCCTTTTGAGCATCTTTTTTCATTTGTTTGTTGGCCACATGCATGTCTTCATTTGAGAAGTGTCTGTTTGTGTCCTTTGTCCATTTGTTAATGAGGTTGCCTGCCTTTAGCTTGTTGATTTGTTTAAATTCCTTATAGATTCTGGATATTAGATCTTTGTTTGATGCTGTATTAGTCTGTTCTTGCATTGCTATAAAGAAATACCTGAGACTGGATAATTTATAAAGAAAAGAGGTTTAATTGGCTCATGGTTCCACAGGCTGTACAGGAAGCATAGTGGCTTCATCTTCTAGGGAGGTCACAGAAAGTTTCCAATCATGGCAGCAGGCAAAGGGGGAGCAAGACGTCTCACATGGCCAGAGCAGGAAGAAGAGAGCAGGGAGGTGCTACACATTTTTAAACAACCATATTTCATGATAAATCACTCACTATCATGAGAATAGCACCAAGGGATGTTGCTAAACCACTCAGGATTAACCACCCCCATGATCCAATCACCTCCCACCAGGCCCCAATTCAAACACTGGGGATTATAATTTGACATGATATTTGGTGGGGACACAGATCCAAACCATATCAGATGCATAGTTTGAAAACATTTTCTCCCATTCTGTAGGTTTTCTGTTTACTCTGTTGATAATTTCTTTTCCTGTGCTAGAGCTCTTTAGTTTAATTAGGTTCCACTTGTCAAATTTTGTTTTTGTTGCAATTGCTTTTGGAGTCTTTGTCATGAAATCTTTACTATGGCCTATGTCCAGAATGGTATTTCCTAGGATTTCTTCTAGGATTTTTTTTTATAGTTTTAAGATTTATATTTAAGTAAGTCTTTAATCCATCTTGAGTTGATTTTTGTATATGGTGAAAGGAAAAGATCCAGTTTCAGTCTTTCGCATATGGCTAACCAGTTACCCTGGCACCATTTGAATAGGAGTCTTCTGCTCATTTCTTGTTACTGTCAACTTTGTTGAAGATTTGATGGTTGTATTTGTGTGGCCTTATTTTGGGTTTTTCTAACATGTTTCATTAGTCTATGTGTTTGCATGTGTGCCAGTACCATGCTGTCTTGGTTACTCTAGCCTTGTAATATAGTTTGAATTTGGGTAGTGTGATGTCTCTGGCTTTGTTCTTTTATCTTAGGATTGCTTTGGCTATTTGGACTCATTTTTGGTTACATATAAATTTTAGAATAGTATTTTTCTAATTCTGTGAAAAATGATGTTGGTAGTTGGATAGGAATAGGGTCAAATCTGTAAAATGCTTTGGGCAGTACAGCCATTTAAACAATATTGATTCATCCTACTCATGAGCATGGAAAGTTTTTCATTTGTTTGTGTCATCACTGATTAATTTCTGCAGTGTTTTGTAATATTCATTGCAGAGATCTTTCCCCTCCCTGGTTAGATGTATTCCTAGATACCTTATTTTTCACGGCTATTGTGATTGAGAATGCATTGTTTATTTGTCTCTCAGCTTGGATGTGATTGGTGTATAGAAATACTACTGATTTTGTACATTGATTCTATGTCTTGAAACTTTATTGAAGTTGTTTATCAGTTCTACAAGCTTTTGGCTAGCGACTATGGGGTTTTCTAAGTGTAGAATCATATTGTCTGTGAAGAAAGATAGTCTATCTTTCTCTTGTGTGATTGCTCTGGTTAGGACTTCTAGTACTATGTTGAATAGGAGTGGTGACAGTGGGCATCCTTGTCTCAGTTCTCAAGGGGAATGCTTACAGTTCTTGCCCATTCAGTGTGACGTTGGCTATGAGTTTGTCACAGATGGCTCTTATTATTTTGGTGTACATTTTTTCAATGTCTAATTTGTTGAGGGTTTTTAACATGAAGGGATATTAAATGTTACTGAAAGCCCTTTCTACATCTATCGAGATGGTCATGTAGTTTTTGTTTATAGTTCTGCTTATTGAAGAATTACATTTATTGATTTGCATATGTTGAACCAACATTTGACCCAGGAATAAAGCCTACTTGGTCACAGTGGGTTAGCTTTTTGATGTACTGCTGAATATGATTTGGTAGTATTTTGTGTATTATTGTGTCTGTGTTCATCAGGGATACTGGCCTGAAATTTTCCTTGTTCACTTTGTCTCTTCCAGGTTTTGGTATGGGGATGATGCTGGCCTCATAAAATGAGTTAGGGATGAGTCCCTCATTCTTACTTTAATAAAATAGTTTCGGTAGGATTGGTATCAGCAGTTCTTCATATGTCTGGTAGAATTCAGCTGTGAATTCATTTGGTCCAGGGCTTTTTTTCTGGTTTGTAGGTTTCTTTCTCTTTTTTTTAAATTAGTGATTCAGTTTTGGAACTTGTTATTGGTCTGTTCAAATATTCATTTTCTTTTTGCGTTAGTATTAGAAACTTATGTTTCCAGGAATTCATCCATTTGTTCTAGGTTTTCAAGTTTTTGTGCAGAGGTGCTCCTAGTAGTCTCTGAGGGTGTTTTGTATTTTTGCAGGGTTGATGATAATGTCTCCTTTATCATTTCTGATTGCACTTATTTGGTTTTTCTCTCTTTTACTTTTTATTAGTCTAGATAGAAGTTTACCAATCTTAATAAAGAACCAATTTTTGGGTTCATTGATCTTTTGTATGTCTTTTTTGCAACTCAACTTCCTTCAGCTCAGCTCTAATTTTGGTTATTTCTTTTCTTCTGCCAGGTTTGGAGTTGATTTGGTCCTTATTGCTACTTCTTCTAGGTGCCATGTTAAATTGTTAATTTTATATCTTTCTGACTTTTTGATGTGGACATTTAATGCTATGAACTTTCCTCTTAAAACTGCTTTAGCTGTGACTTAAAAATTCTGGCATGTTGTACCTTTGTTTTCAGTAGTCTCAAAGAATATTGTGCTTTCTGCCTTAATTTCATTGTTTACCCAAAAGTCATTCAGGAGAAGTTTGCTTAATTTTCATGTAATTGTATGGTTTTGACAGATCTTCTTGATATTGATTTGTATTTTTATTGTGCTGTGGTCTGAGACTATGGTTGGTATGACTTTGGTTTTATTGAATTAATTGAGAATTGCTTTATGGCCAAGCATGTGGTCAATCTAAGAGTACGTGCCATGTGCAGATGAAAATGTTTATTCTTTTGTTGTTGGGTGGAGTGTTCTGTAGATATCTTTTAGTTCCATTTGGACAAGTGTTGAGTTTGGGTCCTGAATAACTTTTTTAAATTTTTAATAATTTTTTATTTTTAACTTTTGTGGCTACACAGTAAATGTATATATTTATGGGATACATGAGATGTTTTGATACAGTCATGCAATGGATAATAATCACATTATGGAAAATGGAGCATTAATTTTTTGTGTTATATGAAAACCAGTTATACTCTTTTAGTTATTTTAAAATGTATAATTAAAGTATTATTGACTATAGACATGCTGTTGTGCTATCAAATACTAGGTCTTATTCATTCATCTAAATTTTTTTTGTACCCATTAACCATACCCACTTTTCCCACAGACTCCTCCACTACACTTTCCAGTCTCTGGTAACCATTCTTCTATTCTCTATCTTTATGGATTCAATTGTTTTGATGTTTAGATCCCACAAATAAGTGAGAACATGAGATGTTTTCTTTCTGTGCCTGGTTTATTTCACTTAACATAATGACCTCCAGTTCCATCCACGTTGTTGCAAATGATTGAATCTTATTCTATTTTATGGCTGAATTGTTCTCCATTGTGTACATGTGCCACATTATCTTTAACCATTTGTTAGGTGATGGACACTTAGGTTGCTTCCAAATGTTGTCTATTGAGAACAGAGCTGCAGCAAACATGAGAGTGCAGATATCTCTTTGATACACTGGTTTTCTTTCTTTCTGGTATATATGCAGCAGCGGGGGTGCTGCATTGTATGGTAGCTCTATTTTTAGTTTTTTTGAGGAATCTCTAGGCTGTTCTCCATAGTAGTTGTACTAATATACGTTCCCACCAACAATGTACATGAGTTCCCTTTTCTCCATATTCTCACTGGCATTTGCCATTGCCTGTCTTTTGGATATAAGCCACTTAACTTCAGTGAGATGATTATCTCATTATAGTTCTAACATGCATTCTTCTGATGACCAATGATGTCAAGCACCTTTTCATATGCCTGTTTGTCATTTGTATATCTTCTTTTGAAAAATGTCTATTCAAATTTTATGCCAGTTTTTAATTGAATTATTAGATTTTTTTCCTATAGACTTATTTGAGCACCATATATATTCTGGTTATTAATCCCTTTGCAGGTGAGTATTTTGAAAATATTTTCTCTCATTCTGTGGGATGACTCTTCAGTTTGTTGGTTGTTTCCTTTGCTGTGCAGAAGCTTTTTAACTTGAGGGGATCTCATTTGTCCATTTTTGCTTTGGTCACCTGTCCTTGTGGTGTATTACTCAGGAAATCATTTTCAAGAGTGATGTCCTAGAGAGTTTCCCCAATGTTTTCCCATATTAGCTTCACAGTTTGAGGTCTTAGATTTAAGGATTTAATTCATTTTCATTTGATTTTTGTATATGGTGAGAGATATGACTTTAGTTTCATTCTTCTACATATGGGTATCCAGTGTCCTCAGCACCATTAATTGAAGAGATGGTCTTTTTCCCAGTGTTTATTCTTGGCCCCTTTGTCAAAAATAAGTTCCCTGTAGGTATGTGAATTTGTTTCTGGGATCTTTATTCTGTTCAGTTTGTCTATGTGTCTGTTTTTATGCCAGTATCATGCTGTTTTGTTTACCATAAATCTGTAGTATAATTTCAAGTCAGGTAATGTGATTCCTCCAGTTTTGCTCTTTTTTGCTGAGGATAGCTTTGGCTATTCTGGGTCTTTCATCTTTCCACATAAATTTTAGGAAAGTTTTTTTTTCTATTTCTGTAAAGAATGTCATTGTTATTTTGAGAAAGATGCATGGAACGCATGGATTGCTTTGGGTAGTATGGACATTTCAACAACTTTGTTTCTTCCAATCCATGGGCATGGAATATCTTATCATTATTTGGCAAATAATTTATGACTAAGTCCCAAAAAACAAATCCAAATAAAAAACCAAATACAAATAAATGAGCCCTAATTAAGCAAAAAAGCTTCTACACAGCAGAGGAAACAATCAATCCGAGTAAACAGACAGCTCACAGAACGGGAGATAATATTTGCAAATTATGCACCTGACAAATATCTAATATCTGGAATCTATAAGAAACTGAAACAAATCAGCAAGAAAAAACATGTAATACCAGTAAAAAGTGAGTAAATGTCATGAATAGATATTTCTCATCTCAAAAGAAGACATACAAATAGCCTATAAATATATGAAAGCATTCTCAACATCACTAATCATCAAAGAAATGCAAATTTAAACAACAATGAGATACCCCCTTACCCAAGCCAGAATGGCCATTATTAAAAAGTTTTAAAAAATAAAACAACCCACCACCACCAAACCAGACATTGGCACAGATGTGGTGAAAAAGGAATGCTTATACACTGCTGCTGAGCATGTAAATTAGTATAATATCTGTGGAAAACACCATGGCAATTTCTCAATGAAAAGTAGATCTACCATTCAACCTAGCAATTTCACTGTTGGGTATCTACCCAAAGCAAATAAGTCACTATATCAAAAGACATGTGCACGTATATGTTTATTGCAGCACAACTGCAAAGATATGGAACCAACCTAAGTTCTCACCAATCAATGAATGGGTAAAGAAAATGTGGTATATACCTACCATGGAATATACTCAGTCATAAAAAAGAAAAAAATAATGTCTTTTGCAGCAACTTATAAGAAACTGGAGACTATTATCTGAATCCCAGAAAGTCAGTAACAGAAAAGCAAATATTGTGTGTTCTTGAAGCCATGGGCATGCAAACGCATACAGAGTGGTATAATGGACACTGGTGACTCATAAGGAGGGAGAGTGGGGTGGTGAGTGATGAAAAACTACCTATTGGGTACAACGTCCACATTTGGGTTATGGATACACTAAAATCCTGCACCTGACCATGACGAAAATTCATCCATGTAACCAACATCCACTTGTATCTCTATAGCTATTGAGATGAAAAGAAAATTTTTAATGGTGTCTGATTTCTGGCTTAGTTGAATGAATGCTGATGCCACCAAACAAAATATGGAATCCGAGTGGAGATGTATAAAGAAAAAGGCTTATTATGATCATTTCTGTTTAACTGTATAGATCATGTGAGATATCTATGAGATATCTAGGACTTATATTTAGGGTATGCAAGTGTAGGCATTCCAAGTAAGTGTAAACATATGAGTAATATCATGGCTAATAATTTTAACCATAGAATCATTGAAATCACTTCAAAATAGGATATCAAGCAAAAAGTATTGGACCAATGACATAAAGCTGAGAAGCACTAACCTTAAGAATTAGGCAGAGGAGATACCTTCAGAGGACCACAGGAAATGATGGTCAAAGAGATAGAAGGATTTCCACAAAAAGTTTGTTTTCATAGAAGGAACAAATAGGAGGCAATCAGTGGTATGAAAAAGGAGGCAATCAGTGGTATGAAATAAACAGAGGGTCCAAATAAGAACAATATAATATTTGTTAGTTAAATTAGGAATATCAAAGTGAAGATGAATACCAAGAAGTTTGAGGAAAGGACAGGCCAAAGATATAAACTTGAGATTCATGAGAGAAATGGGAGTTGAAGTTGTGAAAGTAAATGTGGGGGGTACCAAGATGGCTGAATAGGAACAGCTCCAGTCTATAGCACCCAGAATGAGTGACGCAGAAGACAGGTGATTTCTGCATTTCCAACTGAGGTACCAGGTTCATCTCACTGGGGCTTGTCAGACAGTGGGGACAGGACAGTGGGTGCAGACCACCAAGCATGAGCTGAAGCAAGGCAAGGCATCACATCAGCCGGGAAGTGCAAGGACTCAGGGAATTCCCTTTCCTAGCCAAGGGAAGCAGTGTTGGATGGCACCTGGAAAATCAGGTCACTCCCACCCAAATACTGTGCTTTTCCAACCATCTTAGCAAACAGCACACCAGGAGATTATATCCCGTGCCTGGCTCAGAGGGTCCCACACCCACGGAGCCCCACTCATTGCTAGCACAGCAGTCTGAGATCAAACTGAAAGGTGGCAGCGAGGCTGGGGGAGGGGTGCCCGCCATTGCTGAGGCTTGAGTAGGTAAACAAAGCAGCCAGGAAGCTAGAACTTGGTGGAGCCCACCGCAGCTCAAGGAGGCCTGCCTACCTCTGTAGACTCCACCTCTGGGGGCAGGGCATAGCTGAACAAAAGGCAGCACAAACCTCTGCAGACTTAAATGTCCCTGTCTGACAGCTTTGAAGTGAGTAGTGGTTTTCCCAGGATGGAGCCTGAGATCTGAGAACAGACAAATGGCCCCCTCAAGTGGGTCCCTGATCCCTGAGTAACCTAACTGGGAGCCACCCTCCAGTATGGGCAGACTGACACCTCACATGGCCAGGTACCCCTCTGAGATGAAGCTTCCAGAGGAATGATCAGGCAGCAACATTTGCTGTTCAGCAATATCCGCTGTTCTGCAGCCTCCACAGCTGATACCCAGGCAAACAGGGTCTGGAGTGGACCTCCAGCAAACTCCAACAGAACTGCAGCTGAGGGTCCTGACTGCTAGAAGGAAAACAAACAAACAGAAAGGACATCCACACCAAAACCCCATCTGTATGTCACCATCATCAAAGACCAACGGTAGATAAAACCACAAAGATGGTGAAAAAACAGAGCAGAAAAGTGGAAAATTGTAAAAATCAGAGTGCCTCTCCCCCTCCAAAGGAACGCAGATCCTCACCAGCAATGGAACAAAGCTGGATGGAGAATGACTTTGACGAGTTGAGAGAAAAAGGCTTCAGATGATCAAACTTCTCAGAGCTAAAGGAGGAAGTTCAAACCCATCGCAAAGAAGCTAAAAGTGTTGAAAAAAGATTAGACGAATGACTAACTAGAATAACCAATATAGAGAAGTCCTTAAAGGACCTGATGGAGCTGAAAACCATGGCATGAGAACTACATGACGAATGCACAAGCTTCAGTAGCTGATTCGATCAACTGGAAGAAAGTGTATCAGTGATGGAAGATCAAATGAATGAAATGAAGCGAGAAGAGAAGTTTAGAGAAAAAAGAGTAAAAAGAAATGAACAAAGCCTCCAAGAAATATGGCACTATGGGAAAAGACCAAATCTACGTCTGACTGGTGTACCTGAAAGTGACCGGGAGAATGGAACCAAATTGGAAAACACTCTGCAAGATATTATCCAAGAGAACTTCTCCAATCTAGCAAGGCAGGCCAACATTCAAATTCAGGAAATACAGAGAACACCACAAAGATACTCCTCGAGAAGAGCAACTCCAAGACACATAATTGTCAGATTCACCAAAGTTGAAATGAAGGAAAAAATGTTAAGGGGAGACAGAGAGAAAGGTCAGGTTACCCACAAAGGGAAGCCCACCAGACTAACAGGCGATCTCTCGGCAGAAACGCTGCAAGCTGGATAAGGGTGGGGGCCAATATTCAACATTCTTAAAGAAGAGAATTTTCAACCCAGAATTTCATACCCAACCAAACTAAGCTTCATAAGTGAAGGAGAAATAAAATCCTTTACAGACAAGCAAAGGCTGAGAGATTTTATCACCATTACTCCTGCCCTAAAAGAGCTCCTGAAGGAAGCAGTAAACATGGAAAAGAACAACCGGTACCAGCCACTGCAAAAACATGCCAAATTGTAAAGACCATCAAGGCTAGGAAGAAACTGCATCAACTAACGAGCAAAATAATCAGCTAAGATCATAATGATAGGATCAAATTCACACATAACAATCTCAATCTTAAATGTAAATGGGTGAAATGCTCCAATTAAAAGACAGACTGACAAATTGGATAGAGTCAAGACCCATCACAGTGCTGTTTTCAGGAGACCCATCTCACATGCAGAGACACAAATAGCCTCAAAATAAAGGGATGGAGGAAGATCTACCAAGCAAATAGAAAACAAAAAAAGTCAGGAGTTGCAATCCTAGTCTTGGATAAAACAGACTTTAAACCAACAAAGATCAAAAGAGACAAAGAAGGCCATTACATAATGGTAAAGGGATCAGTTCAACAAGAAGAGCTAACTACCCTAAACATACATGCACCCAATACAGGAGCACCCAGATTCATAAAGCAAGTCCTTTGAGACCTAAAAAGAGACTTAGACTCCCACACATTAATAATGGGAGACTTTAACACCCCACTATCAACATTAGAAAGATCAATGAGACAGAATGTTAACAAGGATATCCAGGAACTGAACTCAGCTCTGCACCAAGCAGACCTAACAGACATCTACAGAACTCTCCATCCCAAATCAACAGAATATACATTCTTTTCAGCACTGCACCACACCTATTCCAAAATTCACCACATAGTTGGAAGTAAAGCACTCCTCAGCAAATGTAAAAGAACAGAAATCATAACAAACTGTCTCTCAGACAACAGTGCAACCAAACTAGAACTCAGGATTAAGAAGCTCACTCAAAACCGCTCAACTACATGGAAACTGAACAACCTGCTCCTGAATGACTACTGGGTACATAACGAAATGAAGGAAGAAATAAAGATGTTCTTTGAAACCAATGAGAACAAAGACATAACATACCAGAATCTCTGGGAAACATTCAAAGCAGTGTGTAGAGGGAAATTTATAGCACTAAATGCACAAAAGAGAAAGCAGGAAAGATCCAAAATTGACACCCTAATATCACAAATAAAAGAACTAGAAAAGCAAGAGCAAACACATTCAAAAGCTAGCAGAAGGCAAGAAATAACTAAGATCAGAGCAGAACTGAAGGAAATAGAGACACAAAAAACCCTTCAAAAAATCAATAAATCCAGGAGCTGGTTTTATGGAAAGATCAACAAAATTGATAGACAACAAGCAAGACTAATAAAGAAGAAAAGAGAGAAGAATCAAATACACGTGATAAAAAATGATAAAGGGGATATCACCACCGATCTCACAGAAATTCAAACTAACGTCAGAGAATACTATAAACACTTCTATGCAAATAAACTAGAAAATCTAGAAGAAATGGATAAATTCCTCGACACATACACCCTCCCAAGACTAAACCAGGAAGAAGTTGAATATCTCAATAGACCAATAACAGGCTCTGAAATTGAGGCAATAATTAATAGTTTAGCAACAAAAAAAAGTTCAGGACCAGATGGATTCACAGCCAAATTCTACCAGAGGTAGAAGGAGGAGCTGGTACCAGTCCTTCTGAAACTATTCCAACCAATAGAAAAAGAGGGAATCCTCCGTAACTCATTTTATGAGGCCAGCATCATCCTGATACCAAAGCCTGGCTGAGACACCACAAAAAAAGAGAATTTTAGACCAATATCCTTGATGAACATTGATGCAAAAATCCTCAATAAAATACTGGCAAACCGAATCCAGCAGCACATCAAAAAGCTTATCCACCATGATCAAGTGGGCTTCAACCCTGGGATGCAAGGCTGGTTCAACATACGCAAATCAATAAATGCAATCCAGCATATAAACAGAACCAATGACAAAAAACACATGATTAGATTATCTCAATAGATGCAGAAAAGGCCTTTGACAAAATTCAACAACACTTCATGCTAAAAACTCTCAATAAATTAGGTATTGATTGGACATATCTCAAAATAATAAGAGCTATCTATGACAAACCCACAGCCAATATCACACTGAATGGGCAAAAACTGGAAGCATTCGCTTTGAAAACTGGCACAAGACAGGGATGCCCTCTCTCACCACTCCTATTCAACATAGTGTTGGAAGTTCTGGCCAGGGCAATCAGGCAGGAGAAGGAAATAAAGGGTATTCAATTAGGAAAAGAGGAAGTCAAATTGTCCCTGTTTGCAGATGACATGATTGTATATCTAGAAAACCCCATTGACTCAGCCCAAAATCTCCTTAAGCTGATAGGAAACTTCAGCAAACTCTCAGGATACAAAATCAATGTGCAAAAATCACAAGCATTCTTGTACACCAATAACAGAGAAACAGAGAGCCAGTTCATGAGTGAACTCCCATTCACAGTTGCTTCAAAGGGAATAAAATACCTAGGAATCCAACTTACAAGGGATGTGAAGGAACTCTTCAAGGAGAACTACAAACCACTGCTCAATGAAATAAAAGAGGATACAAACAAATGGAAGAACATTCCATGCTCATGGGTAGGAAGAATCAATATCGTGAAAATGGCCATACTGCCCAAGGTAATTTATAGATTCAATGCCATCCCCATCAAGCTACCAATTACTTTCTTCGCAGAATTGGAAAAATCTACTTTAAAGTTCATATGCAATGAAAAAAGAGCCTGCATTCCCAAGTCAATCCTAAGCCAAAAGAACAAAGCTGGAGGCATCATGCTACCTGAGGTCAAACTATACTACAAGCGTACAGTAACCAAAACAGCATGGTACTGGTACCAAAACAGAGATATAGACAAATGGAACAGAACAGAGCCCTCAGAAATAATGCCACATATCTACAACTATCTGATCTTTGACAAACCTGACAAAAACAAGAAATGGGGAAAGGATTCACTATTTAATAAATGGTGCTGGGAAAACTGGCCAGCCATATGTAGGAAGCTGAAACTGGATCCCTTCCTTACACCTTATACAAAAATTAATTCAAGATGGATGAAAGACTTAAATGTTAGTCGTAAAACCATAAAAACCCTAGAAGAAAACCTAGGCAATACCATTCAGGAGATAGGTATGGGCAAGGACTTCATGACTAAAACACCAAAAGCAATGGCAAGAAAAGCCAAAATTGACAAATGGGATCTAATTAAACTCAAGAGCTTCTGCACAGCAAAAGAAACTACCATCAGAGTGAACAGGCAACCTACAGAATGGGAGAAAAGTTTTGCAGTCTACTCATCTGACAAAGGGCTAATATCCAGAATCGACAATGAACTCAAACAAATTTACAAGAAAAAACAAACAACCCCATCAACAAGTGGGTGAAGGATATGAACAGACACTTCTCATAAGAAGACACTTATGCAGCCAAAAGACACATGAAAAAATGCTCATCATCACTGGCTATCAGAGAAATGCAAATCATAACCACAATGAGATATCATCTCACACCAGTTAGAATGGCGATCATTAAAAAGTCAGGAAACAACAGGTGCTGGAGAGAATGTGGAGAAATAGGAAGACTTTTACACTGTTGGTGGGACTGGAAACTAGTTCAACCATTGTGGAAGTCAGTGTGGCGATTCCTCAGGAATCTAGAACTAGAAATACCATTTGTCCCAGCAATCCCATTACTGGGTATATACTCAAAGGATTATAAAATATGCTGCTATAAAGACACATGCCCACGTATGTTTATTGCAGCACTATTCACAATAGCAAAGACTTGGAACTAACCCAAATGTCCAAGAATGATAGACTGGATTAAGAAAATGTGGCACATATACACCATGGAATACTATGCAGCCATAAAAAATGATGAGTTCATGTCCTTTGTAGGGACATGGATGAAGCTGGAAACCATCATTCTCAGCAAACTATTGCAATGAGAAAAAACCAAACACTGCATGTTCTCACTCATAGGTGGGAATTGAACAGTGAGAACACATGGACACAGGAAGGGGAACATCACACACTGGGACCTGTTTTGGGGTTGGGGAAGGGGGGAGGGATAGCATTAGGAGATATACCTAATGTTAAATGAAGAGTTAATGGGTGCAGCACACCAACATGGCACATGTATACATATGTAACAAACCAGCACGTTGTGCACATGTACCCTAAAACTTCTAGTAACGAAAAAAAAATAAAAAAAAGACTACTGTATGGGGGGAAAAAAAGAATGGCATCAAGTTCTTAGTTTGTTTGCAAATGTATTTGACGTTCACTAAGACTAGTGAATGTTCAGTCCCTTTCAGTGTCCAGGTGGGTGAGGTTGGTGGTGAGGAGAAGAAATAGAAAGGAGAAAAGAAAGAGAAAGAGAAAGAGAAAATTGAAATGTGTGTTTGTGTAGGGAGGAGAGGGGTTGAATCTAGCAGGATAGTATTTAGCTCTCCTTATGATATCTTCAAAATTATTTTCAGGAAAGTCTGAAAAAAATCACACAATATTTGGAGTGTATTTCTTTTGGAGTGAAAACAGGTGAAGTGGCTGAATTCTACATTGGGGTGCTGGGGGGGGGTGCAAAACAGAGAAAATACAGAAGTACATATAAACCCTAATAAGAGACAGGCAAGAGAAAGTTAACTGCAGAACCAGCAGGAATTACATGGAAGGGTGCAGTTGGTATGCAGGCCAACTCTAAACAGCTCTTTCTACTTCTATATTCTAATATTCTCCCTCTGGAAGTATTCTCTTGCCCCAACTGGAGCTCTGGAGTCAGTCCCGTCATCATTCTTATAGCCTTCACTATTTTAGTGCTGGTTTGAAGCTTTAAGTGTAAACCAGTCCCTGTATTCTGTCTCAAACTTCACCCTCCTGTTTCGTCTAAATCACTGGTTCCTTCATTACTGGTTTCCACGTTTCCAGTTGCTTCACATCCAGTATGTTTCCTTAAATATTGACTATTGAAGTGGTTAAGTAATAAAGTCCACATGCAAAATGAAAAAGCATATAAGTTGCAATTACCTTTGGAACTACCATAACTCAACCATAATGCACAATATATATGGTTTCATAAATATAGCCCTGTTCAATAATACACATGCAACAGAAGGTTTGAGAAATACTCATCAAGACTAAAGAAATGGCTATGTGCAGATGTCTAGCCATTCAAAACATATGCTTATACCAGTTAGAATGGCAAGCATTAAAAAGTCAGGAAACAACAGGTGCTGGAGAGGATGTGGAGAAATAGGAACACTTTTACACTGTTGGTGGGACTGGAAACTAGTTCAGCCATTGTGGAAGTCAGTGTGGCGATTACTCAGGGATCTAGAACTAGAAATACCATCTGGCCCAGTCATCCCGTTACTGGGTATATACCCAAAGGACTATAAATTATGCTGCCATAAAGACACATGCGCACGTATGTTGATTGTGGCACTATTCACAATAGCAAAGACTTGGAACCAACCCAAATGTCCAACAATGATATACTGGATTAAGAAAATGTGGCACATATACACCATGGAATACTATGCAGCTATAAAAATGATGAGTTCATGTCCTTTGTAGGGACATGGATGATATTGGAAATCATCATTTTCAGTAAACTACCGCAAGAACAAAAAACCAAACACTGCATATTCTCACTCATAGGTGGGAATTGAACAATGAGAACACATGGACACAGGAAGGGGAACATCACACTCTGGGGACTGTTGTGGGGTGGGAGGAGGGGGGAGGGATAGCTTTAGGAGATATACCTAATGCTAAATGACGAGTTAATGGGTGCAGCACACCAGCATGGCACATGTATACACATGTAACTAACCTGCACGTTGTGCACATGTACCCTAAAACTTACAGTGTAATAATAATAAAAGAAAAAAAGATGACCATCAAATTCCTAATGTTGAAGTAAGATATCTGTAAAAAATTCAAAAGTGTGCCTCCACGTGTGTTCAGAATTGTTTGCTGTCATAAGGATTAAATGAAATAATAAAGTCATGTTTCATGTGGTAGAAGTTGGTGGGTGATTAGATTTACAAAAAATTTTTTTAACTTTCATTTTAGCTTCAGGGTACATGTGCAGGTTTGTTAATACAGGCAAACTCGTGTCATGGGGGTTTGGTGCATAGGCCATTTTTATACCCAGATAATAAGCATTAGTACCCGATTGAAGGGGACGAGCCCCTCCACACCTGTGGGTATTTCTCATCAGGTGGGATGAGAGACTGAGAAAAGAAATAAGACACAGAGACAAAGTATAGAGAAAGAACAGTGGGCCCAGGGGACCAGCGTTCAGCGTACGGAGGACCCGTACCGGCACCGGTCTCTGAGTTTCCTCAGTATTTATTGATTACCATTTTCACTATCTCAGCAAGGGGAATGTGGCAGGAGAACAGGGTGATAGTAGGGAGAAGGTCAGCCAAAAAACATGTGAGCAAAGGAATCTGTGTCACAAATAAGTTCAAGGGAAGGTACTATGCCTGGATATGCATGTAGGCCAGATTTATGCTTCTCTCCACCCAAACATCTCAGTGTAGTAAAGAATAACAGAGCAGCATTGCCACCAGCATATCTCACCTCCAGCCACACCCGGTTTTCTCCTATCTCAGAATAGAACGAATGTACAATAGGGTTTTATACCGAGACATTCAGTTCCCAGGGGCAGGCAGGAGACACAGGCCTTCCTCTTATCTCAACTGCAAGAGGCCTTCTTCTTTTACTAATCCTCCTCAGCACAGACCCTTCACTGGTGTCGGGCTGGGAGACAGTCAGATCTTTCCTGTCCCATGAGGCCATATCTCAGGCTATCTCAGTGGGGAGAAATCTTGGACAATACCCAGCTTTCCTGGACAGAGGTCCCTGTGTCTTTCCACAGTGCATTGTGCCCCTGGTTTGCCGAGAATGGAGAATGGCGATGACTTTTACCAAGCACACTGCCTGTAAACATATTGTTAACAAGGCACATCCTGCACAGCCCTAGATCCCTTAAACCTTGATTCCATACAACACATGTTTCTGTGAGCTCAAGGTTGGGGCAAAGTTACAGATTAACAGCATCAAAGGGCAAAACAATTATTCAGGGTACAGATCAAAATGGAGTTTCTTAGGTCTTTCTTTTCTACATATACACAGTAACAGTCAGATCTCTCTTTCTTTTCCCTACATCGATAGTTATTTTTCCTGATCCTGTCCCTCCTTCCAACCTCCTCCCTCATGTAGGCCCCAGTGTGTGTTGTTCCCCTTTTGTGACCGTTTGTTCTCATTTAGCTCCAACTTATTAGTGAGAACATGTTGGAGTTAGTTTAGCAAACTTCCTCCATTAGTTTGCTCAAGATAATGGCCTCCAGCTCCACCCATATTCCTGCAAAGGACATGATCTCATTCATTTTTATGGTTGCATAGTATTCCATGGTGTATATGTACCACATTTTCATTACCCAGTCTATTGTTCATGGGGATTTAGGTTGATTCCCTGTCTTTGCTATTGTGAATAGTGCTGCAATAAACATACATGCCCATGTGTCTTTATGGTAGAATAATTTATATCTCTTTGGGTATATAGCCAATAACGGGATTGCTGGGTCAAATGATAGTTCTGTTCTTAGGTCTTTGAGGAATCGCCACAATGTCTACTACAATGGTTGAACTAATGTACCTTCCCACAAACGGTGTATAGGCATTCCTTTTTCTCCACAATCTTGCCAGCATCTGTTATTTTTTTGACTTTTTAGTAATAGCCATTCTGACTGGTATGAGATGATAGCCAATTGTGGTTTTAATTTGAATTTCTCTAATGATCAGTAATATGAGCATTTTTTTTTTCAAATTTTGGCCACATCTATGTCTGCTTTTGAAAAGTATCTCTACATGTTCTTTGCCCACTTTTTAATGGGATTGTTTGTTTTTTGCTTGTAAAACTAAGTTCTTTATAGATTCTGGAAATTAGACTTTTGTCAGATATATAGTTTGCAAATATTTTCTCCCATTCTGTAGGTTGTCTGTTCACTCTGTTGATAGCACCTTTTGTGATGCAAAAGCTCTTTAGTTAGGTCTCATTTGTCAATTTTTGTTTTTGTTGCAATTGCCTTTGGCATCTTCATCATGAAATCTTTGCCAGGTCTTATGTCCAGAATGGTATTTCCTAGGTTACCTTCCAGGGTTTTTATAGTTTTAGGTTCTACATTTAAGTCTTTAATTTATCTTGAGTTGATTTTCTATATAGTGTAAAGAAGGGGTCCAGTTTCACTCTTCTGCAGATGGCTAGCCAGTTATCCTGGCACCATTTATTGAATAGGGAGTCCTTTCCCCATTGCTTGTTTTTGTCAACTTTGTCAAAGATCAGATGGTTGTAGGTGCATAGCATTATTTCAGGACTCTATTCTGCTCCATTGGTCTATGTGTCTTTTTTTGTATCAGTAGCATGCAGCCTTATAATATAGTTTGAAATTGGGTGATGTGATGCCTCCAGCTTTGTTCTTTTTGCTTAGGATTCCCTTGGCTGTTTGGGCTCTTTTTTGGTTCCATATGAATTTTAAAATAGTTTTTTCTAGTTATGTGAAAACTGTCATTGGTAATTTGATATAAATAAATAGGGTTTAATCTATGAATTGCTTTGGGCATTATGGACAATTTAACAATATTTATTCTTCCTATTCATGAGCATGTAATATTTTTCCATTTTTTGGTGTCATCTCTAATTTCTTTGAGCAGTGTTTTGTTAATTTTCATTGTAGAGATATCTCAACTCCATGATTAGCTGTATTCCTAGGTATTTTATTCTTTTTGTGGCAAATGTAAATGGGATTGCATTCCTGTTTTCGCTCTGAACTTAGATGTTGTTGGTGTATGCTACTGATTTTTGTACACTGATTTTCTATCCTAAAACATTGCTGAAGTTATTTATGAATTCACAGGGTTTTGGGGCAGACTATGGTGTTGTCTAGACATAGAATCATGTTGTCTATCAATAGGGGTAGTTTGACTTCCTCTCTTCCTATTTGAGTACCTTTTATTTCTTTCTCTTGCCTGATTGATCTGATTAGGACTTCTAATACTACGTTGAATGAGACAGTTCATATTCGTCTTGTTCCTGTTTTCAAGGGGAATGTTTCCATCTTTGGCCCATGCAATACGATGTTGGCTGTTGGTTTGTCATAGATAGCTATTATTATTTTGAAGTATGTTCCTTCAGTGCCTAGTTTATTTAGGGTTTTTAACATGAAGAAATGTTGTATTTTATTGAAAACCTTTTCTGCATCTATGAAGATAATCATGTGGCTTTTGTCTTTATTTTTGTTTATGTGATGAATCATATTAATTCATTTGCATATGTTGAACAAACTTTACATCCCAGGTATAAAGCCTACTTGGTTATGGTGAATTAGCTTTTGATGTGCTATTGGATACAGTTTGCTAGTATTTTGTTGAGGATTTCTGCATCTATGTCCATAAGGAATACTGGCCTGAAGATTTTTTGTTTGTTTGTTTGTGTGTATCTGCCAGGTTTTGATGTCAGGATGATGCTGGCCTAACGTAGTGAGTTGGGAAGAAGTCCTCCCTCCTCAGTTTTCTGGAATAGTGTCAGTTGGAATGGTAGCAGCTTTTCTTTGTACATCTGGTAGAATTTGGCTGTAAATCCGTCTTGTCCTGGCCTTTTGTTGTTGTTGTTAGTAGGCTATTTATTACTGATTTAGTTGTGGAGCTTGTTACTGATCTGTTAAGAGATTAAATTTCTTCGGGGTTCTTGGAGGCTTTGTTGATTTTTTAAAAATTCTTTTTTCTTTGTCTTTGTTGGGCTGGGTTCATTTAAAAACCCTGTCTTCAAGCTCCAACGTTCTTTCTTCTCCTTGTTCGATTCTATTGCTGAGATTTTCCAGTACATTTTGCATTTCTCTAAGTGTGTCCTTTATTTCCTGAAGTTGTAATTGTTTTTTTATTTATGCTGTGTATTTCACTGAAATTTCTCCCCTCATATCTTGTATCATTTTTAAAAAATTTTTATTGAATTGGACTTCACCTTTCTCCAGTGCCTCCTTGATTAGCTTAATAATCAACCATCTGAATTCTTTTTCAGGCAAATCGGGAATGCCTTTTTGGTTTGGATCCACTGCTGGTGACCTAGTGTAATTTTTGGGGGTTGTTAAAGAACCTTCTTTTGTCATATTACCAGAATTGTTTTTCTAGTTCCTTCTCATATGGAGGCTATGTCAGAGGAAAGATCTGGGGTTGAAGGCTGCTGTTCAGATTCTTTTGTCCTACAAGGTGCTCCCTTGATTTAGTATTCTCCCCCTTCTCCTAGGGATGTGGCTTCCTGAGAGCCAAACTATAGTAATTGTCATTTCTCTTCTGGATCTAGCCACTCAGTAGGGCTACCAGTCTCCTGGCTGGTACTGGGGGTTGTCTGCACAGAATCCTGTGATGTGAACCATCTTCAGGTCTCTCAGTTGTGGATACCAGCACCTGCTGTGGTGGAGGCAGCACAGGAGTGAAATGGACTCTGTGAGGGTCCTTAGTTGTGATTGTTTAATGCACTAGTTTTTGCTGGTTGTCCTGCCAGGAGGTGGCGCTTTCAAGAGAGCATCAGCTGTGGTAGTGTAGGGAGGATTAGGTGGTGGGCAGGGCCCTGGAACTCCCAAGAGACTATGCCCTTTGTCCTCAACTATCAGGATTGGTTGATAGGGAGGGACCATCAGGTGGGGGCAGGGTTAGGCATGTCTGAGCTCAGACTCTCCTTGGGCAGGGCTTGCTGTGGCTGCTGTGGGGGAGGGGCTTTGGTTCTCAGTCCAATGGAGTTATGTTCCCAGGTGGACTATGGCTGCCTCTGCGGTGTCATGCAGGTTGTCATGGAAGTGAGGAAAAGCTGGCAGTTACAGGCCTCACCCAGCTCCCATTCAACCCAGAAAGCTGGTCTCACTCCCATTGTGAAAATCCTGCCACCACAGCACCAAGTTGGTTTCCAGGCATCGGGAAGCAGGGCTGAGAAATTGCTCCAAGCTACCAGCCTCCAGCTAAGAAAGCAAGCAGGGCTTTTGTGCCTCCCTACCTGTTGAGTCTGCACACCGGATTCACACCCCGTGAGTTCTGGCCAGGAGACTTTGAGTATGGTTGGAACTGTTACAAAGTTCAGCTTGAAGTTTGCTTCTCCCTGTGGTCTTTTCCCAGTTCATCTGGCAGTCCTCCCCAAGGACCCCTGTGTGACAAATCAGAAATGGCTTCCCTGGGGACCCAGAAAACCCACAGGGCTTCTCTCGCTGCTTCCTCTACTCCTGTATTTTGCTCAGCTCTCTAAACTGACTCAGCTCCAGGTAAGGTCAAATCCTTTTCCCATGATCTAGACCTTCAGGTTCCCCAGTGAGAATGTGTGTTCGAGTGCAGATGATCCCCTTTTCCCACTTTCACAGTTTGGGCACTCACAGTATTTGGGCTGTCTCCCATGTTCTGAAGAAGCAATCTGCTTCCTTCAGAGGGTCTGTAGATTCTCTAGGATTTCCTGGTACATTCCTGCAGTAGTTCTGGAGCACAAGTTCATGATGTGAGTCTGCACACGCTGCTCTGTCCATCTGAGGGGGAGTTGCAATTTAGTCTTGCCTCCTATCTGCCATTTTCCCTCTCTGGTCTACACCCCTATCAATATTCTGAATTCTGTTTCTATCATTTCAGGCATTTCAGCCTGGTTAAGAACGCTTTCTGGAGAACTAGTGCTGTCGTTTGGAGGACAGAAGACACTTTGGCCATTTGAGTTACCAGAGTTCTTTCACTGCTTCTTTCTAATCTCTGTGGATATTCCTTTGTCTTTGGTGTAGATTGAGTACTGTCGGTAGAAATCTGTTCTGGCTTTTTCCAGAGGGCTGAGGCTTTGTGCAGGGTCTTTATTTGTAGGTGACTTCTTGTCTTGGTTTCACAGGCAGTAAGTTAGCAAAGTATTTTTGGTGTGTAAGGTTTGGGGTGTCACCCATTTTATGGCACTTAAGTGTAATGGTCAGTACGTAGGCTTTTGTTCTGTCATGTGACTCCTCTATATTTTTTCATAGTTGCAGCTGTTCTTCCTATCAATGCTCTGAAATTGTGGGCTTCTCTCCCACCTGATTGCTGGCTGCAGTTCACAGCTTGGCACTTGCAGGCTGCACATCACAGCTCTGGGGTAATCTCAAAGTTTATGTTCCCTCCTCAACTTGGAGGCAGCAGAGGAAGACATATTAACAGTGGTTGTGGCCAGGAGTCTATTGCTTTTCTCCTGGGGCTCCACTGCAGGGAGATGTGGAGCTGTAACCAGTCACTGTGATTGGCCTAGGATGGGGTGCTGTGCTGTGGGCCCCAGCCAAAAAGGGGGACCTGTTTGATGATGAGCAGGTACGTGGTTGGGACCTGTGGGAGACAGAATGGCCTCTTCTTAGGGTAAATACAGCTTGCTGGAGGTGTAGATAAGGCACTTAGAGTCTTTGCTCCTTTCCCAGTCCAAAGGCAGCAGGGGCAGTATCACTAGAGAGGCAGTGGTAGAAGGGCTTTCAGTTGCCCCTGGGAGCTATACCTTTGAGAGAAAAGGAGCCACTGCAATGAGGAGTGTTCATCCAGCTGGTGGGGTACCTATACTGCTGGCCTGAGCTGGGAGCTCCACTTGTTGAGGAGTTGGGGGTTGGGGGCTCACAGGGAGGAGAGACTGGTCTTCTCTCTGTATGGTGACTGTGGTGTTCTGTAAGCTCTGCTGTGGCCCTTAGGCTCTTTATTTTTAACCCAGACCAATGGCAATAGGAGCAGAATCACTGCTGTGATAGTGGCAGAGGTGTTTTTGTTGTCTCTGGAAGCCTCTCCCCACAGAAACGCAAAGCCACTACCAGTGGGTATGCTCAGCCGTGGATGGGGCAGCTGTTATGTGGTCCTGAGTGAGGGCTCTACCTGGTGGAGAGTGGGGGGTGTGGGCTCCCAATTTGGAGGCACTAGAGTCCTCTCCATGTGGTGGTTGGTGCTGGAGGTGCCAGCATAGCAACTAGGCCCTTTGTTCCTTCTCCAGAATGAAGGCAGTTAGGGTGGTACCACTGCAGCTGCAATGATGAAGTTGTGAATTGAGTCTGGGATTTCCTCATAAGAGAAGTGTTGGCCCACCCCTGATTGAGGTGATCAGGCAGGGGCAGGGTGGTTGCGCTGGAGTCCCAGGTCAGGAGGCTCCACCCAATGAGAAAGGAGGTCCAGGATCTGTGTGGAGGACAGTCTGGCCACTTTTCTGGGTAGTGGCTGTGCTGTGCTGGGGATCCACACAGCGCCACTTCCCCTTATAACTCTCCAGAGCCCAGAAGAAGCAAAGTGAAGGCTGTGAAATGGCAAAGACAGCTGCCTGCCCCTCCTTCTGGTAGCACAATCTTAGCGAGATGCAGAGCCTCTGCCCACCTGAGAACCTGGAAAGGGTGGCTGGAGTCCAAGGTTGGAAGGTCCCATCCAGTGAGGAGAAACAGATAAGAGACCCATGTAAAAAACAGTCTGGCCACTTGTCCACAGGGTGGCTGCACTGTGCTGGGGATCCACTCCAGTTCCTATTCACCTTGGACTCGCAAGGGACCAAAGGCAACAGCTGTGAAGACTGTGAAACAGCAAAGATGACAGCACACCCCTCCTTCTGGTAGCTCCCTCTCAAGGGAGATGCAGAGCTCCTGCTGGCCTGAGAACCCTGGTGGGTGTGGCAGGAGTCCCTTGTTGGGAGGTCCTGCCCAGTGAGGAGAAACAGGATCAGGGATCCATATAAAATAGTCTGGCTGTTTCACGCTACTCCATAGTCTGGCCATGTTGTGCTGCGGATCTGCTCTAGTCCCCAATCCCCTTGGACTCTTCAGATCCCAAAGGCAGCAGCAGTGAAGGCCAGGAAACAGCAAAAATGGTAGCCCACCACTCCTTCTGGGAGCTCCATTTCGGGGAGTTGCTGTGCTGGTACTGACTGGAGTATACAGTGTGTGGCTGGAATCCTAGTTTAGTGGGTCTTATCCTGCAAGGTGCCATGGAAGCAAGGCTGCTGAGCACCCTGGACTCAGCCCCTTTCCTGGGAGTGCATAAGAGAGGCTGATCTCCCTCTTTGCTGGAGCTGCAGCGGCTGTTGCCAGGATGCCCAGGGATCAAGGGCTTTCAGGACTTCATGTGTGTCTGAGTGGCAGTTCTGCCAGGACTCCACGTATCTCTGTCTGACTGAAGGCCCTGGTGGAGTGGATTCAGGAGGGTATCTCCTGATCTCAGGGTTGCAGCAATCTGTGGAAGAAATATGGGTCCCCAGGGTCTTGCAGGAGTGATTAGATTTTAAAGTCAAAGGTAAATTAAGTGTTGGTGTGACTATTTTGTATAAATAAATTTCAGTTCAGTGAGTGCCCTCTTTCCTGTTCCAAATCTCTGCATGCTCGCTTCTGCCTTTCCCCATGCCCTTCTCCATTGAATTCTTCTCTGTGATCTGACCCTTTCCTTTGGATCCATTACTACAGCCTGTGCTCATTTTCTCAGGCCCAGTCCTTGTAATCCAATCTCCTGATAGCACCTACCTGCCTGAGCCTGGCCCCACTATGTACTCTGACTCCACTCTGGCTTCTCACTGTTTACTCTAAGACCCTATGACCTAAACTCCACCATTAGTCCAAAGGCTCTGGAAGTTCTGGCAAGAGCTATCAAGAAAGAGAAAGAAATAAAGGTATTCAAACAGGAAGAGAGGAAGTCAAATTGCCTCTGTCTGCAGATGACATGATTGTATATTTAGAAAACCCCATCGTCTCAGCCCAAAAACTCCTTAAGCTGATAAACAGCTTCAGCAAAGTCTCAGGATACAAAATCAATGTACAAAAATCACAAGCATTCCTATACACCAATAATAGACAAGCAGAGAGCCAAATCATGAGTGAACTCCCATTCACAATTGCTATAAAGAAAATAAAATACCAAGAAATACATCTTACAAGGGGCGTGAAGGATCTTTTCAAGGGGAACTACAAACCACTGCTCAAGAAGTAAGAAAGGACACAAACAAATGGAAAAAAATTCCATGCTCATGGATAGGAAGAATCAATATTGTGAAAATGGCCATACTGCCCAAAGTAATTTATACATTCAATGATATTTCAATCAAGCTACCATTGACTTTATTCACAGAACTGGAAAAAAACACTTTAAATTTCATATGGAACCAAAAAAGAGCCTGTAGAGCCAAGACAATCCTAAGCAAAAAGAACAAAGCTGGAGGCAATGCTACCTGACTTCAAACTATACTGCAAGGCTACAGTAACCAAAACAGCATGGTAATGATACCAAAACAGATATATAGACCAATGGAACAGAACAGAGGTTTCAGAAATAAAACCACACATCTACTACCATCTGATCTTTGAAAACCTGACAAAAACAAGCAATGGGGAAAGGATTCCCTATTTCTGGTGCTGGGAAAACTGGCTAGCCATATGCAGAAAACTGAAACTGGACCCCTTCCTTATATCTTATACAATAATTAACTCAAGATGGATTAAAGACTTACATGTAAAACCTAAAACCATGAGAACCACAGTAGAAAACCTAGGCACTACCATTCAAGACATAGGCATGGGCAACAACTTCATGAATAAAACACCAAAAGCAATTGCAAAAAAGCCAGAATTGACAAATGGGATCTAATTCAACTAAAGAGCTTCTGCTCAGCAAAAGAAACTATCATCAGATTGAACAGGGAACCTACAGAATGGGAGAAAATTTTTGGAATCTGTCCATCTGACAAAGGTCTAATATCCAGAATCTAAAAAAAACTCAAACAAATTTACAAGAAAAAGACAAACAACCCCATCAAAAAGTGGGTGAAGCATATGAACAGACACTCCTCAAAAGAAGACATTTATGTGGCCAACAAACATTTGAAGGACAGCTCATCATCACTGGTCATTAGAGAGATGCAAATCAAAACCACAATGAGATACCATCTCATGCCAGTTAGAATGGTGATCATTAGAAAGTTGGGAAACAACAGATCCTGGTGAGGATGCTGAGAAATAGGAACACTGTTGGTGGGAGTGTAAATTAGTTCAACCATTGTGGAAGACAGTGTGGTGATTCCTCAAGGATCTGGAACAATTACTGGGTATATACTCGAAGGATTATAAATTATTCTACTATAAAGACACATGCACATGTATGTTTACTGTAGCACTATTTACACTAGTAAAGACTTGGAACCAACCAAAATGCCCATTAATTATAGACTGGATAAAGAAAATGTGGCATGTATACAACATGCAATACTATGCAGCCATAAAAAAGAATGAGTTCATGTCCTTTGCAGGGACATGGATAAAGTTGGAAAACATCATCCTCAGCAAACTAACACAGGAAAAGAAAACCAAACACAGCATGTTCTCACTCATAAGTGGGAGTTGAACAACGGGGCCTGCTGGGAGGTGGAGTGAAAGGGGAGGGAGAGCATTAGGACAAATACCCAATGAATGCAGGGTTTAAACCTAGATGAAGGGTTGATAAGTGCAGCAAACCACCATGGCACATGTATACCTACGTAACAAACGTGCACGTTGTGCACATTTATCCCAGAACTTAAAGTAAAATTTTAAAAATATACTTACAAATAAATAAATAAATATAAAATCCAACTACAGCTTATTTCAGGAGTCGAGTTACCTGATATGATAATTATTTCTGTAGGATAATTAATGATTTATGTTCTTTTTTGGACTCTATCTTCTTTTTCTTAAATTTTATTTTATTATTATTATACTTTAAGTTTTAGGGTACATGTGCACAATATGCAGGTTAGTTACATATGTATACATGGGCCATGCTGGTGTGCTGCACCCATTAACTCATCATTTAACATCAGGTATATCTCCTAATGCTATCCATCCCCCCTCCCCCAACCCCACAACACTCCCCAGAGTGTGATGTTCCCCTTCCTGTGTCCATGTGTTCTCATTGTTCATTTCCCACCTATGAGTGAGAACATGCGGTGTTTGGTTTTTTGTTCTTGGCGATAGTTTACTGAGAATGATGATTTCCAATTTCATCCATGTCCCTACAAAGGACATGAACTCATCATTTTTTATGGCTGCATAGTGTTCCATGGTGTATACGTGCCACATTTTCTTAACCCAGTCTATCATTGTTGGACATTTGGGTTGGTTCTAAGTCTTTGCTATTGTGAATAGTGCCGCAATAAACATACGTGGGCATGTGTCTTTATAGCAGCATGATTTATAGTCCTTTGGGTATATACCCAGTAATAGGATGGCTGAGGCAAATGGTATTTCTAGTTCTAGATCCCTGAGGAATCACCACACTGACTTCCACAATGGTGGAACTAGTTTACAGTCCCACCAACAGTGTAAAAGTGTTCCTATTTCTCCACATTCTCTCCAGCACCTGTTGTTTCCTGACTTTTTAATGATTGCCATTCTAACTGGTGTGAGATGGTATCTCATTGTGGTTTTGATTTGCACTTCTCTGATGGCCAGTGATGGTGAGTATTTTTTCATGTGTTTTTTGGCTGCATAAATGTCTTCTTTTGAGAAGTGTCTGCTCATGTCCTTCTCCCACATTTTGATGGAGTTGTTTTTTTCTTGTAAATTTGTTTGAGTTCATTGTAGATTCTGGATATTAGCCCTTTGTCAGATGAGTAGATTGTGAAAATTTTCTCCCATTTTGTAGGTTGCCTGTTCACTCTGATGGTAGTTTCTTTTGCTGTGCAGAAGCTCTTTAGTTTAATTAGATCCCATTTGTCAATTTTAGCTTTTGTTGCCATTGCTTTTGGTGTTTTAGACATGAAGTCCTTGCCCAATGCCTATGTCCTGAATGGTAATGCCTAGGTTTTCTTCTAGGGTTTTTATGGTTTTAGACCTAAAACGTTAGGTCTAACCTTTAAGTCGTTAATCCATCTTGAATTAATTTTTATATAAGGTGTAAGGAAGGGATCCAGTTTCAGCTTTCTACATAAGGCTAGCCAGTTTTCCCAGCACCATTTATTAAATAGGGAATCCTTTCCCCATTGCTTGTTTTTCTCAGGTTTGTCAAAGATCAGATAGTTGTAGATAAGTGGTGTTCTTTCTGAGGGCTCTGTTCTGTTCCATTGATCTATATCCCTGTTTTGGTACCAGTACCATGCTGTTTTGGTTACTGTAGCCTTGTAGTATAGTTTGAAGTCAGGTAGCATGATGCCTCCAGCTTTGTTCTTTTGGCTTAGGATTGACTTGGCGATGCGGGCCCTTTTTTGGTTCCATACGAATTTTAAAGTAGTTTTTTCCAAATCTGTGAAGAAAGTCATTAGTAGCTTCATGGGGATGGCATTGAATCTATAAATTACCTTGGGCAGTATGGCCATTTTCATGATATTGATTCTTCCTTCCCATGAGCATGGAATGTTCTTCCGTTTGTTTGTATCCTCTTTTATTTCATTGAGCAGTCGTTTGTAGTTCTCCTTGAAGAGGTCCTTCATGTCCCTTGTAAGTTGGATTCCTAGGTATTTTATTCCCTTTGAAGCAATTGTGAATGGGAGTTCACTCATGATTTGGCTCTCTGTCTGTTATTGGTGTATAAGAATGCTTATGATTTTTGTACATTGATTTTGTATCCTGACACTTTGCTGAAGTTGCTTATCAGCTTAAGGAGATTTTGGGCTGAGACAATGGGGTTTTCTAGATATACAATCATGTCATCTGCAAACAGGGACAATTTGGCTTCCTCTTTTCCTAATTGAATATGCTTTATGTCCTTCTCCTGCCTAATTGCCCTGGCCAGAACTTCCAACACTATGTTGAATAGGAGTGATGAGAGAGGGCATCCCTGTCTTGTGCCAGTTTTCAAAGGGAATGCTTCCAGTTTTTGCCCATTCAGTATGATATTGGCTGTGGGTTTGTCATAGATAGCTCTTATTATTCTGAGATACATCCCATAAATACCTAAATTATTGAGAGTTTTTAGCATGATGGGTTGTTGAATTTTGTCAGAGGCCTTTTCTGCATCTATTGAGATAATCATGTGGTTTTTGTCTTTGTTTCTGTTTATATGCTGGATTACATTTATTGATTTGCATATATTGAACCATCCTTGCATCCCAGGGATGAAGCCCAGTTGATCATGGTGGATAAGCTTTTTGATGTGCTGCTGGATATAGTTTGCCAGTATTTTATTGAGGATTTTTACATCAATGTTCATCAAGGATATTGGTCTAAAATTCTCTTTTTTGGTTGTGTCTCTGCCAGGCTTTAGTATCAGGATGATGCTGGTCTCATCAAATGAGTTATGGAGGATTCCCTCTTTTTCTATTGATTGGAATAGTTTCAGAAGGAATGGTACCAGTTCCACCTTGTACCTCTGGTAGAATTCGGCTGTGAATCCATCTGGTCCTCTTTTTGATTGGTAAGCTATTGATTATTGCCACAATTTCAGAGCCTGCTATTGGTCTATTGACATATTCAACTTCTTCCTGGTTTAGTCTTGGGAGGGTGTATGTGTCGAGGAATTTATCCATTTCTTCTAGATTTTCTAGTTTATTTGCGTAGAGGTGTTTGTAGTATTCTCTGATGGTAGTTTGTATTTCTGTGGCATCTGTGGTGATATCACCTTTATCATTTTTTATTGCGTCTATTTGATTCTTCTCTCTTTTCTTCTTTATTAGTCTTGCTAGAGGTCTATCAATTTTGTTGATCCTTTCCAAAAACCAGCTCCTGGATTCGTTAATTTTTTGAAGGGTTTTTTGTGTCTCTATTTCCTTCAGTTCTGCTCTGATTTTAGTTATTTCTTGCCTTCTGCTAGCTTTTGAATGTGTTTGCTCTTGCTTTTCTAGTTCTTTTAATTGTGATTTTAGGGTGTCAATTTTGGATCTTTCCTGCTTTCTCTTGTGGGCATTTAGTCCTATAAATTTCCCTCTACACACTGCTTTGAATGTGTCCCAGAGATTGTGGTATGCTGTGTCTTCGTTCTCGTTGGTTTCAAAGAACATCTTTATTTCTTCCTTCATTTTGTTACATACCCAGCAGTCATTCAGGAGCAGGTTGTTCAGTTTCCATGTAGTTGAGCAGCTTTGAGTGAGTTTCTGAATCCTGAGTTCTAGTTTGATTGCACTGTTGTCTGAGAGACAGTTTGTTACAATTTCTATTCTTTTACATTTGCTGAGGAGAGATTTACTCCCAACTATGTGGTCAATTTTGGAACAGGTGTGGTGTGATGCTGAAAAAATGTATATTCTGTTGATTTGGGGTGGAGAGTTCTGTAGATGTCTATTAGGTCCACTTGGTGCAGAGCTGAGTTCAATTCCTGAGTATCCTTGTTAACCTTCTGTCTCGTTGATCTGTCTAATGTTGACAGTGGGGTGTTAAGTCTCCCATTATTATTTTTTGGGAGTCTAAGTCTCTTTATAGGTCACTCAGGACTTGCTTTATGAAACTGGGTGCTCCTGTATTGGGTACATATATATTTAAGATAGTTAGCTCTTCTTGTTGAATTGAGCCCTTTACCATTATGTAACGGCCTTCTTTGTCTCTTTTGATCTTTGTTGGTTTAAAGTCTGTTTTATCCGAGACTAGGATTGCAACCCGTGCCTTTTTTTGTTTTCCATTTGCTTGGTAGATCTCCCTCCATCCTTTTATTTTGAGCCTATGTGTGTCTCTGCACAGGAGATGAGTTTCCTGAATACAGCACACGGATGGGTCTTCACTCTTATCCAATTTGCAAGTCTGGGTCTTTTAATTGGAGCATTTAGTCCATTTAAATTTAAAGTTAATATTGTGATGTGTGAATTTGATCCTGTCATTTTGATGTTAGCTGGTTATTTTGCTCGTTGGTTGATGCAGTTTCTTCCTAGCCTCAATGGTCTTTACAATTTGGCATGATTTTGCAGTGGCTGCTACCGGTTGTTCCTTTCCATGTTTAGTGCTTCCTTCAGGAGCTCTTTTAGGGCAGGCCTGGTGGTGACAAAATCTCTCAGCATTTGCTTGTCTGTAAAGGATTTTATTTCTCCTTCACTTATGAAGCTTAGTTTGGTTGGATATGAAATTCTGGGTTGAAAATTCTTTTCTTTAAGAATGTTGAATATTGGCCCCCACTCTCTTCTGGCTTGTAGAGATTCTGCTGAGAGATTAGCTGTTAGTCTGATGGGCTTCCCTTTGTGGGTAACCCGACCTTTCTCTCTGGCTGCCCTTAACATTTTTTCCTTCATTTCAACTTTGGTGAATCTGACAATTATGTTTCTTGGAGTTGCTCTCCTCGAGGAGTATCTTTGTGGCGTTCTCTGCATTTCCTGAATCTGAATGTTGGCCTGCCTTGCTAGACTGGGGAAGTTCTCCTGGATAATATCCTGCAGAGTGTTTTCCAACTTGGTTCCATTCTCCCCATCATTTTCGGGTACACCAATCAGACGTAGATTTGGTCTTTTCCCATAGTCCCATATTTCTTGGAGGCTTTTTTCGTTTCTTTTTATTCTTTTTTCTCTAAAATTCCCTTCTTGCTTCGTTTCATTCATTTCATCTTCCATCACTGATGCCCTTTCTTCCAGTTGATCACATTGGCTCCTGAGGCTTCTGCATTCTTCATGTAGTTCTCAAGCCTTGGTTTTCAGCTCCATCAGCTCCTTTAAACACTTCTCTGTATTGGTTATTCTAGTTATACATTCGTCTAAATTTTTTTCAAAGTTTTCAACTTCTTTGCCTTTGGTTTGAATTTCCTCCTGTCGCTCGGAGTTGTTTGATCGTCTGAAGCCTTCTTCTCTCAACTCGTCAAAGTCATTCTCCATCCAGCTTTGTTCCGTTGCTGGTGAGGAACTGCATTCCTTTGGAGGAGGAGATGCACTCTGCTTTTTAGAGTTTCCAGTTTTTCTTCTCTGTTTTTCCCCCATCTTTGTGGTTTTATCTACTTTTGATCTTTGATGATGGTGACATACAGGTGGGTTTTTGGTGTGGATGTCCTTTCTGTTTGTTAGTTTTCCTTCTAACAGACAGGACCCTCAGCTGCAGGTCTGTTGGAGTTTGCTAGAGGTCCACTCCAGACCCTGTTTTCCTGGGTAACAGCAGCGGTGGCTTCAGAACAGCGGATTTTCGTGAATGGCGAATGCTGCTGTCTGATTGTTCCTTTGGAAGTTTTGTCTCAGAGGAGTACCCGCCTGTGTGAAGTGTCAGTCTTCCCCTACTGGGGGGTGCCTCCCAGTTAGGCTGCTCGGGGTCAGGGATCAGGGACCCACTTGAGGAGGCAGTCTGCCCATTCTCAGATCTCCAGCTGCATGCTGGGAGAACCACTACTCTCTTCAAAGCTGTCAAACAGGGACATTTAAGTCTGCAGAGGTTACTGCTGTCTTTTTGTTTGTCTGTGTCCTGCCCCCAGAGGTGGAGACTACAGAGGCAGGCAGGCCTCCTTGAGCTGTGGTGGGCTCCACCCAGTTCGAACTTCCCGGCTGCTTTGTTTACCTAAGCAAGCCAGGGCGATGGCGGGTGCCCCTTCCCCAGCCTCGCTGCCGCCTTGCAGTTTGATCTCAGACTGCTGTGCTAGCAATCAGTGAGACTCCATGGGCGTAGGACCCTCCCAGCCAGGTGTGGGATATAATCTCCTGGTGCGCCGTTTTTTAAGCCCGTCGGAAAAGCACAGTATTAGGGCGGGAGTGACCCGATTTTCCAGGTGCCGTCTGTCACCCCTTTCTTTGACTAGGAAAGGGAACTCCCTGACCCCTTGTGCTTCCCGAGTGAGGCAATGCCTCCCACTGCTTTGGCTCATGCACGGTGCACTGCACCCACTGTCCTGTGCCCACTGTCTGGCACTCCCTAGTGAGATGAACCTGGTATCTCAGATGGAAATGCTGAAATCACCCGTCTTCTGTGTTGCTCATGCTGGGAGCTGTAGACCAGAGCTGTTCCTATTCAGCCATCTTGGCTGCTTCTCTGGACTTTATCTTCTTGCATATGTTTGTACAATAATTTTTTTTTCTTCATCCTTGTGGTACTTATTCATCTGAGCTGGCTCCACTGTCCAAATGCTTCTGCTTTTTGTTTTTCTTTTGTAGCATAGGTTTTTTGCTTTTGCTTTTACCTTAGGATTTCCCTAGGGAGTTAACAGGGATTTTCATTTTGTTCTGCTTTTGCAGTATGGATCAAACTTTGGCTTATGATGCTAATGTGTGAAGAGAAAAAATTATCCAAAGCAGATGAGCTTTAATGAACAAATGTGTATTTTGTGTGAATTTGACTAGGGTGCATGTGGTTTTTGTTTTTTGGGTGGTTTTTTGTAATTAATATGAATAAAGTGCCGTTCTCATAAATGTAATCACTTAAGAACACTACTACTCATTCTTGAAAAGGTAGAAATGTAAAATTTAGAAAAAAAACTAAGGTGGGGACTAGAGCCATGAGAAGAATGTTTACTATCAAGTTCATTGATTCTTTTGGATTTGGAACTTGGCTTTGTTTTTCAATAGTGACAATAATGGCTCAGTTCTAGGAAAGTTCTGGAAGATACTGATAATTTTAGTTTAAAATGAAAATCTCATGTTTCTGTGTTTTATCATCTTCAATAAGACTTCTTAAGTGTTTTGGAAAATACACACACACACACACACACACACACACACACACACACACACACTCTTCATTCTCCCTTTTACTTACCTTTACAGTTTCTTCAAGACCTTTTCCATTTTATGCCAATATTCACTAGTTGAGTTATTTTTTGTCTCTCTACACTATAATATCCATAAGAAAAGGAACTCTACACATGTGCTTATGATGTAGTAATATTTTAAATATCAGCTCAACAAAGATTTGTGTAACAAAAGAATGAATCAAGTGTAGCATTGATAAGAACTGCCAAGAAATTTCAAAGGGAAATTTATTGAGGGACATTTGAGAAATCAGTAAAACTTGTTCTCTATGTTCTCGATCTTTCAAATGAGTGG
The DNA here is from genome assembly GCF_000001405.40 of Homo sapiens. Taxonomy (NCBI): domain Eukaryota; kingdom Metazoa; phylum Chordata; class Mammalia; order Primates; family Hominidae; genus Homo; species Homo sapiens. The sequence goes on from NC_000023.11 coordinate 55,852,927, forward strand.
TCCTTAGATGGTTTGGAATTTGGCTGTTTTTAATAATACCTTTAAGATAACACCTGCTTTAGTTGTAACTTTGCCTAACTAAACATTATCACATTTTAAACATTCTATCGAATCCATGTGGATTTCAGAAAGTGCTTAGTTAAATGTTTTTCTTTAAATACAGATCAAACATATCCATGCAAAATCATTTTGCGGCCTTGTTACCAAATGCTTATTTTCGCTGATCACCGCCCCAAATTGTATCAAAGATACTTAAATGTAACTGTATTTCTTATTGTATATTAAATTTTTACAATAAATATTTAATAGATTTTGAAATTTTGCTTTTAAAATTATTTTGCTGAATATAACTCATTAAGTAATATGATTGGGTATTTCATCATGCAATATTTGGTAAACATTAACAATGTTTTTGTTTTCCTGAAATTCAAATTAATTTTTTTCACATACCATATTGTTTCATCTTGGAAAATCTTTGTGATGTCAGTGGATAGATTTCCTTAATTTTTCAGAAAGAAAAAAGAAACAGGTTCAGTAAGGTTAAGTGGCTTCCCCAATGTTACAGAGTAACCCAGATATAATCTCTCTCTTCATGAACTTCCTACCATTGTCAAATAATCAATTGTTATTTGCAAATAGCATTTTCTCCCATCAGATTACAAAAATAATACATTCTTCAGAAAATTTGGAAAATATGTTAGCACTCAGAATAACATAAAAGGCCCACATCTAATAATACAGAGATAAACTTTCCATATATTAGACTTTTATGAATATATTTTACTTAAGTAAATTGGTTTCAATGTTGATTTATTAACATATAAAATAAAATAATTTCCATATCCTTATCCTTTTTCAACATGAGTTCTAGTGATGATGTGATATTCTAACCATAATTTTTAAAAGTAACTTTTCAGTTATTGTGAATGAATATTGTAAAAATACCCTGAAAAAGGCATTCATATTTTTATTGCTTCTTAATGCCACTAACAAATATTCTTTAGCAATGCAACAGTTTAACTTCCTATCATTATTGTATGACATGGCCTTCATCAATACTAGTTACCATCATTTTTTAAACTTTTATTTTAGGTTCAGGGGTGCATGTGCAGGTTTGTTATATAGGTAAATTGTGTGTAACAGAAGTTTGATGTACAGAGTATCTCATCACCCAGGTAATAAGCATAGTACCTGATGATAGGTAGTTTGTTGGTCCTCATCCTCCTCCCTTCCTTCCACCCTTAAGTAGGCCCTGGTGCCTGTTGTTCCCTTCTTTGTGTCCAAATGCACAAAGTGTTTAGCTCCCACTTATAAGTGAGAATATGTGATATTTGGCTTTGTTTTCCTGCTTTGGTTTGCTTAGGATAATGGCCTCCAGCCCCATCCATATTCCTGCAAAGAGCATGATTTTGTTCTTTTTTATGGCTGTGTAGTATTCCATGGTGTATATGTACCACATTTTCTTTAACCAGTTTACCATTGATGGCAATTAGGTTGATTCAATGTCTTTGCTATTGTGAATAGTGCTGTGATGAACATACGCATGCATGTGTCTTTTTGGTAGTATTACTTATTTTCCTTTGCCTATGTACCCCGTAATGGGATTGCTGGGTAGGGTGGTAGTTGTGTTTTAAGTTCTTTGAGAAATTTCCAATCTGCTTTCCACAATGGCTGAACTAATTTACATTCCCACCAGCAGTGTGTAAGAATTCCCTTTTCTCAACAAACTTGCCAGCATCTGTTCTTCTTTGATTTTTTAAAATAATAGTCATTCAGACTGGTGTGAGATGGTATCACATTGTGGTTTTGATTTTCATTTCTCTAATTTTTAGTGATGCTGATAATTTTTTCATATGCTTGTTGGCTGTGTATATGTCTTCTTTTGAAAAGTGTATGTTCATGTCATTTGCCTGTTTTTTAATGGGGTTGTTTTTTGCTTCTTAATTGGTTTAAGTTCCTAATAAATTCTGGATATTAGACATTTGTCAGATGCAAATATTGCAAATATTTTCTACCATTCTATAGGTTGCCTGTTTACTCTCTTGATAGTTTATTTTGCTGCACAGAAGCTCTTAAGTTTAATTAGATACCCTTTGTCAATTTTTGCTTTTGTTGCAATTCCCTTTGGCATCTTTGTCATGAAATATTTGCCCATTCCTATGTCCAGCATGGTGTTGTCTAGGTTGTCTTCAGAAGTGTTTATAGTTTTAGGTTTTACAACTCTTTAATCCATCTTGAGTTGCTCTGTCGAAGGTCAGATGGTTTTAGGTGTGTGGCATTATTTCTGAGCTCTCCATTCTGTTCCTTTGGTCTATGTGTCTGTGTCTGTACTAGTGCCGTGCTATTTTGATTACTGTAGCCTTGTAGTATAGTTTGAAGTTGGGTAATGTGATGCCTCTAGCTTTGTTCTTTTTGTTTAGGATTGCCTTGATTGTTTGGGCTCTTTTTTGGTTCCATATGAATTTTAAAATAGTTATTTTCTAGTTCTGTGAATAACATCATTGGCAGTTTGATAAATACAGCATTGAATATGTAAATTGCTTTGGGCAGTGTTGCCATTTTATCAATATTGATTTTTTCCATCCATGAACATGGAATGTTTTTCCATTTGTTTCTGTCATCTATGATTTATTTGAGTAGTGTTTTATAAGTCTCATTAGTAGAGATCTTTCATCTACCTGGTTAGCTGAATTCCTAGGTATTTTATTCTTTTTGTGGCTACTATGAATGGGATTACACTATTGATTTGGCTCCCATCTTTGATGATGTGTGTGTGTGTATAGATATTATTTTTGTACATTGATTTTGTATCATGAAACTTTTCTGAAGTTGTTTATCAGATCATGGAGCTTTCGGGCCGAGACTAGGTATTTTCTAGGTACAGAATCCTATTGTCTGCAAACAGGGATATGTTGACTTCCTCTCTTCCTGTTTGGGTGCCTTTCATTTCTTTTTCTTGCCTGATTGCTCTGGTCAGGACACCCAGTACTATGTTGAATAGGAGTGATGAGGGAGGACATACTTATATTGTTTAAGTTTTCAAAAGGAATGCTTCCAACTTTTGTCCACCCAGTATGATGGTGGCTGTGGGTTTGTCATACACGGCTCTTGTTATTTTGAGGTATGTTCCTTCAATGCCTAGTTTTTTATGGGTTTTTAATATAGAAGGATATTGAATTTTATCGAAAGCCTTTTTCTGCATCTATTGAGATAATCACGTGGTTTTTGTTTTTTGTTCTGTTCATGTTGTGAATCACATTTATTAGTTTGTGTATGTTGAACCAATCTTGCATCCCAGGGTTAAAGCCTAGTTTACCATGGTGGATTATCTTTTTGATGTCTTGTTGGATTCTGTTTATTAGTATTTTGCTGAGTATTTTTGCATCAGTGTTCATCAAGCGTACTGGCTTGAAGTTTTCTTTTTCTGTTGTGTCTCTGCCAGGTTTTGCTCTCAGGATTATAGCATAGTTTTGCTATGAACTGGCCTCATGGAATAAGTTAGAGAAGAGTTCCTGCTCCACAATTTTAAGGGATAGTTTCAGTAGGAATTGTACCAGCTCTTCTTTATGGATCTGGTAGAATTTGGCTGTGAATCCACTTGGTCCTAGAATTTTCTGGTTGGCAGGCTTTTTATTAGTGGTTGAATTTTGTAATTCATTACTGGTCTGTTCAGGGACTAAATAATCTTTCTGGTTAAAACTTGGAGAGTTATATTATCCCAGCAATTTATCCATTTCTTCTATGTTTTCTAGTTTGTGTGCATAGAAGTATTTATAGTAGTAGTGTCTGAGGGTTTTTCTGTATTTCTGTGGGGTCAGTGGTAACATCCCCTTTGTCATTTCTGATTGTGTTTAATTGGATCTTCTCTCTTTTTTCTTTTTAGCTACCTATCTATCTTATTAATTATTTTCAAAGACAAACTCCTCGAGTAGTTGTTCTTTTGTATGGTTTTCACATCTCAATTTCCTTCAGTTCAGCTATAATTTTGTTAATTTCTTGTCTTCTGCTACCTTTAGGGTTGGTTTGCTCTTGTTTCTCTAGTTGTGATGTTATGTTGGTAATTTGAGACCTCTGTAACTTTTTGATGTAGACATTTAGTACTAAGAATTTCCTGCTTAACACTGTGTTAGCTGTGTTTCATAGATTCCAGTATGCTGTGTCTTTGTTTCATTAGTTTCAAAGAATTTATTGATTTATATCTTAATTTTGTTATTTAACCAAAAGTCATTCATGAGCAGGCTGTTTAATTTCCATTTAGTTGCATGGTTTTGAGCAATTTTCTTCCCATATTGAGCTTTATTATTATTGCACTGTGGTCCAAGAGTATGGCTGGTATGATTTAGAGACTCTGAAACTGAGAAAAGGGCAGGAGACCCCAACCTCCTCTCTGGAGACTGGGCAATAGGGGGATAATAAAATCCAAGGATTGTGGGAAAAACTCAAGTATAATCCAGGCATATGCCGCTCTTAGAGATAAGCCTGATCTAAAGTAGTAGTTTAGAATATGTTATTGTTATTTGTGAGAAGCAGCTGTACTCATTATATGGGAAAAATTGATCTTTGACAGAGACAGCAATTCCATACAAGATGAAAGTAAAACAAAGTTCTACTCAAGGGAGATAGTCTTCCAAAAATTTTACAAAAAAAAAAAAAAAAAACCTAAGTAAATGCTTCCATCACCATCATGACCATCTCCATAGTCACTGCTATCATTGCCATGGCTACCATTACCATAACCACAAGAATTGTATACACCACTACCATTACCATCATCATCACTATCCCTGATAAGCCTTGGAATTCCCCTAAACCCACCAGCCAGGCCATAGGGCTGGCCTCTAAGTGAGGAAAACTACACACAGGAAAAAGAAAGATGTCAGGAATGGGATAAGTATACTATATTCCAGTTTCCTAACTCATTAGGTAGAGTTCAGAGCTTAAGCCTCCAGTTCATGATTCTTAGCCCCATATGGGAGGGAAGGGGGTTAAGGTGGGCGGCTACAGCCCAATTATCTACAAGGCTGTCAGGTTCTACATACTCTTCTGGCACTGGGTTCCAGACAACCATTGTATTAGTTATTTTTTCACGGTGCTGATAAAGACATACCCAAAACTGGGAACAAACAGACGTTTAATTGGACTTACAGTTCCACATGGCTGGGGTGGCCTCAGAATCATGGCAGGAGGCGAAAGGCACTTCTTAAATGGCAGCGGCAAGAGAAAACTGAGGAAGAAGCAAAAGTGGAAACCCCCAATAAACCCATCAGATCTTGTGAAACTTATTCACTATCACAAGAATACCAAAGGAAAAACCAGCCCCCATGATTCAATTACCTCCTCTGGGGTCCCTCCCACAATACATGAGAATTCTGAGAGATAAAATTCGAGTTGAGATGTGGGTGGAGACACAGTAAAACAATATCATTCTGCCCCTGGCCCCTCCAAATCTCATGTCCTCACATTTCAAAATCAGTCATGCCTTCCCAACAGTCCCCCGAAGTCTTAACTCATTTCAGCATTAACCCAAAAGTCCACAGTCCAAAGTCTCATCTGAGACAAGGCAAGTCCCTTATGCCTATGAGCCTGTAAAATCAAAAGCAAGCTAGTTTTGCCTGGGCATTGAGGTGTTTCCATACATCTTCTGAAATCTAAGCAGAGGTTCCCAAATCTCAATTCTTGACTTCTGTACACCCACAGACTCAACAACATGTGGAAGCTGCCAAGGCTTGGGGCTTCACCCTCTGAAGCCACAGCCCGAGCTCTACATTGGCCCCTTTCAGCCATGGCTGGAGAGGCTGTGACACAAAGTACCAAGTCCTTAGGCTGCATACAGCACAGGGACCCTGGGCTTGGCCCAGAAAACCACTTTTTCCTCCTGGGCCTTTGGGTCTGTGATGGTCTCTGACATGGCCTGGAGGTCTCTGACATAGAGGCATTTTCCCTGTGGTCTTGGGGATTAACATTAGGCTCCTTGCTACTTATGCAAATTTCTGCAGCCAGCTTGAATTTCTCCCCAGAAAATGTTTTTTTCTTTTCTATCACATTGTCAGGCTGCAATTTTTCTGAACTTTTATGCTCTGCTTCCCTTATAAAACTGAATGCCTTTAGTAGTACCCAAGTCACCTCTTGAATACTTTCCTGCTTAGAAATTTCTTCCACCAAATACCCTAAATCATCTCTCTCAAGGTTAAAGTTCCACAAATCTCTAGAGCAGGGGCAAAATGCCACCAGTCTCTTTGCTAAAATGTAACAGGAGTCACCTTTGCTCCAGTTCCCAACAAGTTCCTCATCTGCATCTGAGACCACCTCAGCCTGGACCTTAATGTCCATATTGCTATCAGTATTTTGGGCAAAGCCACTCAACAAGTCTCTAAAAAGTTCCAAACTTTCCCAAACATTTCTGTCTTCTTCTGAGCCCTCCAAACTCTTCCAACCTCTGCCTGTTACCCACTTCCAAAGTTGCTTCCACATTTTCCGATATGTTTTCAGCAACACCTCACTCTTCTGGTACCAGTTTACTGTATTAGTTCATTTTCATGTTGTTGATAAAGACATACCTGAAACTGGAACAAAAAGAGGTTTAATTGGACTTAAAGTTCCACATGGCTGGGGTGGCCTCAGAATCATGGTGGGAGGCAAAAGACACTTCTTACATGGTGGCAGCAAGAGAAAAATGTGGAAGAAGCAAAAGCAGAAACCCCTGATAAACCCATCAGATCTCGTGAGACTTATTCACTATCACTAGAACAGCAGGGAAAGACCAGCCCCCATGATTCAATTGCCTCCTCCTGGGCCCCTCTCTCAACACGTGGGAATTCTGGGAGATACAATTCAAGTTAAGATTTGGGTGGGGACACAGCCAAACCATATCAACCATAAACTATTACTAGCCCCAAATCATCCTTCTTGTTAATGAGAAGGAAACTTCTACTATTTTTTTTTGGATGGGTCCTTACTGGTTCCAGTAATGCTGGTCAGTACAGAGAGTGATCACAGACAGTTTGGGTAAGGCTGGGGAAGACAAGAGATAACCCAATCTAAGATAATTAATCTGTCAACAAGGAGATTTCAAAACACATGAATTCCACAATTTGTCCCCAACAGGTGTCACAGTACTTTGGGGTTGAGGGAAGCTGCTAGGTTAAACTCATTGAAATATGTACAATAAACTGCTACGTTCCACAAAAAAGAGGCCAGAAGTTCTGTGTCCACCTAAAGTAGAACACATTGGAAAAAATCCTAGGCCAATCAAGAGCGATCCAAAACTGTCATCCTAAATAACAAACAGAGAGATGTTCTCCAAAATAAAATAATACTTTTAGGGGAATATAGTGCAGTGAGAATTTGCATTCCACAATAAAACCATATGAGTTTTCAGGGAGGTAAAGGAAGCAAGTGGGTTTATTTTTTTAAAAATGGAGATTATATGATTGCTTTGAGATAACTATCCTTGGTTACAAGGATCAATAACAAGAGTGGCACTAGCCTGAGGTTAAACAGGCAGATGCTGGGCAGATATCATTTCAGAAGTATTTTCTTTTTAAATTTGTGCTGGTCTTTGTGCAGTGTTTTGGCTTTTGCAGAGTCTTTTGTAATAGTTTTTGTTAGCAGGTATTTGGGCATGATAGCCATCCCTTTATGGTCTTCCTTGGCTCTATATGATGGGCTTAGTTTGTTAGTTTGTTTTTGTATTTTTTTAAAAAAACATAAATGACTCTATTATGATTCTGACAACTTATGAAACCAAGTTATGCCACAAATCATGATTTTGGGTATGCCATATAGATTGGTTAAACCGAATGTTAGAAGTCAGGATTGTGTCAGAAGTTCAGCTCAAGGATGATACAAAAACAATTCAACCCCATAGAAGGCTGACAGAAACATAGCCAGATAGCAACCAGATATGTTGTTGGAAGTCATGGTGGAATTTCTCTCCAGGTTCCAGTACCCTAGAGAAAAACAAGAAAGCCCATGAGATAATTGAAGAGCATTGTGGAGTTTAGGGTAAGTGGTGAAGATCCCGGCATTCCATAGCCCTTCTGCCTTTAAGCACAGGCCAGTCATGTCTGTTCCACTGCCAAGTTTACTGTATTCAGGAGAGTGGCACAGCCTGCAGATACCTGTGGGTATATCTAGAAGAGCAGAGATAGGAGTTGGAGCATGGTAAGGGACAAAAATAAAATTCTGCTCAAGTGAGGAAGAGGGCTATCATAATAACACATGCACATATAAAGGTGTTTCTGTGCACCGAGTAGATTAAAATAACATTAGAATTTGTCAATGTATACATTTACAGTTGGAGCCTAGAAGCTATATACATTTGGTCACTAGAATTGTAACAATGAGTTCTGGTATAGTATATATGAAATATGCAACAGAACCCTTTGCTTTTAGTTTAAGCTAGTCAAGAAGACTTCCAGAATTCTCAAGGGCCAAAAAAAAAAAAAAAAAAAAGAACCTTATGTAGCATCTATTGTGTGTATCATTCATTTAACATTTATTGAACACCTACATCTGTTAGTAATGTTTCTAGGTTATGAGGACACAGACATGAATTAGACATGGTTTCTGATTTTAAGATGTTCAAAGGCATGTAAGAGTATGTAAGTTCAAACTTCTCTGTGTGTGTTAAGTGGAGGCCTAATTGCAAGTAGTTACAATATAACATTAGAAGCACTATTGTGTGGGTCTATATACATTCCTTTTCATAAAATGAATTTGAAGGAACAACTCCATGTGTGGGTAATCATATGAAACAACACAGAGAAGATTGTATTTTACCCAAATCTTAACATATGAGTTGGAATTTTCCAGTTGGAGAAAAGGTGAAGGGAACTAGAGGCAGAGGACAAGGCATTAGCAAATAGAAGCCTAAAATTGTCCGGTATGTTTGAGAAATAGCAAGAATTTAGGCATGACAATAGCATACATTTCACAGGAGTTGGGGATTAGGATGGGAAATGTGAGTTGAAGAGTAGGTTCATGATAAATGTTATATGTAATTTTAAGGAGTTTTGATTTTTGTCCTAAAGCCAGTGGGAAGTGATTTAAAATTTTTAAGAGAGTAACAGGAAAAAAAAAATCTCTGTATTTTAGAAAAATATTTGGAGCCAGTATGACATAGTGGTTAAAAACATGGACACTGGAGTCAGATTTGTTTTGAGTCATAAATCTGCCAATTATTAGTCATGTCATTTTTAGCAAACAACCTCTCTGAGCTTGTTTCTTAATCTGAAAAATGGCATAACAATAGTACCCAAATCCTGAGATTTTGGGAGGACTAAATAAGATAATGCATATAGTATTCTTAACACAGTGTCCAGTATATAGTAAGAACTGAATAAATGGTGGTTATTATGATGATTCTGAATTTAATGTGGAATGTGGGGTGGATCTAGGGTACTAACGTTCAGATGAGAAACAACGCAGGCTTGATATTAAAAAGTGGTAGTGTTAAAAGGATTTGGTTACTTACTGAATGTGGAGTATAAGGGAGAAAAGGAGCTTACCTTTACTCCTAGCTTTGTTTATAGTTGAGGTAACTGGGTGGTTGGTGTTGCCATTTAATATTATGGAGAATCCAGGAGAGGCAGGTTATGGATAAAGGCAGGAGTGACATGATGATCCTGGTTTGTGATTATGTGTTTCCCAGAGCCTAATGCGTTGCCAAAATTGTGGTTCTGAGGATTCAAAACTGGGGGAAACACCTGAATTGTAGAGGTTTCATCATCTTGACCTATTTTGTAATTAGATCCCAATATATATACACTGTCTCTTTAAATGTTACATTTTAAATGGTGCAGTGTATTTTATCAGTACTACATGAAGTTTTCTGAAAGCAAATCCATTGTTCGAAAGCTAAAATTGTTAGCCTTGAAGATTCTGTCCTACTGGGTACAATTTGTGAGCATGTATATGAGGTTAAAATAATAGCAAGAAGCTACATGGTGGCATTTTCATACTATTTCAATCCTAAATTTCCTTGTGAGCAGTTATGACATGGTTAAAAGTGTAGCCCCGAAATGAGTTTACCTGCGTTCAAATCCTGGCTCTATCATTTGTTAATAAATGCTTCCAGGAGATTATTTAAATTTTGGCACTCAGTTTCCCTATCTGTAAATTGGAAGACAATAATGATAGTACTGCACAGTTTGTGGGTTTCACTTAGAAACCAGGGCTTGGCACATAGAAAGTGCTATATAAATATTAGTCATTGTTATCAATATCACAGAGCATGGTTTGGTGGAAAAAGTTTCTCTTGATTTCACCGTGAATCAGGAAATTAATTTGGGTTTGAAATTATTGAGTCCTCTAAAGGTTAACCTGATCACTGCTCCTCCGTGACCCAGGCTAGTTTAGGTAGGTAAACCTCACTCATCTCTCCCTCCATCAGAAGACTCACCTATCATACTGCTGTGTCATTTTCTATTTACTTGTCCCAGAGTCTGTAAAAACCATGATGGTAAGGTCTTTGTCTTGTTTATTGTTTAAGCCTACCTGGCAAATAACAGATCCTCAATAAATTATATATTGACTAGATGTATGTACATTCAGTTAACTTCTTTGCTTCATGGTTGCATTGAAACTAACATGAAAACAGAACAAAAAACAAAAACCACATGATTATCTCAATAGATGCAGAAAAGGTGTTCTGTAAAATTCAACACTTCTTCATGTTAAAAACTCTCAATAAATTACGTGTTGAAGAAATACACCTCAAAATAATTAGAGCCGTCTATGACAAGGCCACAGCCAGCATCACACTGAATGGGCAAAAGCTGGGAAGCATTCTCCTTGAAAACAAGCACAAGACAAGAATTCCCTCTCACCATTCCTACTCAATGTAGTAATAAAAGTCCTGGCCAGCGCAATTACGCAAGACAAAAACATAAAGAGCATCTAAATAGGAAGAGAGGAAGTCAAACTATCCCTGTTTGCAAATGACATGATCCTATATGTAGAAAATCCCATAGTCCCGGCCCAAAAGCTCCTTAAGCTGATAAACAACTTCAGCAGAGTCTCAGGATACAAAATCAATATGCAGAAATCACTAGCATTCCTATACACCAACAACAGTCAATCTGCACTCTGAAAGCCAAATCAGGAACACAATCCCATTCACAATTGACACAAATAAACAATACCTAGAAATACAGCTAACCAGAAAGGGAAAAGATCTCTACAAGTAGAACCACAAAACACTGCTCAAAGAAAACAGGGATGAAATAAATTCAAAAACATCTCATGCTCATGTATAGGAAGAATCAATATCATTAAAAGGGCAATACTGCCCAAAGCAATTTATAGATTCAGTGTTATTTCTATTAAACTACCAACGACATTCTTCACAGAACTAAAAAAAAAAAAAAAAAAAAAAGACTATTTAAAAATTCTTATGGAACCAAACAAGAGACCGAATAACCAAGGCAATCTTAAGCAAAAAGAACAAAGCTGGAGGCATCATGCTACCTGACTTCAAATGATACTACAGGGCTACAGTAACCAAATCATCATGGTACTGGTAGAAAAACAGACACATAGAGCAATGAAACAGAACAGAGAACCCAGAAATAGACCATAAGCCATATACCTACAACTAACTGTCTGCTCTTTGACAAACCTGACCAAAAAAAGCAATGGGGAAAGGACTTCCTATTCAATAAGTGGTGCTGAAGTAACTGGCTAGCCAGATGCAGAAGATTAAAAATGTACCCCTTTCTTACACCATATACAAAAACTAACTCTAGATGGATTAAAGACTTAAATGTAAAATCCAAAACAATAAAATCACTGGACCAGACAACCTAGACAATACCATCCTGGACATAGCAACGGGCAAAGATTTCATTATGAAGATGTCAAAAGCAATTGCAACAAAAGTAAAAATTGACTAATGGGATTTAATTGAAATAAAGAGCTTCTGCAAAGTAAAAGAAACTATCAACAAAGTGAACAGAATGAAAGAAAATATTTGTAAACTATGCATCTGACAAAGATCTAATATCCAGCATCTATAAGAAACATAAACGGCTGGACGTGGTGGTTCACGCCTGTAATCCCAGCACTTTGGGAAGCCGAGGTGGGTGGATCACAAGGTCAGGAGTTCGAGGCCGGCCTGGCCAATATGGTGAAACCCCGTCTCTACTAAAAATACAAAAATTAGCTGGGTGTGGTAGCGTGCGCCTGTAGTCCCAGCTACTCGGGAGGCTGAGGCAGAGAATCGGTTGAACCCGGGAGGTGGGGGTTGCAGTGAGCTGAGCCGAGATTGCACCACTGCACTCCAGCCTGGGTGACAGAATGAGACTCCGGAAAAAAAAAAAAAAAGCATAAACAAATTTACAAGAAAAAACACACAACCCCATTAAAAAGTGGGCAAAAAACATGAATAGGCAGCTTTCAAAAAAAGACTTACATGTGGCCAACAAGCATATGAAAAAAAAGATTAACATCACTGAGCATTAGAGAAATGCTAATTAAAACCACAATGAGATATCATCTCACACCAGTCAAAATGGCTATTAATAAAAGGCAAAAAGTAACAAATGCTGGTGAGGTTGTGGAGAAAAATAAACACTTATACATCATTGGTGTGCAGGTAAATTAGTTGAACCATGGTAGAGGACAGTGCGGCAATTCCTCAAAGACCTAAAAACAGAAATACCATTTGACCCAGCAATCCCATTACTGGTTATGTACTCAAAGAAATATAAATCATTCTACTGTAAGGACACACACACATGCATGTTCATTACAGCACTATTCACAATAGCAAAGACATGGAATCAACATAAATGTCCATCAATGGTAGACTGGATTAAAAAAAATGGTACATATACACCATGGAATACTATTTAGCCATAAAAAAAAAGAATGGGATTGTGTCCATGTGGATGGATGGAGGCTATTATCCTTAGCAAACTAACACAGAAGCGGAAAACCAAATACTACATGTACTAACTTATAAATGAGAACTAAATGATGAGAACACATGGACACAGAGGACAACACACACTAGTGCCTATTGAAGGGTGGAGGGTGGGAGAAGGGAGAGAATCAGGAAAAATAGCTAATGGGTATTAGGCTTAATACCTGGGTGATGAAATAATATGTACAACAAACCCCCATGACACAAGTTTACCTATGTAACAAACCTGCACATGTACTCCTGAAATTAACATAAAAGTTATAAAAAATAAATAAAGATAGAGGAGGAAAAATAAAGTAACATGAAATTATTAACCTCTTATTGATAAAAAGAGTCAAATTCTGCAAAATATTCGAAAAGACTTATTCCAAGCCAAATATTAGTGACCATGGCCCCTGACACAGCCCTCAGGAAGTCCTGAGAACATGTGCCCAAGGTGGTCGGGGTGCAGCTTGGTTTTATACATTTTAGGGAGACATGAGACTTTAATCAAATACATTTAAGAAATACATTGGTTTGGTCCATAAAGGGGGGGACAACTTGAAGTGGGGGCTTCCAGCTTATAGGTGGATTGAAAAATTTTCTGGTTGACAATTGATTGAGTTTATCTAAAGACCTAAGATCAACAGAAAAGAATGTCTGGGTTAAGATAATGTTATACCCGAGCGAGTTAGAAAAACGCCACACTTTGAGACGAATTAAGAGTCCTTTATTAGCCGGCGACCGAGAGATGGCTAACGCTCAAAATTCTCTTGGCCCCGAAGAAGGGGCTAGATTTCCTTTTATACTTTGGTTTAGAAAGGGGAGGGGGGTCTAGTTAAAACAATTTTACAGAAATAAAGTAGGCAAAAAGTTAAAAGGATAAATGGTTACAGGAAAGTAAACAGTTCCAGGTGCACGGGCTTTAAGACTATTACAAGGTGATAGACTCGGGGCTTTGGGCGTTATCAATCAGACGAATTCCTGGGAATTGCGGATATAGCTTGCCACAGTATCTTATCAGTTAATTGCATTCTTGGATGTGCTTGGAGTCAGCTTGCACAAGTTAAGTCCTTGAGGAAGGGGCTGCCAGTGAAAGAGCCAAGATGGAGTCTGTCTGGCTCTCTTAGCTAAGGGAGAGTCAAAGCAGGTGGAAACAAGGCTAGGTGATTAAAGGAAAAGGGGGAGTCTAAAAACAGGGTTAGTAAAAACAAGGTTGGGCATTACAATAAGAGGTTATGGAGACCAAAGTTCTTATTTGCAGAGGAAGCCTTCAGATAGTAGGCTTCAGAGAGAATAGGTTGTAAATGTTTCTTATGGAACTTAAGGTTTGTGTTGATGTTAATGCCAGAGAGGTATAATGAGGCATGTTTGACCCCCCACTTTCCCTAATGGCCTGAAACTGTCTTTCAGGTTAAACTGTAAAAGAGCCCTGGCTGAGGAGGAAGTCCATTCAGATGGTTGGGGTGGGGGAGGCCTTAGAATTTCATTTTTGGTTTACACTCTTCAGGCATGGGACTAAGTTATATGATCTCTCCCCTACCATTGTGATTAGGCAATTTTTTAAGCACTAGCCCTGGCTAGTGGATACCCAGAGGTAAATTGGGAAATCACATGACACTGATGCTATTGAAAAATAAGAATACTCAGTGCATTGGCTGTGAGCCAAACCACAGTAATGTCTGTTTTCTAAGAATGAAGCAGGCAGAAACTTAAATAACTAACCTAGGAAAGTGATTCTCAAAGTGAAGTCTTCAGGCCATCATCATCAGCATCATGTGGGAACTTCTCAGAAACGCAAATTCTTAAGGCCCATTTCATATGTGCTTAATCATAAACTCTGGGAATGAGATCCAAAAACTTGTGTTTTAATAAACTTTCCGGGTGACTGATGCATGCTCAAGTTTGAGAACCACTGACTTAGACCAAAATTGTTTAGGTGTCCTTAAAATATATTCTGCTTGGTACAGTTGTCTAAATTGCTTATATTTCAGGCCTGGGTATAATTTTTCTCCAGGCCAGTTTCATTATGACATACTCTAACCTAACCCCTCATGCCATAAATACTCATAAGGAAAGGGGCACTAGGTGAGACTATAAATGTAGAGACAGCAAAATTACCCAGGACTTCCAATTTTCTTTCTAATTATTTCCCTTTATTACTAATCTTGTGGGCATCTTATGGCTGGCTATTATTAGAGACAGGCAGTTTAATAATACAGTTGTGAACTCCAAACATCTGAGACAGATCTCAGTCAATTTAGAAAGATTATTATGCTAAAGTTAAGCATTCACCTGTGACACAGCTTCAGGAAGTACTGAGACATGTGCCCAAGGTGGTCAGGGGGTACAGTTTGCTTTTATACATTTTAGGGAGACATGAGACTGTCAGGCCTCTGAGCCCAAGCTAAGCCATCATATCCCCTGTGACCTGCAGGTACACATCCAGATAGCTGGTTCCTGCCTTAACTGATGACATTCCACCACAAAAGAAGTGAAAATGGCCTGTTCCTGCCTTAACTGATGACATTACCTTGTGAAATTCCTTCTCCTGGCTCATCCTGGCTCAAAAGTTCCCCCACTGAGCACCTTGTGACCCTCGCCCCTGCCCACCAGAGAACAACCCCCTTTGACTGTAATTTTCCTTTACCTACCCAAATCCTATAAAACGGCCCCACCCCTGTCTCCCTTCCCTGACTCTCTTTTCAGACTCAGCCTGCCTACTCCCAGGTGATTAAAAAGCTTCATTGCTCACACAAAGCCTGTTTGGTGGTCTCTTCACACGGACGCGAGTGAGAGACATCAATCAATATGTGTAAGATGTACAGTGGTTCAGTCTAGTTCCAGTAAGGCAGGACAACGGGAAGTGGGGGCTTCCAGGTTAGAAGTAGATAAGAGACAAAATGCTGCATTCTTTTGAGTCCTTCCACTTAATACACAATTTAGTCTGGCTCAGTGAGTCTGCATTTTTTACATAAACAATAGGGGAGAAGAAGAATCAGATATGCATTTGTCTCTGGTGAGCCTCAGAAGGATGACTTTGAATAGAATGGGAGGCAGGTCTTCCTAGGCAGTTGCCTGCTTGACTTTTCCTTTTAGCTTAGAGATTTTGGGGTCCCAAGATTTATTTTCCTTCCACACAGTAAAGAATAAAGTCTTCCAAGTTAGAGAGATTTGGGTGTGAATTTCTGTTTCCTGGCTTTCAGCTGCTTAATTGTGTGCAAATTCCAGATTTGAGTTATGCATTTTCCTAGCTGCTACACAAAAGCTGCTGTGAATATTAAAGGAAAATTAAAAACAAAGAGACATATGGTCACTGGTTTCTACATATGAAATGTGGCATATTCTAACCTCCTGAGGGCCACCAAGAAAATGAACACAAAGGTCTAAGAGGCACCAAGAATAGCTGGCCAGAATAATTGGTGAGGTTTACTTCGTATACGAGCCCAGCCTGTGAAGAGTAAAAGAGGTGTCTATTTCATTCAATGCATAGAAACCAACAGAGTCAAGAAAAATAAAGAAACGGGAAAATATTCTCCAAATAAATAAACAAGATAAATCTAAAGAAACTGACCATAGTGAGATGGAGATATGTGATTTACTTAACAGAAAATTCAAAATAATGGTCATGAAGAAGCTCACCTAGTTTAGGAGAGAATCACAGGAACAATATAAGAATTTCAACAAAATGACAGAAAATATTTTTAAGATACCAACAAGAAATTACAGAACTAAACAATGTAATAACTGACATGTAAAATTTAATACAAGGTTTCAACTGTAGACTAGATCAAGCAGAAGAAAGGGTCAGTGAACTCAAAGGGAGTTCACTGGAAATCATCCAGTCAGATGAGCAAAGAGAAGAAAAAGAATGAAAAAGTGAAGATAGCTTAAGGGACTTATAGGACATATAGAAGTCTCAGTAGAAGAAGAAAAAGAGTAAAGGGCAGAAAGCTTATTCAAACAAATAATGGCTGAAAACTTCCCAAACCTGGGAAAGAAAAAAGACATCCAGATCCAAAAAAGCCCAAAGCACACCAAACTAGAGGAATACAAAGAGATCCACAGTGAGACACATTATAATCAAATTCTTAAAACTTAAAGAGAGAATTCTGAAAGCAGCAGGAGAAAAGTAACTTGTTACCTACAAGAAAACCCTCATAAAACAATCAGTGTTTTTATCAGTAGAACCTTGCAGGCCAGAAGGAGTAGGTGGGTTGATAGATTCAAAGTGCTAAAAGGAAAAAAAGAAAAAAAAAACCTGCCAGGCAATAATACTACAATTGGCAAATATGTCTTTCACAAAGGAAAGAGAGACAAAGACTTTCTCAAACAAAAGTTGAAGGAGTTTAGTACCACTAGACCTGCCTTGCAAGAAATGCTAAAGTGAATTCTTCAAGTTAAAACAAAAAGATACTAAACAGAAATGTGAGAGCATAAGAAAGTATAAAACTTGCTGGTAAAGGTAAATACATAGACAAATAGAGGGAATACTGTATTACTATAAAAGTAGTGGGTAAATCACGCTTAATTCAATTATAAAAGTCAAAAGACAAAACTATTAAAAATAGTTATAAGTAAATTATGTTAATGGTTACACAATATAAATGAATCTAAATTGTGACATTCTTGACACGTAATAATGTGGGGTAAAGAGAGGTAAACATGTAGAGTTCCTCTACACAAGTGAAGCTAAGTTGTTATCAGTGTGAAATAGACCATTGTAAAACTACAAGATATTTTATGTAAGCTCCATGTTGATCATAAAGAAAATACTTACAGAAGTTACATATGCAAAAATAAAAAACAAAACCTATCGACACAATAATAATAATAATAATAAAGACAGCAAAAGAGAAGAAAAGAGACACATGAACTATAAGACAAACAGAAAACAATGAACAAATAGCAACAATAAGTCTTTTCTAATCAATGTAAATGTAAATGGATTACACTCTCTAATCAAAAGATATACAATGGCTGAATGAATTAAAAGTAAAGAGTTGGAAAAAGATATTCTATGCAAAGGAAAGCAAGAGAGGCTATACATATATCAAACAAAATAGACTTTAAAAACTTTTTAGAAACAAAGACAGTAATTGTATAATGACATAAGAGTCAATTCAATAAGAAGACATAATTTTAAATACATATGCACCCACCATTATAGCAATTAAATATTTGAAGCAAATATTGACATATATGAAAGAAGAAACTGACTGCAAGACAATACTAGTAGAAAACTTCAAAACTCCGTTTTCAATAATGCATAAAGCATCCAAACAGAAAATAAATTAAGAAACTGTAGACTTGAATAACACTACAGACCAAATGGACCTATCAGACAAAACTCTCCACCCAACAGCAGAAGAATATACATTGTTCTCAGCACACATAAAACATTCTTCAGGATAGATAACACATTGGGCAATGAAACAAGTCTTAACAAAATGGGTAAGTTTGAAATTATACCAAGTAACTTTTCTGACCACAGTGGAATCAAATTCAAAATCAGGAACAGTAAGAAAATGAGAAAATTCATAAATACGTAAAAATTAACAAGATTTGAAAAACCATTCAGTCAAAGAGGAAATCAAAAGGAAATTAAAAGAGTGTCTCAAGACAAATGAAAACAAAATTACTACATACCAAAACCATGTGGAATGTAGCAAAAGCAGTATTAAGAGGAAAATTTGTAGCAATAAATGCCTACATTAAAAGGCAAGAGAGATCTCAAATAAACAATCTAATGTTACACATCAAGAAACTAGAAAAAGAAATGAAGACTAAGCCCCAAACTTAGCAGAAAGGAAATGAATAATAAAAATCAGAGCAGAAATAAAACAAATTGAAAAAAATCAACAAAATCAAGGTCTAGTTTTTTCCCCCGAGACTGAGTCTTGCTCTGTCACCCAGTCTGGAGGGCAGTGGTGAGATCTCGGCTCACTGTAGCCTCTGCCTCCCAGGTTCAAGCAATTCTTCTGCCTCAGCCTCCCAAGTAGCTGAGATTACAGGGGCCTGCCACCACGCCCAGCTAATTTTTGTATTTTTAGTAGAGACAGGGTTTTACCATGTTGGCCAGGCTGGTCTCGAATTCCTGACCTCATGATCTGCCCGCCTCAGCCTCCCAAAATGTTGGGATTATAGGCGTGGCCAAGATGTAGTTTTCTGAAAAGATAAAATTAACAATCCCTCAGCTAGTTTAAGAAAAAAGAGAAGTCTCAGATAAATAAAATCGATGGTAAAGAGAAGGCATTAAAACAGAGGCCTTAGAAATAACAAGGATCATAAGAATGTATTATGTACAATTATATGCCAACAAATTTGATAAAATAAGTGGATACATTCCTAGAAACAGGAAACCCACCAAGACTGAAATAATGAATAGATATAAAGCCTAAGCAGACAAATAACAAGTAAAGAGATTGAAATGTTAATAAAATACTGCCTAACCAAAAAAAGCACAGGACCAGATGGTTTCATGGGTAAATTCTACCAAATACTCAAAAAAATAATTAATACCAAAGCTACTTAAAGCCTTAAAAAAAAAAGAAGAGGAAACGCTTCAAAACTAATTTTATAAGGCTAGCATCACTTTCATGTGAAAGCCAGACAAAGACACCACAGAAAACAAATCTAGAAGCCAATATCTGTGATGAATATAGATAGAACAGTTCTCAATAAAAGACTAGCTAACTTAATTCAAAAGTACATGAAAAAGATTATACAACATAAATAAGTAAAGTTTTCCCAGAGAAGCAAGGCGAGTTCAGTATATGCAAATCAATCAATGTAATGTAACATAATATAAACCAAAAGCCATGTAATAATCTCAATAGACACAGAAAAAGCATTTGACTGGGTTCAACATCTATTTATAATAGAAAACTGTAAACAAAGTAGGTATAGAAGAAACTTACCTGAGCATAATAAAGGATATTTATAAAAAGCCCACAGTTAGCATCTTAATGAATGAGGAAAAACTGAAAGCTTTCCCTCTGAGGTCTGGTTGAAGGCACTTGCCAGTTCTATTCAACAGATCATTACATATCAACATAATAAAAGCTGGGAAGTCCCACCAGAGCAATTAGATAAAAAAAGAAACAAAAGTCATCTAAATCAATAATACAAACATTCAATTAACACATATTTTGTATATTATATGTATCATGTACTGTATTCTTACATTAGAATAACCCAGAGGAAAAAAATATTAAGAAAATCATAAGCAAGAGAAAATATATTTACTATTCATTAAATGGAAAAGGATCATCATAAAGGTCTTCATTCTCATCATCTTCACAAGGAGTAGGTTGAGGAAAAAGAAAAGGAGGGGTTGGTCTTGCTGTTTCAGGGGTGGCTGAAATGAAAGAGATGGAATAGGTGGAAGAGGAGAGAGGAGAGGCATGCACACTCAGTGTAACTTCATGAAAATACATTGTAATTCCTGCCTGACATTTTTGCTTTTTCGTTTCTCTAAAAATGTTTCTATACAGTACCAATATTTTCTCAACATTTGTTTTAATTTCAGTGCCCATATCACAGAAGGTATCATGTTGTAAATGAAGTCAAAAGCTGTATCGAATAATCAGAACCTTCATAACAGCTTGTCTAATGAAGTTTTGTTTTCTGGCACTGCCTTTTCTACATCTTCTTCTTCATCGTCTGCTGTTGGTTCAGATGCACTCAACTCTATCACGTTGTCTTCTGTTAATTCTTCTGGTATGGTGTGTGTTCCCTCCTGAATTTTTCCAAGATCCATATCTTGAAACCCTTCACTCCCCATCTTTTTTACCACATTCACAATCTCTTTCATAATTTTCTGGATTGACTCTGTTGTAAATTCTGTGAAGTCATATACAACATCTCAAAACAGTTTTTTTAAGCAAGAATATATTGTTTCAGGCTTGATGGTTGTCACAGCTTTTTTTTTAATAACAATGTTTACATCTTCAATAGTGTAATCCTTCCAAATTTTCATGATCTTCTCTGTATTGAGGTTCTCTCACAGCATTGACAATCCTTTCCATGGAGTACTATATGTAATAAGGCTTAAAGTTTCTTATGATTCCCCTAGATCTAGAGGCTGAAGTAGAGATGTTGTGTTTGGGAGAAGGTAGACAACTTCAATGCCTTTGGTGTTGAATTCATGGGGTTCTCGGTGGCCAAAGGCTTTGTCCAATATCAAAAGAACTTTAAAAGGCAGCCCCTTACTGGCAAGGTAGTTTTTGACTTTAGGGACAAGGCATTAATGGACCCAATCCAGCAAAGGGTTATTTTCCAGGCTTTCTTGTACAACAAAAGTCTTGACAGTTGGTGTTTACCTTTTCTTCAAGGCTTGGGGTTAGCTACTTAATAAAGGCGGTCTTGATAATAAGCCTGATTGCATTTGTACAAAACAGTAGAGTTAGTCTGTCTCCTCTTGCCTAGTGTTCACTTCTCTTCCTTACTAATAAGTGTCATTTGTGGCATTTTCTTTTTCCAGAATAGGGGACTTTCATCTGCATTAAAAACACATTCAAACAGATAATCTTTTTTCTCAATGGTTTCCTTAATGTCACCTGGGAACTAGTTTGCTACGTTTTGTTCAGCAGAAGTTGCTTTTCTTGTTATCTTGAAATTTTTCAAGCCAAGTTTTTTTTTCTAAAATTATTGAACACCTTTTGCTAATATTAAATTAACCAGCTTTAGATCCTTCACTTTCCTTTTTCATTAAATTGTCATATAATGACTTCACTGTTTCTAGAATCACATTGAAGTCTATAGGTATGCCTTATAGCAATCCTGCACACACATGAAAATTGCATTTTCAACAACAGAAGAAGGATATTTCACAAAAAGTGCAAGGTTTTTGCACCTGCTCACATAGCTGCAGCAATGGCTTTACAAATTTCCTTTACTTTTTTTTACAAAGGTCTTTACATTGAATTCACTCTATGGCATATATCAAGCAACTCAACTTTTTTCTCATAATGTCATGACTTTTCTCTTCTGCTTTAGAACACTTCCAGTGTCACTAGTGGCACTTCATATGGGTCTCATAGTGTTTTTTAAGGTAGGCAGTATTGCACTAAACACAACAAAAAGTATATAAGAATTGCAATAGATCACTTTTTACCATGATACACAATTTAGTAAACAGCTTACCACAATAGAAAGAGGAAGTGGCTACAAAATTATTACAGTAGTACAGTATGTACTGCAGTTAATTTTATGCAGATATGACTTAATACTTTCTTTGTTTACAATTCTCTGAACTGCAAATGGCATTATGTGTAAGTGTTAATGTGCATACATTTTGATAAATCTTAACTTTTTAATAATAGATTTGTGTATATTTTATGGTAGAAAAATGATAAAATACACTAGTATCAACATGTATTTTATGATTTATAGCATACCTAACTTTTTCTTAATTTTTAAAATATTTCTAGGCTATGCAGTTCATTTGCAAGACTTTTTCAAATTGTCACAAATCTCCAGAAAGTTTCCAATATATTTATTGAAAAAAATGCACTTATAAATGGAACCCCATGCAATTGAAATCTGCGTTGTTCAAGGGTCAACTGTATAGCTACTCCTGCTCTCTTTTGGTTCCCATTTACATGAAATATCTTTTTCCTTATTTCACTTTCAGTCTGTGCGTATCTGATATGGTTTGGATTTGTGTCCCCACTCAAATCTCATGTTGAATTGTAATTCCAAATGTTGGAGGAGGGTCCTGGTGGGAAGTGATTAAATCATGGGGGCAGATTTCCCCCTTGCTGTTCTCATGATAGTGAGTAAATTCTCAGGAGAGCTGGTTGTTTAAAGGTGTGCAGCACCTCCTGCTAGGCCCTATTTTTCCTACTCTGGCCATGTAAGTTGGTGTGCCTGCTTCCCCTTTGCCTTCTGCCATAATTATAAGTTTTCTGATGCCTCCCCATCCGTGCTTCCTGCAGAGCCTGTGGAACTGTAGGACAATTAAATCTCTTTCCTTTATAAAATACCCGGTCTCAGGTATTCCTTTCTAGCAGTGTGAGAATTGACTAATACAGTATCTTTTTTGATTTTTGTTTTGTTTTGTTTTGTTTTTTTGAGAAGGATTCTCACTCTGTCAACCAGGCTAGAGTGCAGTGGCACGATCTCAGCTCACTGCAACCTCCGCCTCCTGGTTTCAAGTGATTCTCCTACCTCAGTCTCCTGAGTAGCTGGGACTACAGGCACATGCCACCATGCCCAGCTAATTTTTTTGTATTTTTAGTAGAGGCAGAGTTTCACCATGTTAGCCAGGATGGTCTTGATCTCCTGACCTAATGATCTGCCCTCCTCGGCCTCCCAAAGTGCTGGGATTACAGGAGTGAGCCACTGTGCCTGACCCTAATACAGTATCTTTATAAGTGACATGAGGCTCTTGTAGGCAGCACAGAATTGGGCCTTGATTTTTATCCATTTAGCCACTCTATGTCTTTTGGTTGGAGAATTTAATCCATTTACATTTAAGGTCATAATTAATAGGTAAGGACTCACTACTGCTATTTTGTTAAATGTTTTCTAGTTGTTTCCTAGATCTCTTGTTTCTTTCTTCCTCTCTTGCTGTCTTCTTTTATGGTTAAGTAATCTTCTCTAGTAGTACGTTTTGATTCCATGCTTTTTATTTTTGGTGTATTTACATAGTTTCTTGCTTCGTGGTTATGATAAGGCTTACAGCAAACCTCTTCCAGTCATAATAGATTATTTTAAGGTGATAACTTAACTTTGATTGCAAGAATATCTACACTTTTACTCCACTCCCCTCCAACATTTTGAATTTTTGATGCCACAATTTATAAGGTTTTCATTGCATATCCCTTAACAAATTATTGCAGCCATTATTATTTTAAAAATATGCTTGTCTTTTAACCTTCATACTAAAGATATAATTGATTTACACATGGACATTACAATAACAAAGTCTTGTGAATTTTCCTGTGTAGTAAATTTCCAGTGAGTTTTATATTATCAGATGTTTCCATGTTACTCATTAGCATCTTTTTCTTTAATCTTGAATAACTTACTTTAGCATTTCTTGTAAGACAGTTCTGGTGATGATGAACCTCCTCATCTTTACTTTGTCTGGGAAAATCCTTATCTCTCCTTTATTTCTGAAAGGCAGCTTTGCCAGGTACAGTATTCTCAGTTGGCAAGTGTTTTTTTTAATTTTTCCTTTTGCACTTTGAATATATAATCCCTCTCTCTCCTTGCCTATAAGATTTCTGGTGAGAGGCTTGATAGCTGCATTGGATCTTCATATATATATATATATATGAGAGAGACAGAGTCTTACTCTATCACTCAGGCTGAAATGCAGTGATGATCACAGCTCACTGAGCCTCCAACTCCTGGGCTCAATTAATCCTCCTGCCTCAGTCTCTAAGGTAGGTGGGACTACAGGCACATGCCACCACAACCAGCTAATTTTTGAATTTTTTGTACAGATGGGGACTTTCTATGTTGCCAAGGCTGGTCTAGAACTCCTGGCTTCAAGTAATCTTCCCACCTCAGCCTCCCAAAGTGCTAGGATAACAGGCATGAGCCACTTTGCCCATCCCCTTATATGTTATTTGCTTCTTTTCTTTTGATGATTTCAGGATCCTCTTGTCAGGCAATTCACAAATCTCCATTTCTTTTGTGTCTGTCACTGGCACTTTATTTTGTCCCTTTGGTGATGTCAAGTTTCCCTGATTGTTCTTGACTTGTGTGGTCATGCATCACTGTTTGCACATAGAGTAAGTATGGTGCTTACTCTTGTCTTCACAGGGTGGCTTTGTCTGAGAAAGTCCTTCAATTGTCAGATCTTCTGGGTAGGCTGTCTGGTGTGGTCACCAAACCCAGGGCTCCTAGAATGACATGGCACTGGGATGAGCCCAAAGCCCAAACCCATTGCAGCTGGCATGGCACTAAGGAAGACCTAAAGACCATGCTGCTGTGGCTGGATGGCACTGAGGCACCAGAAGCCTGGGGTTTGCTGTGGCTTGCACAACACTGGGATACAACTGAAGGTGGCACACTGCTGGTATAAGCCAAGTGCAAAGAGCCACTATAGCTGTCTTGGTGCTGGGGCATGCCCCAAGGCTAGGGGTGTTCAAATTTATATAGAGCTGGGGTGAGCTAGAGAGCAATTCCACCATGCAAGCTTGATGCTTGTGGATGCATGGTCCTGTCTGACACCAGAACGGGTCTGAAAGCTTCCTGTGTGGTGCCAGTCTGGAGTCTGGGGCTGTAGGGGGCTGTCCAGTGCTGGGTTTTACTATAGCACCACTTCCCTCCCTTTTCCCCAATTAGACTATATTTCTCTCTGTGCTGTGATGCCTGGGGTTGAGAATGGGGTGACAGGGATGATGCTAAACTGTCCTGCCTACCATCTTCAATGCATCTTTTCTTATTATTGTACCACATCCAGGTACTGTAACCTCTCAACTGGTTTCCGGAGATCTGGTAAAGGTACTTTCATGCATAAATAATTGTTTAAATTTATGTTTCTGTAGAGTGACAATTGCTGAAAAGTCTAACTCTGCCATCTTTCTCTGCTGCTTGGATTACAGTCTGTGTGTATTTAGTGCTACACAATTTTGTCACGTGTAGGTTTCTGCATTCGCCACCACATTCAAGATACAAAACATTCGGTAGTGGGTTTTTAGCCACTCCAGCACAAGTTCTACAAACAGAGCTCTGATCTCTCCCTGGTATGAAGCCCCTGAGGGGAAGGGTAGCTGCCATTTCTACAGTTCAGTAGACTCAGCTGTTCCAGCCTGCTGGTTTTGGAGAATACAAATAGTGCAGACAAGGAAGGGTCCCCCACAATGAGGCACAGCTGCCTTGCCAAATATTGTGACCAGACTGCTTCTTTAAGCAGGACCCCAATCCATTCCTCCTCACTGGGAGGAAGCTCCCTCTGGGGGCTTCAGCCACCCCAGCCAGGGTTCTACTGATAGAGCTCTGTTCTCTCCCTGGGATGGAGTTTTTGGGGGGAGGTGCGGCTGCCATCTCTGCAGTTCAGTTAACTCAGTGGTTCTATTCAGCTGGCTTTAGAGAATACAAATGGTCCGGACAAGGATGGGTCCCCCCAGTGAAGCACACATGCTCTACCTAAAAGCAGTGAGACTGTTTCTTAAAGTAAGTCTCTGATCCTGTTCCTCCTGACTGGGTGAGACCTCCCAACAAGAGTCTTCAGCCACCTCCTACAGGTGCATGTGGGCTGGCAACAGGTCAATAGCACTGTGGATCAGAGCTTCCAGAGAAAGGAGCTGGCTGCCATCTTTGCTGTTTTGCAGCCTTCACTGGTGATACCTCCAGGTATAGGAAAAATCAAGGCAACTAGGGATTGGGGCAGACCCCAGCAATATGCAGCAGCCCTATGGTAGAGTGACCTGAATGTTAAAAGAAAAAAACAAAAAACAACAACATCAACAAGAAAGATCCCCCAAAAGCCCCAAACAAGGTGAGCAACTTCAAAAATCAAAGATAGACAAACCCCCAAAGATGAAAAATAATCAATAAAAAATGCTGAGAACTCAAAAACCCAGAGAGACTCTCCTCCCCCAAATGACCACAACACCTCTCCAGCAAGGGCACAGAACTGAGCTGAGGCTGAGATGGATGAATTGACAGAAGTAGGTTTCAGAAGGTGGGTAATAATGAACTTTGTTGAGCTAAAGGGGCAGGTTGTAACTCAATGCGAAGAAGCTAAGAATCATGACAAAACAATATAGGAGCTGATAATCCGAATAGCCAGTTTAGAGAGGAACATAACTGACCTGATAGAGCTGAAAAACATAACACAAGAATTTCACAATGCAATCACAACTATTGATAGCAGAATAGACCAAGTGTAAGAAAAACAATCTCAGAGCTTGAAGACTGTCTTTCTGAAAGAACACAGGCAGACAAAAATAGAGAAAAAAAAGAATAAAAATGAATGAACAAAACCTCGGAGATATATGGGATTACATAAAGAGACCAAACCTATGACTGACTGGGGTACCTGGAAGAGACAAGAAGAATGGAACCGAGTTGAAAAACATACTTCAGGATATCATCCAGGAGAACTTCCCCAACCTAGCAAGACAGACCAACATTCAAATTCAAGAAATGCAGAGAACCTCAGTAAGATACTCCATGAGAAGATCAAACCCAAGACACATAATCATCAGATTTTCCAAGTTTGAAATGAAACAAAAAATGTTAAAGGTAACCCAAGAGAAAGGCCAGGTCACCTACATAGTAAAACCCCTCAGACTAACAGTGGACCTCTCAGCAGAAACCCTACAGGCCAGAAGATATTAAGGGCCAATATTCAACATGCATAAAGAAAAGAATTTCCAAACCAGAATTTCATATCAAGCCAAAGAAAACTTCATAAGCAGGGAGAAATAGAACATTTTCAGACAAGCAAATGCTTAAGGAATTCATTACCATCAGGCCTGACTTGCAAAAGCCCCCTCAAAAAAGCATTAAATACAGAAAAAACAAAACAAAACAAAACAAAATTACCAGCCACTACAAAAACACATTTTACACAGACCAGTGACACTATGAAGCAACAAAATAAGTCTTCAGAATAACCAACTATCATGATATAATAACCAACCATCATGATAACAGGAACAAATTCACACACAACAATACTAACCGTAAATGTAAATGGGCTAAACGCTCCAATTAAAACACACAGAATGGCAAGCTGGATAAAGAGCCAAGACCATTGGTACGCTGTCTTTAAGAAACCCATCTCACATTTGAAGAGGCACACAGGCTCAAAATAAAGGGATAGAGGAAAATTTACCAAGCAAATGCAAAACAGAAAAAAGCAGGGGTTCAATCCTAGTTTCTGATAAAACTTTAAACCAAGAAAGATAAAAAAAAAGACAAAGAAGGGTATTACATAATGGTAAAGGGTTCAATTCAACAAGAAGACCTAACTATCATAAATATATATGCATGCAATACAGGAGCACACAGATTCATAAAGCAAGTTCTTAGAGACCTACAAGGAGACTTAGACTCCCTCACAATAATAGTGGAAGTACTTAGCCCAATGACAATATTAGACAGATCATTGAGACAAAAAATTAACAAAGATATTCAGGACCTGAACTCAGCTCTGGATCAAGTGGACATGATAGATATCTACAGAACTCTTCACCCCATAACAGCAGAATACACATTCTTCTCATCACCACATGGCACATACTTTAAAGTTGATCACATAATCAGAAGTAAAACACTCCTCAGCAAATGCAAAATAACTGAAATCATAATAAACAGTCTCTCAGACCACAGCACAATCAAATTAGAACTCAAGATTAAGAAATTCACCCAAAACCACACAATTACATGGAAATTGAACAACCTGCTCCTGATTGACTCCTGGATAAATAATAAAATTAAGTCAGAAATCAAGAAGTTCTTTGAAACTTATGAGAACAAAGACACAATGCACCAGAATCTCTGGGATATAGCTGAAGCAATGCTAAGAGAGGGAAATTTATAGCACTAAATGCCTCATCAAAAAGCTAGAAAGATAAGGTAACAACCTAATATCTCAACTAAAAGAACTAGAGAACCAAAAGAAAAGAAACCCAAAGGTAGCAGAATCAATAAATAGGCAAGATCAGAACTGAACTGAAAGATATAGAGATATAAAAAAACTCTTCAAAAAAATCAATGAATCCAGGACCTGGTTCTTTGAAAAAATTAATAAAAGAGACAGACTGCTAGCTAGACTAATAAGGAAGAAAAGAGACAAGAATCAAATAAACACAATCAGAAATGATAAGGGGGGTATCACCACCAACCCCACAGGAATACAAACAACCTTCAGAGAATACCATAAACACCTCAATGGACATAAACTAGAACACACTGAAAAAATGGATAAATTCCTGGACACATACACCCTCCAAAGACTGAACCAGAAAAAAATTGGATCCCCGAATAGACCAATAACAAGTTCTGAAATTGAAGCAGTAACAAATAGCCTACCAACCAGAAAAAGCCCAGGACCAGATGAATTCAAAGCTGAATTCTACCAAAGGTACAAAGAAGAGATGATACCATTTCTACTGAAACTATTCCAAAAACTTGAAAAGAATGAAATCCTCCCTAACTCATTTTGTGAGGCCAGCATCATCCTGATACCAAAACCTGTAGAGATACAAGAAAAAAAGAAAACTTCAGGCCAATATCCTTGATAAACATCAATGTAAAAATCCTCAATAAGATAGTAGCAAACCAAATCCAGCAGCACATCAAAAAGATTATTCACCATGATCAAGTTGGCTTCATCTCCAGGATGCTAGGTTGGTTCAACATAGGCAAATCAACAAATGTGACTCATCACATGAACAGAACTAAAGACAAAAACCACATGATTATCTCAATAGATGAAGAAAAGTCATTCAATAAAATTCAACATCCCTCTATGTTAAAAACTTTCAATAAACTAGGCATTGAAGGAACATACTTCAAAATAATAAGAGCCATATAAGACCAACCCACAGCCAGTATCATGCTGAATGGGCAAAAGCTGCTAGCATTTCCCTTGAAAACAGGAACAAGATGAGTATGCCCTCTCTCACCACTCCTATTCAACACAGTATTGGAAGTTCTGGCCAGGCCAGTCAGGCAAGAGAAAGAAATAAAGGGTATTCAAATAGGGAGAGAGGAAGTCAAATTATCTATGTTTGCAGATGACATGATCCTATATCTAGAAAACCTCATTGTCTTGGCCCAAAAGCTTCTTAAGCTGATAAGCAACTTCAGCAAAGTCTCAGGATACAAAAGCAATGTGCAAAAGTTGCTGCCATTCCTATACACCAACAATAGGCAAGCCAAGAGCCAATTCATGAACTCCCATTCACAATTGCTATGAAGAGAATAAAATGCCTAGGAATACAGCTAACAAGGGAAGTGTAGGACCTCTTCTTAGAGAACTACAAACCACTGCTCAAGGAAATCAGAGAGGACATAAACAAATGGAAAAACTTTCCATGCTCATGGATAGGAAGAATCAATATGAAAATGCCCATATTGCTCAAAGCAATTTATAGTTTCAATGCTATTCCCATTAAACTGCCATTGACATTCTTCACAGGATTAGAAAAAAAAATTAAAATTCACTAAAAAAGATCTCCAATAGCCAAGACAATCCTAAGTAAAAAGAACAAAGCTGGAGGCATCATGCTACCTGACTTCAAACTATACTACAAGGCTACAGTAACCAAAACCGCATGGTACTGCTGCAAGAACAGAAACATAGACAAATGAAACTGAATAGAGAACTCAGAAATAAGACTGTCTACCTACAACCATCTGATCTTTGACAATCCTGACAAAAACAATCAATGGGGAAGAATTCCTTATTTAATAAATGGTGCTGGGAGAATGGGCTAGTTATGTGCAGAAAATTGAAACTGGACCCCTTCCTTACACCATATACAAAAATCAACTCAAGATGGATTAAAGACTTACATGTAAAATCTAAAACTTTAAAAACTGTAGAAGAAAATCTAGGCAATACCATTCAAAACATAGGCACAGGCAAAGATTTCCTGATGAAAATGGCAAAAGCAATGAAAGCAAAAATTGACAAATGGGATCTAATTAAACTAAAGAGCTTCTGCACAGCAGAAGAAACTATAATCAGGGTGAACAACAACCTATAGAATGGGAGAAAATATTTTCAAACTATGCATCTGACCAAGTTCGAATATCCAGCATCTATAAGAAACTTAAACTTACAAGAGAAAAAACAAACAACCCCATTAAAAAATGGGCAAAAGACATAAACATACACTTCTGAAAACAAGACATACATGTGGCCAACAAGCATATGAAAAGAAAGCTGAATATCACTGATTGTTAGAGAAATGCAAATCAAAACCGCAATGACATACCATCTTACACCGGTCAGAATGCCTATAAAAAGTCAAAAAATAACAGATGCTGATGAGGTTGCAGAGAAAAGGGAACACTTATACACTGGTAGTGTGAATGTAAATTAGTTCAACCATTGTGAAAAGCAGTATGGCAATTCCTCAAAGAGCTAAAAACAGAGCTACCATTTGACCCAGCCATCCTATTACGGATATATACCCAGAGAAAGAGAAATCACTCTACCATAATGATATATGCACACGAATTTTCATGGCAGCACTATTCACAATAGCAAAGACATGGAATCAACCTAAATGCCCATCAGTGACAAATTGGATAAGGAAAATGTGGTTCATATACATGATGGGATACTATGCAGCCATGTAAAAGAACAAGATCATATCTTTTGTGAGAGCATGGATGCAGCAGGAGGCAATTATCCTTAGGAAACTAATGAGGGAACAGAAAATCAAATACCACATGTTCTCAATTATAAGTGGGTGCTCAATGATGAGAAATTATGAACACAAAGAAGAAAACAGCGGACAATGGCTTCTACTTTAGGGTGGAAGATGGGAGGTGGGAGAGGAGCAGCAAAGATAACTATTGAGTACTAAGCTTAATACCTGGGTGATAAAATAATATTTACAACAAACCCCTGTGACATGTGTTTACCTATGTAAAACACATTCACATGTACCTCCAAGCCTAAAATAAAGGTTAAAATAATGGTGAACCAGTCTTGCACACCACAAATAAATCCTATATGGTTGTGGTGTATTATAACATTTGTTTATTACTGGATTCAATTTTTTGTGGCTAAATTCACAGGACATATTGATCTGAAGGCTTCTTTTTGTGTGTACTATCTTTTATTTTGGTAGCAGGATGATACTGGCATCACAAAATGAGTGGGGGAAGGTTTTTCTTCTATTATCTGGAAGAGATTGTGTAAAATTGTTGTTTATTCTTTAAGTGATGAGTAAAATACTCCAGTGAAACCATATGGGTCTGCAGATTTTCTTTTTTTGGAGAAATTTTACTATTAAATTTCTTTAATATTTATGAGACTATTTATTTATTGTCTACTTCTTCTTGGTTGTTTTTACAGTTTGTGGTTTTAGAAAAATTGTTCCCTTTATTTCAGTGGAACAATTGTCAAATATTTGACCATGAAGTTATTCATACTATCTCCTTAATATCCTTTTAATGGCCATAGGATCTGTAGTGTTGTTTCTCATTTTATTCTTCATATTGCCAATTTGAGTCTTCTTCCTTTTAACTTCTTTTTTAAATTTATTTTATTTTATTTTATTATTATTATACTTTAAGTTTTAGGGTACATGTGCACAATGTGCATGTTACATATGTATACATGTGCCATGTTGGTGTGCTGCACCCATTAACTCGTCATTTAGTATTAGGTATATCCCTAAAGCTATCCCTCCCCCCTCCCCCCACCCCACAACAGTTCCCAGAGTGTGATGTTCCCCTTCCTGTGTCCATGTGTTCTCATTGTTCAATTCCCACCTATGAGTGAGAATATGCGGTGCTTGGTTTTTTGTTCTTGCGATAGTTTACTGAGAATGATGATTTCCAGTTTCATCCATGTCCCTACAAAGGACATGAACTCATCATTTTTTATGGCTGCATAGTATTCCATGGTGTATATGTGCCACATTTTCTTAATCCAGTCTATCATTGTTGGACATTTGGGTTGCTATTGTGAATAGTGCCGCGATAAACATACGTGGGCATGTGTCTTTATAGCAGCATGATTTATAGTCCTTTGGGTATATACCCAGTAATGGGAAGGCTGGGTCAAATAGTATTTCTAGTTCCAGATCCCTGAGGAATCGCCACACTGACTTCTGCAATGGTTGAACTAGTTTACAGTCCCACCAACAGTGTAAAAGTGTTCCTATTTCTCCACATCCTCTCCAGCACCTGTTGTTTCCTGACTTTTTAATGATTGCCATAATTTTTTTAAATTATTTTTAAGTTCTAGGGTACATGTGCACAACGTGCAGGTTTGTTACATATGTATACATGTGCCATGCTGGTGTGCTGCACCCATTAACTCTTCATTTAACATTAGGTATATCTCCTAATGCTCTCCCACCCCGCAACCCCCACCCCACAACAGGCCCCAGTGTGCGATGTTCCCCACCCTGTGTCCAAGTGTTCTCACTGTTCAATTACCAATTATGAGTGAGAACATGCAGTGTTTGTTTCTGTTGTCCTTGTGATAGTTTGCTGAGAATGATGGTTTCCAGCTTCAACCGTGTCCCTACAAAGGACATGAACTCATCATTTTTTATGGCTGCATAGTATTCCATGGTGTATATGTGCCACATTTCCTTAATCCAGTCTATCAGTGCTGGTCATTTGGGTTGGTTCCAAGTCTTTGCTGTTGTGAATAGTGCCGCAATAAACATACATGTGCATGTGTCTTTATAGCAGCATGATTTAAAATCCTTTGGGTATATACCCAGTAATGGGATGGCTGGGTCAAATGGTATTTCTAGTTCTAGATCCCTGAGGAATCCCTGCACTCTCTTCCACAATGGTTGAACTAGTTTACAGTCCCACCAACAGTGTAAAAGTGATCCTATTTCTCCACATCCTCTCCAGCACCTGTTATTTCCTTTTTAATGATCGCCATTCTAACTGGTGTGAGATGATATCTCACTGTGGTTTTGATTTGCATTTCTCTGATGGTCTGTGATGATGAGCCTTTTTTCATATGTCTGTTGGCTGCACAAATGTCTTATTTTGAGAAGTGTCTGTTCATATTCTTTGCCCACTTTTTGATGGGGTTGTGTGGTTTTTCTTGTAAATTTGTTTGAGTTGTTTGTAGATTCTGGATATTAGCCCTTTGTCAGATGAGTAGATTGTAAAAATTGTCTCCCATTCTGTAGGTTGCCTGTTCACTCTGATGGTAGTTTCTTTTGCTGTGCAGAAGCTCTTGAGTTTAATTAGATCCCATTTGTCAGTTTTGGCTTTCATTGCCATTGATTTTGGTGTTTTAGACATGAAGTCCTTGCCCATGCCTATCTCCTGAATGGTATTGTCTAGATTTTCTAGGGTTTTTATGGTTTTAGGTCTAACATTTAAGTCTCTAATTGATCTTGAATTACTTTTTGTATAAGGTGTAAGGAAGGGATCCAGTTTCAGCTTTCTACATATGGCTAGCCAGTTTTCCCAGCACCATTTATTAAATAGGGAATCCTTTCCCCATTGCTTGTTTTTCTCAAGTTTGTCAAAGATCAGATAGTTGTAGATGTCTGGTATTATTTCTGAGGGCTCTATTCTGTCCCATTGATCTACATCTCTGTTTTGGTACAGTACCATGCTGTTTTGGTTACCGTAGCCTTGTAGTATACTTTGAAGTCAGGTAGCATGATGCCCCCAGCTTTGTTCTTTTGGCTTAGGATTGACTTGGCAATGCGGGTTCTTTTTTGGTTCCATATGAACTTTAAAGTAGTTTTTTCCAATTCTGTGAAGAAAGTCATTGGTAGCTTGATGGGGATAGCATTGAATCTATAAATTACCTTGGGCAGTATGGCCATCTTCACGATATTGATTCATCCTATCCATGAGCATGAAATGTTCTTCCATTTGTTTGTATCCTCTTTTATTTCGTTGAGCAGTGATTTGTAGTTCTCCTTGAAGAGGTCCTTCACATCCCTTGTAAGTTAGATTCCTAGGTATTTTATTCTCTTTGAAGCAATTGTGAATGGGAGTTCACTCATGATTTGGCTCTCTGTTTGTCTGTTATTGGTGTATAGGAATGCTTGTGATTTTTGCACATTGATTTTGTATCCTGAGACTTTGCTGAAGTTGCTTATCAGCTTAAGGAGATTTTGGGCTGAGACGATGGGGTTTTCTAGATATACAATCCTGTCATCGGCAAACAGGGACAATTTTACTTCCTCTTTTCCTAACTGAATACCCTTTATTTCTTTCTCCTGCCTGATTGCCCTGGCCAGAACTTCCAACACTATGTTGAATAGGAGTGATGAGAGAGGGCATCCCTGTCTTGTGCCAGTTTTCAAAGGGAATGCTTCCAGATTTGTCCATTCAGTATGACATTGGCTGTGGGTTTGTCATAGATAGCTCTTATTATTTTGAGATATGTCCCATCAATACCTAATTTATTGAGAGTTTTTAGCATGAAGGGCTGTTGAATTTTGTCAAAGGCCTTTTCTGCATCTATTGAGATAATCACGTGGTTTTTGTCATTGGTTCTGTTTATATGCTGGATTACATTTATTGATTTGTGTATGTTGAAGCAGCCTTGCATCCCAGGGATGAAGCCCACTTGATCATGGTGGATAAGCTTTTTGATGTGCTGCTGTATTCCGTTTGCCAGTATTTTATTGAGGATTTTTGCATCGATGATCATCAGGGATATTGGTAAAAAATCTCTTTTTTTTGTTGTGTCACTGCCAGGCTCTGGTATCAGGATGATGCTGGCCTCATCAAATGAGTTAGGGAGGATTCCCTCTTTTTCTATTGATTGGAATAGTTTCAGAAGGACTGGTACCAGCTCCTTGTACCTCTGGTAGAATTCGGCTGTGAATCCATCTGGTCCTGGACTTTTTTTGGTTGGTAAGCTATTAATTATTTCCTCAATTTCAGAGCCTGTTATTGGTCTATTCAGAGATTCAACTTCTTTCTGGTTTAGTCTTGGGAGGGTGTATGTGTCGAGGAATTTATCCATTTCTTCCAGATTTTCTAGTTTATTTGCCTAGAGGTGTTTATAGTATTCTCTGATGGTAGTTTGTATTTCTGTGGGCTCGGTGGTGATATCCCCTTCATCATTTTTTATTGTGTCTTTTTGATTCTTCTCTCTTTTCTTTTTTATTAGTCTTGCTAGTGGTCTATGAATTTTGTTGATCTTTTCAAAAAACCAGCTCCTGGATTTATTGATTTTTTGAAGGGTTTTTTGTGTCTCTATTTCCTTCAGTTCTGCTCTGATCTTAGTTATTTCTTGCCTTCTGCTAGCTTTTGAATGTGTTTGCTGTTGCTTCTCTAGTTCTTTTATTTGTGATGTTAGGGTGCCAATTTTAGATCTTTCCTGCTTTCTCTTGTGGGCATTTAGTGCTATAAATTTCCCTCTACACACTGCTTTGAGTGTGTCCCAGAGATTCTGGTATGTTGTGTCTTTGTTCTCGTTGGTTTCAAAGAACATCTTTATTTCTGCCTTCATTTCGTTATGTACCCAGTAGTCATTCAGGAGCAGGTTGTTCAGTTTCCATGTAGTTGAGCAGTGTTGAGTGAGTTTCTTAATCTCACTGCTGGTGAAGAGTTGTATTCCTTTGCCGGAAGAGAGGTTCTCTGAGTTTTAGAGTTTCCAGTTTTTCTGCTCTGTTTTTTCCCCATCTTTGTGGTTTTATTTACCTTTGGTCTTTGATGATGGTGACGTACAGATGGGGTTTTGGTGTGGGTGTCCTTTCTGTTTGTTTGTTTTCTTTCTGACAGTCAGGACCCTCAGCTGCAGGTCTGTTGGAGTTTGCTGGTGGTCCACTCCAGGCCCTCTTTGACTGGGTATCAGCAGCAGAGGCTGCAGAACAGCAAATATTGCTGTACAGCAAATGTTGCTGCCTGATTGTTCCTCTGGAAGTTTCATCTGGAAGGAGTACGTGGCCGTGTGAGGTGTCAGTCTGCCCCTACTGGGCAGTGCGTCCCATTTAGGCTACTCGGGGGTCAGGGACCCACTTGGGGAGGCAGTCTGTACATTCTCAGATCTCCAGATGCGTGCTGGGAGAACCACCACTCTCTTCAAAGTTGTCAGACAGGGATATTTAAGTCTGCAGAGGTTTCTGCTACCTTTTGTTCAGCTATGCCCTGCCCCCAGAGGTGGAGTCTACAGAGGCAGGCAGCCTCCTTGAGCTGCAGTGGGCTCCACCCAGTTCAAGCTTCCTGGCCACTTTGTTTACCTACTGAAGCCTCAGCAATGTTGGGTGCCCCTCCCCCAGCTTCAGTGTTGCCTTGCAGTTTGATCTCAGGCTGCTGTGCTAGCAATGAGTGAGACTCCGTGGGCATGGGACCCTGTGAGCCAAGTGCGGGATATAATCTCCTGGTGTGCCGTTTGCTATGACCATTGGAAAAGCACAGTATTAGTGTGGGAGTGACCAGATTTTCTAGGTGCCTTCTGTCACAGCTTTGCTTGGCTAAGAAAGGGAATTCCCTGACCTCTTGTGCTTCCTGGGTGAGGTGATGCCTTGCTCTGCTTTGGCTCATGCTCATTGCACTGCATCCACTGTCCTGCACCCACTGTCTGACAAGTCCCAGTGAGATGGACCTGGTACCTTAGTTGGAAATGCAGAAATCACCCATCTTCTGCATCGCTCATGCTGGGAGCTGTAGACTGGAGCTGTTCCTATTTATCCATCTTGGAGCCACCCTCCCTTTTAACTTCTATAAATCTTTCTAGAGGCTTATCACCTTTATTTTGTTTGATGAATCAACTTTTGGTTTCATTAATTTTGTCTCTTTTATTATAATTTTATTGATTGGTACTCTGATTTACATTATTTCTTTTTCTCTGCTTGCTTTGATTTTTTTTGTTCTTTTACTTGGTTTTTGAGGTAGAAATTTTGATTTTTTTTATTTGAAAACTTCATTTCTAATGTAATCCTTGAGGGCTATACATTTTTATTTCCATTTCGACATATTTCAATGTGCTATATTTTCATTTCATTTAATTCTGTGTGTTTTTTTGCATAAAAGCCTCCTCTTTAGTCACAGCTTATAGGCTTGTGTTATTTAATTTCCATGTATCTAAAGACTTTTCTGTTTTCTTTCCTTTATCAATGTTTTTGTTTGATTGTATTACTTTCTGTATAATTTCAGTTATTTTAAGTTTGTTGAGATTTGTTTTGTGACCCAGAGTACGTTCTATCTTGGTGAATTTTCCACAGACATTTGAAAATAATGTATTTTGCTCTTCTATGGAGCGTTGTATATGTCAATTACGTACTGTTGGTTGATCATGTTTGGTACTTCTATATCCTTGCTGATTTTCTGCTTAGTAATTACATCAGTTTCTGAGAGAAGGTAGTGAAGTTTCCCAGTATAATTGTGGATTTGTCTATTTCTCCTTTTATTTCTATTAGTTTTGTTTCCTACATTTTCAGGCTCTTGTTTGGTATACACAGGCTCTTGTTTGGTATGTCTTTATGGTAGATAGATTATTCTACTTTTATGAAATGCCATCTGTGTCTCTAGTAATTTTCTTTTTCCTGACGTCTACTTTGTCAGATATTAGTATAGCTTCTTCTGCCTTTTTTTGATTAATGTTTGCATTGTGTCTTTTTTCATCTGTGTTAGTTTCCTAGAGCCGCCATAACTAAATACCACAGATTGAGTGACTTTAAACAAGAAAACTTACACTCTTATAGATATAGACGTACTCTACAAGTCTAAAATCAAGGTGTTAGCAGGGCTGTGCTCTTTATGAAAGTTCTAGGGAAGAGCTCTTACTTGCCTCTTTTAGATTCTGGTGGTTGCTGGCAACCCTTGGTGTTCCCTGGATTGTAGATATATCACTCCAATCTCTGCTTCACCTCACATGGCCTCCTCCTCTGTGTGCCTGTGTCTAAACTTCCTTCTACTTGTGAGAACACCAGTCATTGGATTAAGGTTCACCCTAATCAAGTATGCCTTCACCTTGACTTGATTACATGTGAAAATACACTATTTCCAAATAAGGTTACATGCATAGGTTTAGGTTCTGAGGTTTAGAACTTTAACCTATCTTATTGGGAGACAGAATTCAACCCATAACACCATCCTTTTACTTTCAACCTACCTATGCTGTTGAATTTGATGTGAGTTTCTTATAAACAGCATACAGTTGAGTACACTTTTTTTGTTTTTCAATCTACTCTGCCTATCCCTATGTTTTGATTAGTGCATTTAGGCAATTTACTTTAAAGATAATTATTTATATGTTAACACTTAAGTCTGCCATTTCATTACTTGTTTTCTTTTTGTTTCATGTGGTTCTCATTTTTCTGGCCTTCCTGCGAGCTAAACATTTTTTAAGGATTCCATGTTGATTTATGTATAGTGTTTATGAGTGAATCTATTTGTATAGCTTTCATAATGGTTGTTTAGGGTGTTAAAATATACATATGTGACTTATCATAGACTACTGACATCAATATTTTACCACTTTGAGTAAAGTGAAAACTTCATGTTCATTTAGATACCTTTATCCCCACTTTTAAATATCATTACCTTATCAGATGGCATCATGAATTTTATCTTATCATCAAATATGAATTCTAAAACTCAAGAGGAAAAGAATACTCTGTTGTATGTATTCACATTCCTGCTCATTTTGTTATTCCTTCTTCCCCACTGATGCTCCAAGATTCTTCCACTTATTATTTCCTTTTGGTTTGAAATATTTTCTTTAGCCATGATTAAAGGTACATGTGCTAGAAACAAATTCTTTTAGTTTTCCTTTAAGAATGTCTTTGTTTTCTCATAATTACTAAAGAATAGTTTGCCAGATACATAAATCATGGTGTATTAGTATGTTATTGCATTGCAATAAAGAACTACCTGAGACTGGGTAATTTGCAAAGAAAAGAGGTTTAATTGACTCACAGTTCTGCAGGTTGTACAGGAAGGATGGCTGCGGAAGCCTCAGGAAACTTAGAGTCATGGTGGGAGGCAAAGAGAAAGCAGGCATGTTTTACATGGAGGAAGCAGGAGAAAGGGAAAGAAGGAGGAGGTGCTACACACTTTTAAACAACCAGATCTCATGAGAACTCACTATCACAAGAACAGCAAGAAGGAAGTCCACCCACATGATCCAATGATCCCATGATCCCACCAAGCCCCTCCTCCAATATTGGGGATTATAATTCAACATGAGATTTGGGTGGGGACACTGAGCCAAACTATATCACATAGTTAGCAATTCTTTTCTTTTAGCACTTGAAAAATATTAAAGCATTACTCCTTTGTAGTCTCCATGGTTTTGGATGTGAAGTTCACTGTCATTTGAATTGGTGTTCCTCTATAGGCAATATGTTCTTTCTCTCTGGCTTCTATCAAGGTTTTTTTCTTTGACTTTAGTTTTCAGAAATTCAATCAAAATGTTGTCTTGGCATGTAAATCTTTGGGCTTTTCATGTTTGGGTTTCATTTACTTTTTAAATCTGTAGGTTTATATATTTTGACAAATATGGGAAGTGTTTGGCCATTATTTCTTCAAATACTCTTTCAGCTACACTTGCTTTTCCACTCTTTCTGGAATGCTCATCATACCAATATTGAAATTTTGGTGTTGTATAGGTTCCTGAGGCTCTATTCGTGCACTTGTGTGTTTTTGTCTATTTTATCTTTGTTTTCCATGTTGGGTAAAGTCTATTTTTCTGTCCCCAGGTTCGCTGATTCTATCTTTTGCCATATCCTTTTTACTACTGAGCCCATCCAACTCACTATGTTTTTTCAAAATTCTGCTATTATGTTTTTCAGTTCTATATTTTCCATTTTTAATAACTTCTAATGCTTTGCTATCATTTTCTATTTTTTTCATTTGTCTCAAGACAATTCATAATTGATTATTGGAGCTTTTTTTTTTTTATTGAGACAGAGTCTCACTCTTGTTGCCTAGGCTGGAGTGCAATGGCACGATCTCTGCTCCCTGCAACCTCCGCCTCCCAGGTTCAAGCCATTCTCCTGTCTCAGCCTCCTGAGTAGCTGGGATTACAGGTGCTTGCCACCATGCCTGGCTAATGTTTTTGTATTTTTAGTAGTGATGGGGTTTCACCATATTGGCCAGGCTGGTCTCAAACTCCTGGCCTCAAGTTATCTGCTTGCCTCAAGTTATCTCCCTGCCGAAAATGCTAGGATTACAAGTGTGAGCCACGGCACCCAGCCTGAAGCATTTTTCTAATGGCTTCTTAAAAATCTTTGTTAGATAAATCTAAGTCAACATCTCAGTGTTGGCATATCTATGTTGTCTCTACTCATTCAAGTTGTGATTTTCTTGGGTTTTGATACTACAAGTGATATCTGATTACATCCTAAACTTTTGTGTATTATATAAGTAGTCCCAGGGTCTCATTTAAATCTTTTATTTTAGAAGGCAGTTGCCCTGTTTAGGTTTAGCATGTAGGTCCTGGCTTACTTTTGTTGGCTGAGGTTACAATGACAATTTAAGTGCAGAGCCTTTTTGGTGATATTTTGAGTGATTTCGTACTGTCTGGGCTTCCATTGGTTTCAGCTGCTGCTGCTTGGGATGGTAGACTGGTTTCCCCAGGCCAAGTCCCTGAATATCTCTAGTTTTCTGGAAATCTGCAGGTGGAGAAGGAGTCTCATATTGCATGGTCCAAGATGCTTCCTTGGCAGGTAGTTGTAGCAAAAACTGCCTGCACCCTCACCACCACCACCACCACCACCACCAGTGTGTGTAGTGGAGAGAATTTCTTGAGCCAGACACTTGTGGTGAAATTCCTCTATTTGTGTCTCTTTGTTATAGTTAAGTCAACATCTCAGTGTTGGTATCTCTTGATTGTCTTTGTTCATTCGAGTTGTGATTTTCTTGGCTTTTGAGATTACAAGTGATTTTTATTACATCCTAAAATTTTATTGGCTAAGGTTACAATGACAATGCTGTAGTGTCTTTAGGCATGTGAGGGGAGTGTTAGCCCTGTAGGATTCAAGAAAAATCTGATTGCCTTGTCCGACAGTCTCAGAGTGAAGAGAATCTCAGTACACATGTGTAAAAATAGGCCTCCAAGGCTGGGCTGTTTTGTAACTGGGTCTCTCTTGTTGGTTAGACCTGCCCATGTGGTTATCTCTCAGCAGTCTCAAGACCTTCAGGGAAGGAGAGCACTTCCCCTGATCTCTTATATTTAGTAGGACTCCCAACGTACCCTCCACCTTGCTGGTGCTGTGACAGAGATTACCTTTGGATCCATATAATGAATGATCCCACTTGGGCTGTCTTTTGTTTCTAGGTAAGGAGGTTAGGAAATGCTGGGTCTGGGTCACCTTCTTCATTTGTGGGATAGGGGGCATAAGATGCCCAGGTGGTATGTTGTTTCTTCATTCCTGAGATCACAAACCAGTTTACGTTTTTCCTACAACCTTCTTACCACATAGTACTCATTTGGATGTCTCCTGCAGTATTTCATGGGTTTATAGTTCCACTTAGTGGGTTGGAGCAGGGAGAACTGGATCTATGCCATCTTGTCCAGACTGAAAGTTCTCCAGGCATTTAATTTTTAGCAGGACATACTTAGAGACTTCATGCTTTACAATGAAAGGTTGGATTTCTAATGGCAAGAATTCCATGTACTGGTGGCTACTTGGCAGTACAGAGCACTGGAAAAACTATTCTCTCCCATAGACAAAGGCCATCTTTTAACCAAATGGCAGAGCAGTTACCCTACTCCCTGTGGGCTCACTGATTCTCAAGATGAAGGAGAGAGCAAGGGGCAATTTATTGAATTTTTCCATAAATGTTTTATTGATGAAATTCTAATTATAATTTGATATGATTATTATTAGTTTAGTTCAATACATTTTTTGTCATACAGGTTTACTGTTGAGCAGAATCAAAATTTTTAAAGATAATATGTCACTTAATTTGAGTTCAAACTTAGTGTTCTCTATCATCAAAATTAATTGAAAATGTTTGTCAATGCTGATTTGTAATGAGACTTTATTATTTGAAAATTTTCATTATTTTTCAAACAGGTACTGTCAAATACTGATATCAATCCATGTACCAGTGATATTTTATAACCCATTAAAAAATTGTGGTAAAATATATGAACTGTAAAATTTACCATTTTAACCATTTTCAAGACTACAATTAAGTACATTCACAATGTTGCACTAACTCTACTCATTTTCAGAGCTTTTTCATTATCCCAAAGAGAAATGACCTACCCATTAAAAATAACTTGCCATTCCTCCTTTTCCTGAGCCCTTGAAATCCTGTATTCTGTTTTCTGTTTGTTTCTATAAATTTGCCTATTCTATGTTCCTCATATAAGTGGAGTCATACAGTATTTGTTCATTTGTGTTTGTTAAAGATTCATCCATGTTGTAGCATGTATCAGAATTTCATTCCTATCTAAGGCAAAATAATATTCTTTGTATGTGTATACATATTACCTTTAGCCATCCATCAAGGAATATTTGGGTTATTTCACTTTTAAAAATTTTATTTCTACTGTATC
Source organism: Homo sapiens (assembly GCF_000001405.40). Classification (NCBI taxonomy): domain Eukaryota; kingdom Metazoa; phylum Chordata; class Mammalia; order Primates; family Hominidae; genus Homo; species Homo sapiens. The sequence goes on from NC_000023.11 coordinate 55,895,943, forward strand.
TATTTAAGGTGTACAACATGATGCCTTGAGATATATATATATATATATATATATATATAATTAAATATGTAATTACTACAGTAAGCCAATTTGCTTATCTATCATCTCACATACTTTCCTTTCTTTTTTTGTATTGTAAGAGTACCTAGGATGGCTGGCAAGATGGCCAAATAGGAACAGCTCTGGTCTGCAGCTCCCAACAAGATCAATGCAGAAAGTGGGTGATTTCTGCATTTCCAACTGAAGTACCTGGCTCATCTTATTGGGACTGGTTAGACAGTGGGTGCAGCCCACAGAGGACGAGCAGAAGCAGGGTGGGGCGTCATCTCACCCAGGAAGCACAAGAGGTCTGGGAACTCCCTCTCTTAGCCAAGGAAAGCCATGAGGGACTGTGCCATGAGGAACGGTGCATTCCAGCCGAGATACTACACTTTTCTGAAGGTTTTCACAACTTGCAGACCAGGAGATTCCCTCCGGTGCCTATGCCACCAGGGCCCTGGGTTTCAAGCACAAAACTGGGTGGCCGTTTGAGCAAACACTGAGCTAGCGGCAAGAGTTTCTTCTCATACCTCAGTGGTGTCTGGAACACCAGCGAGACAGAACCGCTCACTCCCCTGAAAAGGGGGCTGAAGCCAGTGAGCCAAGTGGTCTATCTCAGTGGATCCCACCCCCACAGAGCACAGCAAGCTGAGGTCCACTGGCTTGAAATTCTTGCTGCCAGCACAGCAGTCTGAAGTCAACCTAGGACACTCCATCTTGGTGAGGGGAGGGGTGTCTGACATTACTGAGACCTGAGTGGGCGGTTTTCCCCTCACAGCATAAACAAAGCCACCGAGAAGTTCGAACTGGATGGAGCCCACCGCAGCTTGGTAAAGCCGCTGCAGCCAGACTGCCTCTCTAGATTCTTCCTCTCTGGGCAGGGCATCTCTGAAAGAAAGGCAGCAGCCCCAGTCAAGGGCTTATAGATAAAACTCCCATCTCCCAGAGACAGAGCACCTGGGGGAAGGGGCGGCTGTAGGCACAGCTTCAACAGACTTAAATGTTCCTGCCTCTGAAGAGAGCAGCAGATCTCCCAGAACAGAGCTTGAGCTCTGCAAAGGGACAGACTGCCTCCTCAAGTGGCTCCCAGACCCCCGTGCCTACTGACTGGGAGACACCTGCCAGCAGGGGTGACAGACACCTCATACAGGAGAGCACTGGCTGGCATCTGGCGGGTGCCCCTCTGGGACAAAGCTTCCAGAGGAAGGAACAGGCAGCAATCTTTGCTGTTCTGCAGCCTCCACTGGTGATACCCAGGCAAACTGCATCTGGAGTGGACTTCCAGCAAACTCTAGCAGACTGACTATTAGAAGGAAAACTAACAAACAGAAAGCAATAGTGTCAACATCATCAAAAAGATTGTCCACACCAAAACCCCATCCGAAGGTCACCAACATCGAAGAACAAAGGTAGATAAATCCATGAAGATGGGAAGAAACCAGCGTAAAAAGGTTGAAAACTGCAAAAACCAGGATGCCTCTTCTCCTCCAAAAGATCACAACTCCTCACCAGCAGGGGAACAAAACTAGATGGAGAATGAGTTTGACGAATTGACAGAAGTAGGCTTCAGAAGGTGGGGAATAACAAACTCCTCCGAGCTAAAGGAGCATGTTCTAACACACTGCAAGGAAGCTAAGAACATTGAAAACAGGTTCGAGAAATTGCTAACTGGAATAACCAGTTTAGAGAAGAATATAAATGAACTGATGGAGCTGAAAAACACAGCACAAGAACTTCGTGAAGCATACACAAGTATCAATAGCCGAACCAATCAAGTGGAAGAAAGGATATGAGATTGAAGATCAACTTAATGAAATAAAGTGTGAAGACAAGATTAGAGAAAAAAGAATGAAAATAACAAACAATGACTCCAAGAAATATAGGAATATGTGAAAAGACCAAACCTACATTTGATTGGTGTACCTGAAAGTAATGGGGAGAATGGAAACAAGTTGGAAAACACTCTTCAGCATATTATCCAGGAGAACTTCCCCAAAGTAGCAAGGCAGGCCAACATTCAAATTCAGGAAATACAGACAACGCCACAAAGATATTCCTTGAGAAGAACAACCTCAAGACACATAATCGTCAGATTCACCAAGGTTGAAATGAAGGAAAAAATGTTAAGGGCAGCCAGAGAGAAAGGTCGGGTTACCCACAAAGGGAAGCCCGTCAGACTAACAGCGGATCTCTCTGCAGAAACCCTACCAGCCAGAAGAGAGTGGGTGCAAATATTCAACATTCTTAAAGAGAAGAATATTCAAACCAGAATTTCTTATCAAGCCAAACTAAGCTCCATAAATGAAGGAGAAATAAAATCCTTTACAGACAAGCAAATGCTGAGAGATTTTGTCACCACCAGGCCTTCCTTACTAGAGTTCCTGAAGGAAGCGCTAAACATGGAAAGGAAAAACTGGTAGCAGCAACTGCAAAAACATACCAAATTGTAAAGATCGTTGACACTATGAAGCAACTGCATCAACTAACAGGCAAAATAACCAGCTAGCAACATAATGACAGGATCAAATTCACACATAAAAATATTAACCTTAAATGTAAATGGGCTAAATGTCCCCATTAAAAGACAGACTGTCAAAATGGATAAAGAGTAAAGACCCATCATTGTGCTATATACAGGAGAACCATCTCACGTGCAAAGACACATATAGGCTCAAAAGAGAGGGATAGAGAAATATTTACCAAGCAAATGGAAAGCAAAAAGAAGCATGGGTTGAAATCCTAGTCTCTGATAAAACAGACTTTAAGCCAACAAAGATCAAAAAAGACAGCAGAACATCAAAAAGGTTATCCACCATGATCAAGCCGGCTTCATCCCTGGTATGGAAAGCTGGTTCAACATATGCAAATCAATAAATGTAATTCATCACATAAACAGAACGAATGACAAAAACCACATGATTATCTCAATAGATGCAGAAAAGGCTTTTGACAATATTCAACACCCCTTCATGCTAAAAACTCTCAATAAACTAGGTATAGATGGAATGTATCTCAAAATAGTAAGAGCTATTTATGACAAACCCACAGCCAATATCACACTGAAGGGGCAAAAACTGGGAGCATTCCCTTTGAAAACCGGCACAAGACAAGGAGGCACTCTCTCACCACTCCCATTCAACATAGTATTGGAAGTACTGGCCAGGGCATTCAGGCAAGAGAAGGAAATAAAGGGCATTCAAATAGGAAGAGAGGAAGTTAAATTGTCTCTGTTTGCACATGACATGATTATATATCTAGAAAACCCCATAGTCTCAGCCCAAAATCTCCTTAAGCTGAAAAGCAACTTTGACAAAGTCTCAGGATACAAAATCAATGTGCAAAAATCACAAGCATTCCTATACACTAATAATAGATAAACAGAGAGCCAAATCATGAGTGAAATCCCATTCACAATGGCTACAAAGAGAATAAAATACCCAAGAATATAACATACAAGGGATGTGAAGGATCTCTTCAAGGAGAACTTCAAACCACTGCTCAAGGAAATAAAAGAGGACACAAACTAAGGAAAAAACATTCCATGTGCATGGATAGGAAGAATCAATATAGTGAAAATGGCCATATTGCCCAAGGTTATTTATAGATTCAATGCTATCCCCATCCAGCTACCATTGACTTTCTTCACAGAATTAGAAAAATCTACTTTAAATTTCATGTGAAAGCAAAAAAGAGTCCACATACCCAAGAGAATCCTAAGCAAAAAGAGCAAAGCTGGAAGCAATGCTACCTGACTTCAAACTATACTACAAGACTACAGTAAGCAAAACAGCATGGTACTGGTACCAAAACAAATATATAGACCAATTGAACAGAGCAGAGGCCTCAGAAATAACACCACACAAGTATAACCATCTGATTTTTGACAAACCTGACAAAAACAAGCAATGGGGATAGGATTCCCTATTTAATAAATGGTGTTGGGAAAACTGGCTAGCCATATGCAGAAAACTGAAACTGGACCCCTTCCTTACACCTTATACAAAAATTAGCTCAAATGGATTAAAGGCTTAAATGTAAGACCTAAAACCATAAAAACTTTAGAAGAAAACCTAGGCAATACCATTCAGGACATAGGCATGGGCAAAGACTTCATGACTAAAACACCAAAAGCAATGGCAACAAAAGCCAAAATTGATAAATGGTATCTAATTCAACAAAGAGCTTCTGCACAGCAAAAGAAACTATCATCAGAGTGAACAGGCAACCTACAGAATGGGAGAAAATTTTTGTAATCTGTCCCTCTGACAAAGGTCTAATATCCAGAATATATAACGAACTTAAACAAATTTACAAGAAAAAATCAAACAACCCCCTCAAAAAGTGGGTGAAGGATATGAACACTTTTCAACAGAAGACATTTATACAGCCAACAAACATATGAAAATAAGCTCATGATCACTGGGCATTAGAGAAATGCAAATCAAAACCACAATGAGATACCATCACACGCCAGTTAGAATGACAATCATTAAAAAGTCAGGAAACAACAGGTGCTGGAGAAGATGTGGAGAAATAGGAACACTTTTACACTGTTGGTTGGAGTGTAAATTAGTTCAACCATTGTGGAAGACAGTGTGGTGATTCAAGGATCTAGAACCAGAATAGCATTTGTCCCAGCAATCCCATTACTGGGTATATACCCAAAGGATTATAAATCATTCTAGTATAAAGACACATGCACACGTATGTTTACTGCAGCACTGTTCACAATAGCAAAGACTTGGAACCAACCCAAATGCCCATCAATGATAGGCTGGATAAAGAAAATGTGGCACATATACACCACGGAATACTATGCAGCCATAAAAAAGATGAGTTCATGTTCTTTGCAGGAACATGGATGAAGCTGGAAACCATCACTCTTGGCAAACTAACACAAGAGCAGAAAACCAAACACTGCATGTTCTCACTCATAAGTGGGAGTTGAACGATGAGAACACTTGGACACAGGGAGGGGAACATCACACACCGGGACCTGTTGCAGGGTGGGGGTCTAGGAGAGGGATAGCATTAGAAGAAATATCTAAGGTAGATTACAGGTTGACAGGTGCAGCAAACCTCCATGGCACGTGTATACCTATGTGACAAACCTGCATGTTCTGCACATGTATCCCAGCACTTAAAGTATAATAATAATAAAAAAGAGTACCTAAAATGTAGTGTCTTAAAAAATTTCTGGTATACAATATTATTAACTATAGCCCTCATGCTGTACGTTACATCTCTAGACTTATTCATCCTACACAACTACAACTTCATACCCTTTAACCTACATCCCCTCATCTCTCCTCCTCCCTTCTCCCACTGCCTCTGGTAACCACCATTCTACTGTGTGTTTCTACGTATTATACTTGATCTTTTTCTAGATGCCACAAATAACAGAGATCACGCAATATTCTTTTTTCTGTGTTTGTCTTATTTCACATAACATAATGTTTTCCATGTTCATCCACATTATTGCAAACAAAAAAACCTCCTTTTTAAAGGCTGAATAATATTTCATTACGTGTGTGTGTATACACATGCTACAATTACTTTATTCATCTGTCAATGGACACTTAGGTTGATTTGATAACTTGGCTATTGTGAATAATTCTGTAATGAACATTGTGAGTGCACATATCTCTGAGCTGCTGATTTCATTTTGTTTGGGTATATACAGAAGAGGGATTATTGATGGGTCATATGGTAGTTCTGTGGATTGAAATAATTAATATTGTTAAAATGCTAATGCTGCCTAAAGCAAGGTAAAGATTCAATGTGGTCATTACCAAAATTCCAACAGCATTTTTCTCACAAAATAAAAAAAAGTTCTGTAATTACTACAGAACTACAAAAGGCCTGAAACTGAGGACAGTATATATATTGATTTTTTTAAATCTGATGACCAAGAAAGCTACTAAGTGACTAATGGGTGGGTAGCATATGTGGTGTGGATAAGCTGGACAAAGGGATGATTCGCATCCCAGGTGGGAGGGAGTGGGAATGCTCGAGATAGTATGAGATTTCATCACATTACTTAGAATGCACACAATTTAAAACAAATGAATTGTTTATTTCTGGAATTTTCTATTTAATAATTGTGTGTCACAGTTAACCATGGGTAACTGAAACTGCTTAGAGTAAAACTGAGTATCAGGGCATTACTGTACCTAGGATTGGAATTACTGGAATATGTGGTAATTCTATGTTTAACTTTTTGAGGAGCCATCATACTGTTTTCCAAAGCAACTGCACCACTTTACATTCCCACGAGCAATGCATAAGGTTTCCAATTTCTCCATATCCTCACCAACACTTACTTTCCAATTTTTAAAATTATAACCAGCATAGTGAGTTTAAAGTGCCATTTCATTGTGGTCTCGATTTGCATTTCCCTTAATGAATAATGTTGTTGAGCATCTTTTTATATGCATATTGGCAATGTGTATATCTCCTTTGGAGAAATGTCTATTCAAGTCCTTTGCCCATTTTTATATTGAGTTGCTTTTTGTTGCTGTTGGTGTTTTAGGGGTTCTTTATAATTTCTGAATATTAATTCCTTATCAGATATATGATTTGCAAATATTTCTCTCATTCTAGAGGTCATGTTTGCACTCTTCTGATAGTGTTCTTTGCTGCACAAAAGTTTTTAATTTTGATGAAGTCCAATTTATCAATTTTTTCCTTTGGTGTCATATCCAAGAAGCCATCGTAAAGTCCAATTACATGAAGCTTTTTTCTCACGTTTTATTCTAAAAGTTTATTAGTTTTAGTTCTTATGTTTAGGCCTTTGATCCATTTTGGGTTGATTTTTGCATATAGTGTAAGGTAAAAGCCCAATTTCATTCTTTTGCATGCTGTTATCCAGTTTTCCCAGCACCATTTGTTAAAAAGGCAGTTCTTTCCAAAGTATTGACTTTTAAAGTTGACTTTAAGATGACTCTTTTACTTTCTCCAGGTTGATGGCTATTTTTCTTAAAATTTGTAAGAACACTTTATATATTAAAGACATTAACCTTTTGTTGCATTGCTGCAAAATTTTCACCCAATTTGTCTTTTGCCTTTTATTTTTACTTATAGTATGTGTATTAGTCTGTTCTCACGCTACTGATAAACACATATCTGAGACTGGGAAATTTAGAAAAGAAAGAGGTTTAATGGATTTACAGTTCCATGTGGCTGGGGAAGCCTCACAATCATAGTGGAAGGCAAGTAGGAGCAAGTCACATCTTACATGGATGGCAGCAGTCAAAAAGAGCTTGTGCAGGGAAACTCTCATTTTTAAAAACATCAGATCTCGTGAGACTCATTCACTATCACGAGAACAGTGCAGGAAAGACCCGCCCTCATAATTTAATCACCTGCCACCAGCTTCCTCCCACAACATGTGGGAATTGTGTGAGTTACAATTCAGGATGAGATTTGGGTGGGGATACAGCCAAACCATATCAATATGTGGTAGAATGTTTAAATTTTGTCCATAAACAAATCTGCCACTTTGTGGTTTTTGCTACTGGGAAAATGTTTTAAAATAGTATTCACATTCCAATATTTAAAAAATATATTCTCCTCTGATCCCTTATAGTTTTTTAAAACATTGTTAATGGACTTCAGATATTAAAAAAATGGATTAATGATAATCGATGGTTCTTGACACAGTATTATTGGTCTATTTATGTCATTTCCTTTTTAAATAATATAACAAATACATGTGAACCCATCACCCAACCCAAAACCTAGTACATTACCAATAACTCATATCTACCTGTGGTATCTTTTCTATCCCATTCTCCTACCTCCCTAACAGAAGTATCCTGAGATTATATCAATACTTCCCTTGCCTTAAAAAGTTTTATCTTATATGTATGTATGAACAGACAATATACTGTTTACTTCTGCTTGTTTTTGAACTTTATAAATTGATATTAAACCATATACTGTCTTTTAAGAATTGCTCTGTTCACTCAATATTTTGGTATTAAGATCTGTCCATTGTGTTGCATTAACTTGTAGTTAATTTTTACCTGAATAATTAATAGAAACAAGCTAGGTGCACTGTGAGTATAAGAGTATTTGAGTGAAAGAACAGCATGTGTGATGGCCCTGGGATGAGAAAAAGCATACCAAATTTGAGGAATTATAGAAAAGAAGGTCAGTGACTCTGGTGTCCTGAGGCCTGGAGGAAGGGTGACAGAAGACAAGTTAGGAGAAGCAGCCAAGGGATAGATCATACAAGGCCTTGTAGGCCATGGTAAAGATGTAGACTTTTATCACAAGTGCACTGGAAGACATTATGCAGGGTAACGACATGATCTGGTATGCAATTACTAAAGATTAATCTGGATACTTACAAACAGTTGATTGAGACAGGTGACAAAAATTCAATCTTAAGGTGTTGCAATTATTGTCCCCATTTGACAGATGTGAAAACTAAGCCTCACAGAGGTTAAGTAACTTTCCTGTATTACACAGCTACTACATGACAGAACCATGATATACAGAAACGTAGTATGACTTCAGAGCTTGCTTTTTTAACAGTGATACCACATATGGATCTAGAGTTTAGAGGGGTTTGGTTTTGGGATATAAAGTTAGGAATTCATCGGCTTATATTTAGAGTCACAGGACTGTATGAGATCACCTAGGGAGAGAATATAGACAGAAAAGAAGTTTAAGGAGAAGCCCTAAGGTACTCTAATATTTAGTCTTTGGTAGAAGAGGAGAAAAGAAGACTGAAAAGGAGCAGCCAGTAGGATAAGAGTAAAACCATGGATTTTTCACATAGAAGTTAAGAGAAAAAGGCTGCTTCAAGAAAGTAGCAGTGATCGACTACTCCAAATATTGCTGAAAGGTACAGTGAGTTAAGGACTGAAAAGTAACTATTTGATTTAGCAACATGGAGGTAACTGGAGACCTTCAAAAGAGCCATTTCATTCATGAAGTCATGAAGAAAGAAGGCAGGTTGGAATGTATTTAAGAGTAAATGGGTATTCCCAGGAAGTCTGAAGTCACCCCAGGAGATGGAATCCACAGGAAAATTTCAGACTAGAAGCTCCTTAAGGGGAAGAAATGAGCCATCTAACGTCATGTGCTTGGAACCTAGCAGCTTTTTCTATGTAATAGTGTGCAATAATTTATTTCTTGAACCTAACCGAATTAGATGTGACTTCTGTCCCCATCCTCAGGGAATTACATTCTAGTTGGGGAGGTAACAAAAAAATATAGCATGAGTGGATGAGGTGTTTTCTGTAAATGCAATCCAGACTACATATTAAATATGACCTCAAAATGGGTGTATAATCCTGAAGCCAAAACCATTTTGTAAGATACTTGGAAAACCACTCTTAGACATTTAGGGATAATCAAGAGCTTTCAAGTGTTGCCTTAACCAGAGGATAAATACTCTATTTAACTATGTACTCTTGCCATGAACTCTTAATCATTTCTTCTTTAGCAAGGGTTGCAAACTAAAATGCATACACAGGCCAAACTGGTAACAAAAATAAGTGAAATGTTCAGGTGAGGGCTGTAATAAGCTGACGAGATCATGGCACTTCTAGAGGGGCCAGGCACTGCTGATTTCCGACAGATTGACAGCACTCTGGAAAATAGGCTTAAGGATGAAAACACAGATTTTCATATATCCCTACATTTTTCAATGTTGATAATTTATTCAGTCAACACCTGCACAGGCACACATGCACACACACATATACATATACATTGCAGACAAACAAAATTTATCTGCTGGCCAAATTTAACTTATGGACTGTTGGTTTGTAACCTGTATTGTATAGCAATTTCCACAATTTTCAGGGTTGTCTCAATTTCAACCCAGTCTTAGCTTGCCTGATGCCAAATACTAAGCCCCTCTGCATCATCCTTACAAATAACCCTGCCTTGATTCTCAGAAATAGTGTAAAAGTTCTCTAAAACTTAAAGCACAACAAAATAAAATAAAATAAAATAAATTAGCCAGGCATGGTGGCGGGCGCCTGTAGTCCCAGCTTCTCTGGAGGCTGAGGCAGGAGAATGGCGTGAACCCAGGAGGCAGAGCTTGCAGTGAGCCAAGATTGCCCCACTGCACTCCAGCCTGGGCGAGAGAATGAGACTCCATCTCAAAAAAAAAAAAAAAAAAAAAAAAAAAAACCCCAAAAAACACACACACAAAAGTTAGAGAAAGGGGAAATTTATTGAAAGAGTCCTTTCTTTGCCTATGGTCCACAGTGCTTAGCATTGTGCTGAGAATATAACCATGGTATCTGTCAAAACTCCCTATAATATTATGCTCACGTATAAGTAGCAGCCTAGTAAAAGCTGCCTGGCATTCATGGCTAGAGGTCCAGAGATTTGGGCTGAGTAACCTCTATGAACAGGCAGATAGTTAAGGTTAGGACACAGTGGGTATAAGCAACCAATGACATGTTAATGACAGCTCAAGACAACCCTGAAAAAAAGATTGTTGTCCTCCTAAGTTTTCTCTTGTTGAGACTAAATAGCCCTATACTCTTCTAGTGGTGAAGGAAAATGGCTGCTTCTTATGACCCTGTATCAAGGTCATAGTTTACAAAATTGCTTAAACCACCCTTCTTGCTTTATGTAACCAATGCTCTTAATTTTATTCTTCCCTTCATCTTTAAATTAAGAACACAAGTCAACCATCAGCTATCCACTGCCAACCCTAAAAGCTAACCTGAAAGCACACTTCTACTATGTCACTGCTCCAATCATGTTGCCAACTCAGCCCAGAGGCAAGATATTCAAGCAGATGTTCTAAGGAAGAATAAATAGGGGAAGTAGTTCATATCAGGTGTGTATTTCTTTCTTGTTTTCTGTTTTGATTTGTTTATTGTTTACAAACAGATATCACCCAGATAAATCCCTGATGATATTGCCTTTAATTGTTCTTTCAACAAATTTTTATTGAGTCCCTACTATATGACACCCACTGTTCAGTATGCTGTGGATAGAGCAATGAGCAAAATAGATGATGTCCCTGCTCTTACTGAGCTTATACTCTAGTGGGAGACTTACTTTGTCACAGAAACAAACACACAGATTAAATTGTGATCTGTGCTGTGATAAAAATAAAATGAGATGAGGTCATAGAGAGTGCCTGGATTGTGGGAGTTACCTTAATCCACATGGTAAGGGAACGCTTTCCTGAGATGTGTAGGATATTGGAGCCCACCATGGGCATAATCAGACAGAAGGAAAAGGAATGCAAAGGCCTTGAGGTGAGAGAGATCTTAATATATTGCAATGAAAAGGAGGTCAGCATAGCTACAGCAGTGTGAACAAGGTGTTTACAAATCAAGTCAAAGAGACAGGCAGGGGACAGGTGGATCTTGAGGGCCTTGTTGATAATATAAGACAATCTGGATGCTAACTGCAATGGGAAATGACTGAAAGGTTTTAAACAGAGGTGCGACCTGGTCAGATTTGCCTTTTAGAAAGACTATTTGTTTGCTGGCTGTTGAACAGATTTTAGCAGGGCAGATGTGGAAGAAGGGTCACCAGTGAGGACACTCTTCTAGCCATCCATTTGGGAGATGGTGATGGTCAGGATCAGGGTCAGGGTAGTAGTAGTGGAAAGGGTGAGAAATGGTCAGATGCTGAACACACTTTTAGGACAAAGCTAACGGGATTTCCTCAATAATTGGATGAGACTTGTGAGAGAAGAATCAGGGATGGCTCCAAGATTTTTGGCCTAAGCAACCAGGTATTGTCATTAACTGAAGGGGGGGATGGCATTAAACATGATTTCTCATGGGTCATTCTGGAGTTCCAGTTATACCTGTGGGATGGAACCTCAGGGCCCTTCTCTGACTTTGAGCTGCCTAGTTATGAGGTGGGGCGGTAGTAAGGGACTGCTGTTTGGGTGAATTAGAGGCATAAGGCACATTTCTGGGAATCACCACCCTCTCTCCCTTCCCCTTCCCCATTCTAGTCAAAAAACATGCAGACTCACACAGATGAGAGACAGAGAAGACTGAGCATCCCAGGATAGGCAGAAGGAAGAGTCCCCAGAAACTCTAGAGCTGTTGTAGCCACTTCAGTCCAAAGACTGCATGGGCGTGGGCGGCGCCAAGGGGGCGTCGCAGAAACTTTCTTAGGGATCTGGCAGCCTAGGGAACCAGTTTTACCGGAAACAAAGTAATGAAAAGAGATGCGGTGGGGTGTGGCGGGGCCTGCCCCCTGCCGGAAGAAGTTTGGGTGCAGCCCAGTATTCAAGCTCCAGGACAAAGGGGGCGGGGAGGCCGCCACTAGCAAACAACCTCAGCTTCATAAATCCAGCAGAAAGGTCCGGGGTATTGTTGAAAAGGTCGGAAGGACCAAGATTATGTCCGCCAGCCTAAGTGGGACGAACAACCAAGTTGTGCGATGCAGCTTTAAAGGGGCTGGTGATTGACAGAATGGTGTAGTAGTAGATGGGGTGGAGCCGCTGGGTGGGGTCGAGACTGGCAGCTGAGAGATACCAAAAGGAAGAAAAAAGAAAACCATTGCTCTTGATATTGCTAATGCCGGGGGAGGTAAGCTAACGAGAAAGTAGGGAAAAGGAAGGTTTTAGAGTTCACCTCCACTCCTTCCCCTGGCTAACACTCTTTACACTCTTCTGCCTTCCCTTGAGATAATTAAAATAGACTGTACACCGGCCCTAGTCGGTGCCCATTCCCCCTAACTCTTCACTCAACTACGTGTGTAGTCCGAGGGAGTGAGGACCCCGGGTCCAAGAGCTCAATCCCGGCCCCGCCCCGTCGGCCCAGGCCCCGGGGCTGGGAGGAGAGGATGCCTTCGGAGGCGCAGAATCCGAAAGTAAGTTCCTTTTATTTTGCCTTACCAACTGCCACCTCCCACTCCACCTTCCTTTTATCACCCTCTCTGGGCGGCGAAATAGCCTCTTTCAAGGAAAACCTTTCAGGGTGGAGCAGAGTGGGGTTGGTAAGAAGGGGAGGGGAAGGGAGGTGGTGCTTTAGAGCCTAGGGGAGCTACCACGGGCGGGACAGGCGCGCTCAGTTCGATGGCTGTGTGGTTGGATCCTTGATTTCTCCTCCAGGTATTAGAGCCTCGACTTCCTCCCTCCTGGCATTCTTTCTTTTTATCACCCTGCAGCAACCCTATCAGGTTGCCTGAAGCCTCTAGCTGTGAGCTAGGAGGGCTCCATCTTGCCTGGCTTCTTAAAGGGACAGTGCACTATTTAACTGGAAATTCAATTATGAGAAGGGTGGCAGTACCTCTATGTTGGAAGGAATTTGTGTGGCGAGGACAGCTTTTTCTTACTCAGACCAGCTTCCATACTTGGTTCTAATATCCGTGTGGTTCTTAGGAGGTGCACCGTGGGCAATGTTGCCAAGTTACACATTAGTTAACTGCAGCCAGTTGACTGCTGTTTTAGCTCAAAGGGAAAATTTCCATTTCCTGAAAGGCGCCATGGCAGTGCAGGTATCTTGAACAAATTCATTCTACAAATTTTATTGAATGCCAGGTGCATTGCCTGTGGCTGATCACACTGCTGGGAGGTTTGTGTAAAATGTCAAGGCCATGCAGAGTGTTGTCAATGACTCCCTTTTTAACTGATTAGTAGCCTTCCCAGGATATGGAGACAAATGTTGAATTTGATTCCAACATTTACCAAACATTTCTTACATGAATGGCTCAATGGTTCACTTTTATTGTCTTCTGTTCAGTACCAGGTGTCCATATGCTCAAAGCCAAGTGACTGGGAATTCCAGCTAGAAGAAATAGGAACTCAAATCAAAATGGCATGCAGAGAGGAAAGAGCAGGAAACTTCAGTAGGAAAGCTAATGCCACTTTGGCGTTATCCATGTCCAGTAAGGGAGATTGTTTTGGGAAAGAGGGCTTCACCATCTCCCTTCCACTGTTAAAGAAGAGCTGGTGTGGCAGAAACTTGTTAGAAAGGGTCTCTTATGGACCAGTGACATCTCTTACATATTTGTCTCTCTTATGTTTCTGCACAGGGAGGGTGGCAGGACTGTGGATAGAGCCTAATGATACTCCACAGGTCGAAGAGATGAAAATATGTTTGAGGTTTTAGGGTTCATATTTCACTCTGTAGGTTTTTGTTTGGTCAATGGAATGCCACAGTTCCCGGTGCTCTGCAATTTCCTTTGTTTTGAGTCCCTTCCTAGTTCTTACTCAGCGGTCCAGGGTAGGGAACTGTGACAGAGCAAGGTATTGACACAAAATTACATTGTGTTATTATATTCATTCATTCATTCGTTCATTCATTTGACAATTACATACTGAGAATCTACTCTGTATCATCACCACACAAGACTCTGGGGAAAATATGCCTTCTTGGAGATTATATTCTAATGAGGAGGTGTTGGTGGAGGGGACTAACAAAAAACAATGAACATATACGTTGAGTGGGGATAAGATAGGAGAAAAGCTACAGGGCATGTGGAATTGGGGTGATTTTAAAGAATATATCTGAATGAAGTGAGGGAGCCAGCCGTGAGAATACCTGAGGGAAAGGTGTTCTAGACAGAGGAAGTAGCAAGTGCAAAGGCATGGTATGTTCAAAGAATAGTAAGAAGGTCAGTATCACTGGAGTGGACAAGAGGAAGAGTGCGGGATATAAGGTCAGTGAGATAGAGGGGGCTAGATCATATGGGAACTTGTAAAGACTTTGACTTTTATTCTGAATGAGACAGGAAGTCACTTGTAAAAAAAGAAGTAACAATCATTCTATTTGAAATTCTATTGCATTAAAGAGAATGAATCTTGAATTATTTATCTTATACAATCAAGATGGATTGTATTTTTATGTTTGGAATCTAATGCTCCTTTAAGAAAAACTTAGTAAACTTATTGCTAACTTGTTCATGTCAATTAATACAATTTAATTTCATACCAACCATTGTTTTATAAAATAAATATCTGAAGAAGGTTTCAAATGCACTTGAAACTACTGTTGACAGCACAGAGGTTAGAGATGCTGACCCCACACAGTTGAAAATCCATATATAACTTCTGATTCCCCAAAACTTATCTACTAGTAGCCTACAATTGACCAGAAGCCTTACTGATAATATAAACAGTTAATTAATATACATTTTGTAAGTTATACATATTATATACTGTGGTCTTATAAT
The DNA here is from genome assembly GCF_000001405.40 of Homo sapiens. Classification (NCBI taxonomy): domain Eukaryota; kingdom Metazoa; phylum Chordata; class Mammalia; order Primates; family Hominidae; genus Homo; species Homo sapiens. Next base: position 55,911,105 of record NC_000023.11, read on the forward strand.
AAAGTAAGATAGAAAAAAGAAAACGTTTAGAAAATCGTAAGCAAGAGAAAATATATCTACTATTCATTAAGTGAAAGTGGATTATCATAAAGGTCTTAATTCTTGCCATCTTCATGTTTAGTAGATTGAGAAGGAAGAAGAGCAGGGTGTGGTCTTGCTTTTTCAGGAGTGGGAGAGGTGGAAGAAAATCCATGTATAAGTGGACCTGCAGTTCAAACCTGTGTTTTTCAAGGGTCAACTATACTTAAATACAAAAAGTCTCTTCAATGTACTTCAACAAAATATATTACAATAAATTTATTAGCACTAGAAAAAGTCTCATCTGCTTTAAGGAAATATTACAAGATTTTGTAGCACTCTTTGTCAAGAAATTGTGAAAATTATTTGCTTGGAAACCTTTTTTTAAACTTTCCATCCTGCTGGCACACATGATTCCTTTTAAGTTGTGCACTGTGCTTCCCCCAAGTCCTTCCCAGTGGGAGCTTTAAGTATAAAACACCTCATTAGCCTCAGGGAACTCAGAAGGAGAGAAGAGTGCGAGGAAGGGAATTGAGAGAAAGAAGAAAAAAGCCAAGGAAGTCCAAACAGGACAGTGCACTAAGAACAAGAACAAGTCACACAAATACAAAGTTTTAACCCCTCTGTTCCATACATTGAAAGTTCCATTCATTTCTGGCCTTGAAATTTCCACTTGTCCTTGTGACTCCCTTTTAGAGATAAGGTAGGTGTGCATGTTAGATGTGTGTGTAAAGGGAGACTTGTGGATTAGTGTAGGCTTCCCCTAAAACAATTCTTAACCTTGGCCACACACTGGAATCAGTTGAGGATATTTTAAAAATACTGATAACTTTGTCCATCCTCAGAGATACTGATGTAATTGGTTGGGGCACAGCTTGGAAGATGGATTTTTAAAAGAGCTCCCTAGGTAATTCTAATGTGCAGTAAAGGTTGAGAACCACTTGCTTAGAGTTGAGGTTGTCTTAGTATGGTGCTTGGACCAGCAGCATCAGCATCACCAGGGAACCTCTTAGAAATGCAGATTTTCAGGCCCTACCCCAGACATACTGATTCAGAAACTCATACTGATTGTGATAAAACAATCAGTACTTTTTTCATACACCATCTGGGTGACCTGGATACACACTGAAGTTTGAGGACTACCTTAGAGGTTAGAGGTTCTCATTTTTTTTCATTCCCAATACACCTAAGGAATATAACACACTCCTATTAGTAACAGAGGCTCACTGTGCCCTGTTTGTGAAAGGTGGAGAAGGAATATGCCTGTTCCCATCCCATATCAGAATCCCCATTCCCATTCCCTACTGCAGAATTTACAATCACTGTTTTAGAGTATATGGCTTTTTAAATTATATGCATTATTTCCTTTAATTTCAGCACTCAAGTTTCATGCATCACTTCACTTCATCCTCACAATAATCTTGTGAGGTAGACACTATTATCATTGCCATTTTATAATTGAGAAAACTGAGGCACAGGAAAGAAAGTACCTTATCCAAGATCATACAGCTAGTAAGTGTAAGAGATCCATCGTCTCCTGTACTTTCTAAGTTGTTTCATCAGTTAGGTTCCTTCTCTCTTATTTTCTTAAATTTCTTCTTATTCGTTGATTTTCCCACTCATTCAGCCCTATCCACCTAACATTGCTAACATATATTGAAGACCTCCTTTGTATCAGGCCCCTCTATTGAGCATGTTACAGATATCAATGTATATAATGTTCACAGCAGTCCTATTAAGTAGATACTATTATTTTCCTCATTGTTCAGTTAAGGAACTTGGGGCACAGCAAAATCAAGCAACTTGCCTAAGCTTACACAGCTAGTAAGCGGCAGAGCTGAGATTTGAACCCAAGTGTATGAAGTCTGTGCCTGACTATTATGCCATACTACCTAATCTTAAGCTTACAAGCACATTTTTTCCCTTCTCTAAATCTTTCTTTGAACTCATTTAAATTACCACTCCCATTTATTTTGTGCAGTTTCCATTTAAACCATCACTGAAACTGTTCTTGCCAAAGTTACTTAATGATCTGTCATGTTCAGTGCTCTCTCTTTAGATCTTCAGCCTTCTTGCCTCTCTACTACATTCAAGGCTGTTATATCTGACCTAGTTTATTATAATAGCTCCTTTATTGTTCTCTCTGCCTCCAATCTGTATGTCCTTTGCTATGGGTTGAATTGTGTTCCCCAATATATGTTGGAGTCTTAATTCCTAGTTTTTCAGAATGTGACTATTTGGAGACAGGGTCTTTATAGAGGTAAAAATTTAAAATGATCTCATTTTATTTTTTTATGAGATCATTTTAACTTTATTAAATTAAGTGGGCCCCAATTCAATATGACTGGTGTCCTTATAAAACAGGGAAATTTGGATACAAAGACAGACTCACACATTGGGAATATGATGTGAAGAGACATGGAGAATACAACCATCTGCAACCCAAGGAGAGGCCTAGAACAGATTCTTCCTTCACAGCCCTCAGAAGGAACCAACCCTGCTGACACCTTGATTTCATACTTCTAGCCTCCAGAACTGTGGGACAATAAATTTCCATCGTTTAAACGAACCAGTTGGTGACACTTCGTCATAGCAGCCCTCGGAAATGAATACAGAGTAGAGGGGAAAGGTTATTCCAGGCAGGAAGAATCTTATTACCAGAGGCAAGTAATGGGCATTAACATAATGTGGGTTGGAGAAGAACAGGGTAGGGTTAGAGAAAGGGTGAGTTTAAGAGAACTTTTTCTTGTGGTGGTAATACATATGGGGTAAAAGCAGTGGCTGGAAAAACAGCAAGGTTAAAATTCTTTCTCCTAGTGTTTCAGGGAAATAGCTAAGTTTCAAAGAATATTATCTAGCTAATGCCTCCTAATGCTAAAATGGCCTATATTTTGTTCCTTAGAAAGCTGAACTTAGGAATAACTCTCTGAGCTGGGAACATTTTACTGGTCAGTGATGGCATGATACATATGTAATGGACAGAGAACATGGAAAGGGGTTCAGAGTACATTTTTACAAGAATAATAACTCAAATATGATCTGCAGCTTTGGTTTAATTAAATCTGGTCATATATATTAACCATTTCCACTTATGTAAGGCAGATGGCTTTTGAAATGGGGAAGCAGCATTCAGTTATTCATCCCATTTATTTGTTCAATATATATGCCATGAGAACCCTCTATGTAGTCAGCTCTGTGCTACAGCCTGGGTATACAAAAATCTGAGACCTCAGTCTTGCCCTGGAGCTCAGCTGGGAGACAGACAAAACTCTAGCTAACATCTAACATTTCTTGATTACTTAATATATGCCATGGACCATACTAAGAAAATTCACAATAGTTATGCTCACTTTTTAGATAAGGACACTGAGGGTTAGAGGAAAGTTGAGTCAACTTCAGGAGAGGAGTTTTGGCAAACTTGCCAAGTGAGAAAGTTATTAATATGAGCAAGTAAAATGTGGGTGATTTGTGGGGTTAGACGGTCAGAGAAGACTTGCTAGAGGAGATGATATTTGAGTCTTGAAGGATAAATAGGAGTTTTCAACATACACAAGTTGAGAAAGAAGGAGCATGGCAGATGGAAGGAACATTATGTATAAATCAATGGAGACACCAGAGATATGCTATGTTCAGGAAATAGTGTTTCATTATGGCTGACACATAAGTTGGTGGCAGGAAAAAAGACTGGAAAAGTAGGCACAACCCAGGAATCAACCATAAATAAGAGTCTCTTATTTTTTATAAGCACGATATGAGGAACACTATACCCGAAAGCTATTCTTTACTATTCAAAACATTAGAGATTGCATAAACAGCTGCTTTCAGTACTGTACACAGAAATTAGAGGGATTTTTTTCACTGAGGGTCAGTCAATGAAGACCAGAAAAATTACTGGGACCAGAAGGTAGACAGAAACCTTAGGACTCAAAAATCATTGTTGATCAGGGAGAAGGGATGAGACTGGTACTTTGTGGGAGTCTGGACTGGTAGAAATGATTACTAGTCAGAGTAGTCAAAGCAATAATAATAATTTTAATAATACAGCAATAAATGTACCAAGTACTACTCTAAGCATTGAATTTACTATATCCATTTGATAAATGGGGAAACTCCAGTACCCCAAACCTCTGACAATAGCTGTAAAGAAACTGGGAATACTCTGCTAATAATTTGTAGAATTTGAATTTGAACGCAGATAGTTTGGCTATACAATCTACATTTTTAATCATTATGAAATATTGAACTAACTAGTCAGTAAGACCAAAAAAGGAAATAGAATCAAAGTGAGTCAGTAACTGTGGGTCCTGTTAAGCAGTGTAATGCAATGTACAAATGGGTACATATGAAAAAGATAAAAATAGATGAAAGATCTAAGAAGTAACATGTAAGACAGATTTTGCTGACCGAGGTCACAACTCAAGGGTTCACAAGTCACATTCAGGCCACAGATGTACTTGCCTTGAGCCATGTTCTTTTCAAAATTTGAATTAATTGCCAGTGTGTAAAAGGCAGATGATTTCACATAAAATAAGCTCACAGTTTTCTTGAAAAACTTGAAATGTGTGGCATCACTGGGCCTATACTGCCTCATGGTGACACTTAACACAAGCTGAAGCAGCAGCTTCCCCTTTATACATGTTATTTATTCATTAATATCCTTTGGTTGCAAAGGGTGTAAACCAGCTGAAGCTAGCTTAAACACAAGAGCAATGTGACTGGATCTTAGGAGTGGACTGGGTTTTGGAAATGGGAAGTTGTCAGCAACCTAAGGTGATTTTCTTTCTATGTCTTATATATGCTTCCCTTGGCATATCTGCTTATTTCTTCTCTCTTAGCAAATTATATTACCTAGTGAGCAAGAGATAGCTCCCTCATCTCTCGAGTTTATAAGTTACAGTTCAGTCACATGAACAGGTACTGGTTCTGTTTGTTCCAATTCCCAAATCACAAGGAAGTGGACACTCACCGATTGACCAGGCTTGAGCCAGCTACTTATACCTAGATAAACCAGCTCTGATCAGGAAGCTAGGGTCATGTAATATAAGCTATTGGAACACCTTTGCTAATCAAAGAGGAGTTATAAGGTGGTCACTATGTACAGAGCAGATATTTCCAAATGTGTCCCCTGTACGAAATATTATTTTGGCCCTACCCACTTTGTAGTAACTTCTTGTGTTCTCTTGGAAGTTTCACTGCCCGTAGCCCTGGCCTACTTGATATGCTTGCCAGGCTACGTCCTGCTATTTTGAGAATATGTAGGGTTGACTGTGCTCCCAGTGGCCTAGTCCTTTCCTGTAGTGAATCTATTCCTACTACTGTATAAAGCAATTTGAGGCCAAAATTGCCATAATAGCCTTCTCCAATTTTCTTTTTGCACTTTGAAGTCCAAAGGGCTTCCTTCAGTGGCTTAAATTTATCTTATTAATCATCATAATGATCTAAAGGCTGGTGAGTGCATTCTCAAAGGGTAACAGGCATGGATGGAAAAGAGGGAAGTCATGGGGAGAGCAGCTGATACCAATGTGCCCAGGCCTAGAGAATTAGCAAGAGTTGCATTTATAAATGTAATGCCTGGGCTTTAGAACTACACATAGTGACAGTGATTAACTAACTGTGTTTCCCGTTTGTGGGTCCCCTTACTCCCAGGAACTTTCCAAGGTTTATGCTTCCCTGCTAAGGCTTTGGATACTTCTTGTATCAATGATTTTTTTTCAGTGACTTTAAAGTTCCCTTCCTGACACTCCTTACTGAAGTAGCAGTTGATATTTGAAGTTTTGCTCTCAGCAAAGTTTCCTTAGAGCTGTTGTCAGAGGTTGGCTTCCAGAGATTGCTAACCTTAGACAATGTTGAGAGAGAAGCTTCTTCTACCCTCCAAAATGCCAAAGTAAGCTGATCTGGCTGAAACTATCCACTTTCAAGATCTTGGGATAGATTTTTTCCAAAGGAATCCAATCTCCCTGCTCAAGTCTTGCTGCCTCCTCTGGAATCTGCTTTGCTTTTTATAAATAGAATAGAATTGTTCTGACTTCCTCAAGCTAAGAGTTGCTTATTTCCAGAGTGAGAGTCTACATTTTTCAAAGTGAAATGGGAAGAACCCAGAGCCAAAATGAAGCAACTTCCTAGGAAGAGTAATTTCACTTGGAGCATTTGGAATCTAGGCAAACATTGTTTTCTTTCCCTTTCCTCTTTGATAAAGTCAGTTCAAGTTCCAATAAAATGAATATGGGTTTCTTACTTTGGATCCCCTGTCTCCTTTATCCAATTCTTTAGTTGGCAGGTGAAGGCAGTATTTATCACAAATAGCAATAATAATTAACATTTATTGAGCAATTACTAAGTGCAAGACACTATTCTAAATTCTCGACAAGGCCTACATACTAAAATGGTCATGATGGTGTGTTAAAGTTATCCCGTTTTAATTCAAAATAAAGTCAGGAAATATCATCCTTATAAACTGTGTGGGTTTAAATAGAGAGTGACCTTGGGAATCTTAAATTTGTATTTCACACCCTGTCATCTACTCACTCTTCTGCTAGCAGGAAACAGTACACTCATATAGTGGAAAAAGTACTCAAGCAAAAGAGCTTTTTCTTGAGTATTCAAGGGTCAGAAGAGGGCTGGCTTCTGAGTGCCCAGAACTGTGTTAGCCCTGTATAAAGATTATTTTGTTGACTCTTCAGTACAATTCTATGAAATATTATTGCTCCGCCACCTTTTCTTTTAACAAATGAAGAAATATAGAATTAGAGAAGTTAACTAAATAACTTGCTTTCAGTCACACAGCTAGCATTTGTCGTCTGGGATCTCAACACAAAATTAACACCAGAGCCCTTGCCTTTAAGTACTAGATCATGCTGCTTTTAAACACATAAATTAGGAAGGGGACAGTCTCAAATGTCGCAACTCTCTTTTATAAGTATTCTTGTATTATTTAGTAATTCAACTTCTCACTATCTTTCCTTGAATGGAAATAAGATTAGAGAGATAACAGGAGCCCCAGAAAGTAAGTAGATAAAGGAAGTTGTTTCTACCTCTGGGTTCCCATAGCACTAGACTCAGCAGTCTAAGGATATCTTAATCATGATTGTCCCCAGTGCCTAGAACATAGAAGGAACCCAGTGAATACTTGTTGAGGGAATAAGTCAATCAATGAGTTTGGGGAAATTATCTACCTATCTTGAGACTTTCTGGCAGATTATACATCATTTTTCATGTTCCTGGTCAACTATATGTAGATCATGCATATAGGTACCCAGACAGAGATATACATGCTCATTCAGAAATTGCCATCCAATCCTGATACATGCAAACTCATAAAGATATATCTCCACACAAATGAATACTTGGCATATTTGTTTTCTGATGCTGTAAAATGTACCACAAAATGGGTGCCTTAAAACAGCAGAAATTTATTCTCTCACAGTTCTTGAGGCTAGAAATCTGAAATAAAAAATAAAAGTATTGGCAAGGCCATGCTCCATCGAAAACCTCTAGAAAGAATCCTTCCTGGTCTCTTTCAGCTTCTGGTAAGTCCAGATATTCCTTGGCTTGTGGCAGTATAACTCTAATTTCTGTCTCTCTCTTCACATGGCTATGTCTGTGTGTATATGAGCGTGTCCGTGTGTGTGTGTGTGTGTGTGTCTTCACTTGTCACTTTCCTCTTCTTTATAAGGACACCAGTCATAATGAATTAGGGCCACCTTAATGATTTCATCTTGATTACATTTGCAAAGACTTTATTTTCAAATAATGTCACATTCACAAGTACTGATGGCTAGGACTTCAACATATCATTTTAAAGGTCACATTACCACCCAAAATGGTCTTCCTTTGGCCCTCCAAAATTTATGCCCTTCCCATGGGCAAAACACATTCACTCTATCACAACATCTCCAAAAGTTCTAACCCATTCCGGCATCAATTCTAAGTCTTAAAAATCTCACCTAAATTTAATCAACTCAAAGAGTCCCAAAACTCATCTTCTACTTCATCTGCGTAAGGAAGGATGAGACTCAGGGTGTGGTCCATCCTGGGGCAAAATTTCTCTCTTCTGTGGACCTGTGAAACCTAGAAAAAAAGTTAGCTGCTCCCAAAATACAATGGAGTTTTCAGATTAAGAGGGTGGATAGAAGGCATGACTAGCTTGCAGCTCCTGGTCAGACTGATAGAGCAGTGTGTGGAGACTCACTTCGTGAACTTTTGCTCCCAAGAACTACCACAGGAACACACCAGGAAAGCCAAGAAAATCCAGAGATCCTTTGAAGGAACTGGATTACCGCTGCAAACTCCTGAGACACTGAAAAACTGTGAGCCTGCTTGCTCTCTCAACAGGGAGGTTCGTGGTCTGGGGCGAGTTCTCAGCCCTGGTCACCGGCTGCCTCGAAATAGACTCAGTGATGTTGGCGGGGGCATGGGGGAAGTGAAACCCGCTTTTAGGATTGCAGGCTGTGTGAGAGCTGGGTGAGGCCTGTGACTGCCAGGTGTCCCGCACTTCCCTGGCTACCTGTATGACTCAGCAGAAGCAGCCATAATCCCCCGGGAATATAACACCATTAGACAGGGAACCACACCCCAGCCCCTACAGCAGCCACAGCAAGCCCGGCCCAAGGATAGGCTGAGCTCAGACATGCCTATCTCTGCCCCCACCTGGTGGTCTTTCTCTACCTGCTAGCTGAAGGCAAAGGTCATAATATTTTGGGAGCTCTGTGGCCCTGCCTGCTGCCTGAGAAACCTGAATACTTAACCAGGTGTCTCTAGGGCAAGTTTGCCTCCTCCCTATAGGACTGCAGCTATTGCACTCTTGAAAGCACCACTTCCTGGCTGGAGGCCAACCAACACAAAACCAGCCCACTAAACAAAAACACAACCAAGGACCTGCACCAAGTCCACTTCACTTCCCTGCTACCTCCACCAGAGCAGATGCTGGTATCCACGGCTACAAGACCTGAAGATGAATCATATCACAGGAGTCTTTGCAGAAACTCCCCAGTACCAGCTCAGAGCATGGTAGCTCCCCCGGGTGGCTAGACCTAGAAGAGCAAAAACAATTACTACAGTTCCTCTGTACTGTAGGAAGCCCCATTCCTAGGGGAAGGGGGAAAACACCACATCAAGGGAGCACCCCGTGGGACAAAATAATCTGATCAACAGCCCTTGAATTCCAGATCTTCCCTCTGACATGGTCTACCCAAATGAGAAGGATACAAAAAAAACAATTCTGGTAATATGACAAAACAAGGATCTTTAACATACCCAAAATATCCTGCCAGCTCACCAGCAATGGATCCAAACCATGACGAAATCTTTGAACTGCGAGAAAAAGAATTCAGAATGTCTGTCATTAAGCTAATCAAGGAGGCAATAGAAAAAGGTGAAGTCCAACTTAAGTAAATCAAAAACATGATACAGGATAGGAAAGGAAAATTCTTCAGTGAAATACATAGCATAAATAAAAAACAATCACAGCTTCTGGAAATCAAGGACACACTTAGAGAAATGCAAAATGCAGTGGAAAATCTCAGCAATAAAATCAAACAAGCAGAAAGAACTTCAGAGCTCGAAGACAAGACTTTTGAATTAACCCAGTCCATCAAAGACAAAGAAAAAAGAATTTTAAAAAATGAACAAAGCCTCCAAGAAGTTTGGGACTATGTTAAATATCCAAACCTAAGAATAATTGGTGTTCCTGATGATGAAGAGAAATATAAAAGTTTGAAAAACATATTTGAGGGAATAATCAAAGAAAACTTACTCGGCCATGCTAGACATCTAAACTTAAAAGTAAAACCCCAAACTATAAAATTCCTAGTAGAAGAGAATCAAGGCAATACCGTTCAGAACATAGACACAGGCAACCATTTCATGATGAAGCCGCCAAAAGCAATTGCAACAAAAGCAAAAATTGAGAAATGGGATCTAATTAAAGAGCTTCTGCACAGAAAAAGTAACTATAATCAGAATGAACAGACAACCTACAGAACTGGAGAAAATACTTTCAAACTATGCATCTGACAAAGGTCTAATATTCAGCATATACAAGGAACTTAAATTTATAAGAAAAAATCCCATTAATTCATCTTGAGTCAATTTTTGTATCAGGTGTAAGGAAGGGGTCCAGTTTTAATTTTCTGCATGTGGCTAGCCAGTTTTCCCAGCATCATTAATTTAATAGGGAATCCTTTCCCAGTTGCTTGTTTTTGCCAGGTTTGTCGAAGATAAGATGGTTGTAGATGTGTGACCTTATTTCTGAGATCTCTATTATGTTCCATTGATCTATGTATCTGTTTTTGTATGGGTACCATGCTGTTTTGGTTACTATCGGCTGTAGTATTGTTTGCAGTCAGGTAGCATGATGCCTCCAGCTTTGTTCTAAAACCCAAAATTATAAAAACTCTAGAAGAAAATCTAGGCAATACCATTCAGGGCATAGGCATGGGCAAAGATTTCATGACAAAAACATCAAAAGCAATGCTACGAAAGCAAAAATTGACAAATGGGATCTAATTAAACTAAAGAGCTTCTGTACAGCAAAAGAAACTCTCATCAGAGTGAAGAGACAACCTACAGAATAGGAGAAAATTTTTGCAATCTATCCTTCAGACAAGGTTCTAATATCCAGAATCTATAAGGAATTTAAACAAATGTACAAGAATAAAAAAACCCCATTATAAAGTGGGTAAAGGACATGAATAGACACTTCTCAAAAGAAGACATTTATGTGGCCAACATACATATCAAAAACAAACTCAACATCATTCATCATTGGAGAAATACAAATCAAAATCACAATGAGATAACATCTCATGCCAGTCAGAATGATGATTATTAAAAAGTCAAGAAACAACAGATGCTGGCAAAGCTGTGGAGAAATAGGAATGCTTTTACACTGTTGGTGGGAATGTAAATTAGTTCAACCATTGTGGAAGACAGTGTGGCAATTCCTCAAAGACCTAGCAGCAGAAATACCATTTGACTCAGCAATCCCATTACTGGGTATATACCCAAAGAAATATAAATCACTGTATTGTAAAAATACATGCATACGTATGTTCATTGCAGCACTATTCACAATAGCAAAGACATGGAATCAACCGAAATATCCATCAGTGATAGACTGGATAAAGAAATATGCTACATTACACAATGGAATACTATGCAGCCATAAAAAGGAATGAGATCTTGTCCTTTGTAGGACATGGATGGAGCTGGAAGCCATTATCCTCAGCAAACTAACACAGGAACGGAAAACCAAACACTGCGTGTTCTCACTTATAATGGGAGGTGAACAATGAAAATGCATGGATACAGGGAGGGGAACAACACACGCTGGGACCTGTCAGGGGGACAGCAGGGGGAGGGAGAGCATCAAGATAAATAGCTAATGCATGTGGGGCTTAATACCTATGTGATGGGTTGATAGGTGCAGCAAACCACTATGGAACACTTTTACCTATGTAACAAACCTGCACGTCCTGCACACATATCCTGGAACTTAAAATAAAATCGAAAGAAAGAAAAAATCCCATTAAAAAATGGGCAAAGGCCATGAATAGACACTTCTCAAAAGAGGATATACATGTGGCCAACAAACATATGAAAAAAAGCTCAATATCACTCTGATCATTAGAGAAATGGAAATCGAAACCACAGTGAGATACCATCTCACACCAGTCAGGATGCCTATTATTAAAAAGTCCAGAAACAACAGATGCTGGTGAGATTTTAGAGAAAATGAAACTCTTTTGCACTGTTGGTGGGAGTGGAAATTAGTTCAACCATTGTGGAAGACAGTGTGGCGATTCCTCAAAGATGTAGAGGCAGAAATACTATTTGACTTAGCAATCCCATTACTGAGTATATACCCAGAGAAATAGAAATCATTATTTTATAAAGATATATGTATGCATATGTTCATTGCAGCACTATTCACAATAGCAAAGACATGGAATCAACCCAAATGCCCATCAATGATAGACTGGATAAAGAAAATGTGGTACATATACACCATGGAATACTATGCAGCTATAAAAAGAGATAAGATCACGTCCTTTGCAGGGACATGGATGGAGTTGGAAGCCATTATCCTCAGCGAGTTAACACAGAAAAAGAAAATCAAATACCACATGTTATCACTTATAAGTGGGAGCTGAATGATGAAAACACCTGGACACATGGGTGGGGGGTGGGGAATAACACACACTAAGGGCTGTCAGAAGGTGAGGGGTGGGAGGAGGGAGACCATCCAGAAGAATATTGAATGAATCCTGGGCTTAATACCTAGGTGATAGGATGGTCTGTGCAGCAAGCCATCATGGCACACATTTACCTACGTAAGAAGCCTGCATGTCCTGCACATGTACCTCTGAACTTAAAATAAATGTTGGAAATTAAAAAAAAAACTAACTAAAGGAAACAAGAAATTATTCTTCCTGCGTTTTTCTCATCTCTGTCTTTTTCAGCCCAGACTGGCAGTGTTTCTGTTGGTATAAAATTCTCATAAACCTCATTCACAGTTACCGAGGGTTAATACTTCAACATATCTTTTGGTGGGTCACAATTTAACCCATAACACTTAAAGATCCACGTGTGTGTGTGTGTGTGTGTGTGTGTGTGTGTGTGTGTGTATATCTGTATATACACATATATATTTGTGTGTATGTATATATATATATCTGTACATCATAGAACATTCATGTATAGTGTGCAAATGGGTTTGGATTCAGCAAATACTTATGGTCTCATCTAAAAGCCCTTCTTGATGTTCCTTAATCATGCTAAACACATGCCTGCCACAAGACTTTTGCCTTCACTTATACTCTAACACTCTTCCCTTTACCCCAGATATTTTCATGGCTTACTCCCTGTCTTCATTCAGATTTCTATTCAAATATTGTCTCTTCAGAGAAGCCTTCCTTGACGGTTCTATACAAAATAATTCAGCCCCACGCACCCCTAACATTTTTTTTTGAGACGAGTCTCGCTCTGTCGCCCAGGCTGGAGTGCAGTGGCGCGATCTCAGCTCACTGCAAGCTCCGCCTCCCAGGTTCACGCCATTCTCCTGCCTCAGCCTCCCGAGTAGCTAAGACTACAGGTGCCCACCACCACACCTGGCTAATTTATTTTTATTTTTATTTTTTAGTAGAGACCGGGTTTCACTATGTTAGGCAGGATGGTCTCGATTTCCTGACCTCCTGATCTGCCCGCCTCAGCCTCCAAAAGTGCTGGGATTACAGGCTTGAGCCACTGCGCCCGGCCCTGACATTCTTAATTAATCTTTATTGCGTGTTTCATTTTTTTTCTTAAATGTGACAGTTTATGACCATTATGTATTTATTTTGTTTATTGCCTATTTCCCCTTATTGGAATGTAAGGTTCATGAAGGCTTGGATTTTTGTTTGTTATTGTTTGATGCATTTTTTTCCCAGAGCATAAAATAGTGCATGGCACATGTTAGGCAGTCAATATTTCTTCATGCAATGAATGAACATAGAGGAAGAGGGCTTTTATAGAGCATCTACTTAATGCCAGAGACTTTATTATTACTTCATTTGATACTCAAATACCTGGGGATTTTGTAACACAAACAGGAAGAATCGGGTGAAAGCACATGTGAAAATCAGTGTCAGCAAATTTCCTAGTGGAACAAAGTGACTGAAGTCTCTCCTATTATTATGTGGAGGATTGGTGGTTTCGTGGTGGTTTTTTTTTTGTTTTGTTTTGTTTTTTGCTTTTTTTTTTTTTTTTTTTTTTTTGTGAGGGAGCCTCGCTCTGTCTCCCAGGCTGGAGCTCAGTGGCGCCATCTCTGCTCATTGCAACCTCCGCCTCCCGGGTTCAATTGATTCTCCTGCCTCAGCCTCACTAGTAGCTGGGATTACAGGCATCTGCCACCACGCCCAGCTAATTTTTTTTTTTTTTTTTTAGTATAGATGGGGTTTCCCCATGTTGGCCAGGCTGGTCTCAAACTGCTGACCTCAGGTGATCCGCCTGCTTCAGCCTCCCAAAGTGTTGGGATTGCAGGCGTGAGCCACCACACCCGGCCTGGTGGTTTCATTTTTTTTTTTTTTTTTTTTTTAGCAACTTTTGTACTCCAAGTGTTCTACCGTAAATAAACTATGGTCCCTGCCATCAAGGAGCTAACAGTTTAGTTCGGAAAGGAGGTAACATTTCACTTGTTTTTGAAAGAAGCCTATGTATTAACCAGACAAAAGGGTAAGGGGGCAATACATGTAAGGGTGCAAATGCATGAAAGGCCATGGATTTCTGTCACTACACACGCATGCACACACACACACACGCACACACACACTACATATTATACTGTCTTAACTAGGAGCAGCAGCAACAATACCATCTGTTGCATTTACTACATGCCAGGCACCATGCCAAGCACTAGGGTAAGGGATGAATATGGCTTGATCTGTGCTGTAAACATATTTATGATCCAATTCGGTGGGTGAGGCCCATAAAGAAATAGGTATACAAGGCAATGAAGAATGCCCAACATGAAGGGAAGATACCTGGTGCTCCAGGAATCCAGATTTAAAACCAATTAGAGTGGACAAGATGGTTGGAAAAGACCTCAAGGAGGTGGAAAGGCTTGAGCTACATTTTTGAAGATGAAATTTTATCAAGGGCAGAAAGGAGAGATTGGCAATTTTTGTGGGGATAAGGGATGGTCCAAAGTCAGCCTGCTAGACTATAAGTTCCATGAAGACAGGAAATATGTCTGCCTTTTAAAAACATTTTTAAATTCTTGTGGGTACATAGTAGGTGTGTATATTTATGGGGTACATGAGATATTTTGGTACAGACATGCAATACGTAATAATCACATCATGGAAAATTGGGTATTCATCCTATCAAGCATTATCCTTTGTGTTATAAACAGTCCAATTATACTCCTTTAGTTATTTTAGCACCATATTCTTGGTGCCTAGTACATGGTCTGACACTTAGTAGAAAGTTGATAATATTTGTGGTCATGATGTGTAACCTCTGAGTAGACAAGTTTGGATGAAGCACAGATTCTGCTGTGTGAGTAGTTAGAGATAAGGATAAGCTGTAAAAAGTATTTTGCATACCTGTGACACTGATGCCCTTTAGGATGCCCCCTATTCAAATCCTATGATTCTGAGGAAACTTTAGAGGAAAGCCGTAGGCACTAGGGAGCTGAGCCAAGATTGTCCTTGTAAATCTATAACATCTCCCTGTCTTTCCATACATCTCCCTGTCTTTCCATGCTTCCTATCTGTGTATTTACAGATAGGAATTGGGCTGCTTAATTATAAAGTACTCTCCATGTTTCTAAAATTGCAAAAATGCTTTATTTATTCAGAGTCAATTTTTAGTAGACTTCCTGATTACACTAGTCTGTGTATTTACTCACGCACTCAATTTCCCACTTGCCATTCATTCTCTTACATATTTACTTTCGTATTTGTTGGGAATATGATAATTTACTTTGCATATGGGGGCTAACACTTGGGATCAGGCCCTAGGGTATTTTAAAACTAAAATATACTGTATGATACCTTTAAAAAATATCCTTAGCCTGCTGTTAATGTAGTCAGGAAGTCTACTAAAACTTGACTCTGAATAAATACAGCATTTTTGCAATTTTAGGAACATGGAGTGTACTTTATAATTAAGCAGCCCAATTTTTTTTTGTAACTCAAGGGCTAAAGAGACTAGATATTTAATTAATCAAATTTGAATTATAGTTCAGTTGAAGCTTCCAAAGCCAGATCACATGCTCAGACATACCGATAGACAACCCTAAAAAAAAAGTGAGTTGTAGGAAGTGGAATAAAATTTCCTACAGAGAAAGGAGGTCTGTAGAAGTGCCAGTGCAAAATTATGAATAAACTGAAGTACAAAGCAGACAGTAGGACAAATAGAATGAAAGTACAAATTATGGAGTCTAACCAACACTCCCTGAATATAAAAGTGATCAGAAAGAGGTTTTAGAATCCAGTGGAAATATTTTCTTGGGTTAGAAAACAATTATACCTATACTCTTATGTGATAACTGTAGATTTCTCAGTTTTGGCATTATTGATGTTTTAAGCAAGATAATTTTTTCCTCTGGAGGGCTATCTTGTCCATTGTAAGATGTTTAGCAGTATCCCTGGCCTCTACCCACTATATGCCAGTAGCAACTCCTCCGTTGTGACAATGAAAAATCCAAATCTCTCTGTCCTCTCTTTCTCTTCTATCATGCATAGTGCTGCGATGAGTGTCTTGTATGTGTTTCTTTCTCCTTATGCACATATGTGAGAGTTTTTCTAGGGCAGAAATCTAGAAGCAGACTTGAGACATGGTATATACATATTTTCAACTTTACCAGGGTTGGCTCTTTAGTGTAGATGTTACAATTTGGGGTTCAACCCCCCATTCCTCACCTCAGCCATCAGCATCGTAGTTGCTGTTTCCCTGTATCTACTGTTATTTGGAATTATCAGATGTCAGACCTATTAATTTTCCAGTCTAGGGATTATAAAATGGTAATGCATAGCTTTAATTCATATTTCCTTTCTAAAAGATTGTGGATCATTTCAAAGGTTGATTGGTCATTCAGATTTTCTTTTCTTTGAAAGATCTGTTCATTCATTTGCCTTTTTATAGTTATTTTTGTTTTTTATCTTATTGATTTGGAATTTTTAATATATTTTGTATACTATTTGTTGATTATGTGTGTTGTAAATATTTTCCCCAGCCTGTGGATTGTCTATACTAAGAAAAGTTGCAGAGGATACAACAGAGTTTCTATATATATCTTTCACCCAGTTTTCCTAACTATGATACATTTGTCAAAACTAAACAGTGAACATTGATATGATACAATACTGCTAACTGAACTACATATTTTGAGTTTTCTCAATATTTTCATTAATGCCTTTTTTACTCTTTTGGAATCCAATACAGAATACAGACTGTATTTAGTCTTCATGTCTCCTTAGTCTCCTCTGCTCTGTGACAGTTTTGCGATCTTTTATGACCTCGACATTTTTGAATGTTAGTGCTCTGATATTTTGAAGAATGTAAATTGACTGAGTCTGATTATAGTTAGACTGACATTATGGATTTTGGGTGAGAATACCACAGAGGTGAGGTGTCCTTCTCATCATGTCATATTAGGGGGTACATGATATTTACATGACTTTTTACTGGAGATGTTAACATTGACCATTTGGTTAAGATTGTCTAGATTGTCTGCTGAGTTTCCCCACTTTCCCTTTTCTTTTTTTTTCTTTTAATTATACTTTAAGTTCTGGGATATATGTGCAGAACGTGCAGGTTTGTGACATAGGTATACATGTGCCATAGTGGTTTGCTGCACCCATCAACCCGTCATCTACATTAGGTATTTCTCCTACTGCTATCCCTCCCCTAGTGCTCCACCCCCTGACAGGCCCTGATGTGTGATGTTCCCCTCCCTGTGTCCATGTGTTCTCATTGTTCAACTCCCACTTATGAGTGAGAACATGTAGTATTTGGTTTTTGGTTTTCTGTTCCTGTTTTAGTTTGCTAAGAAAGATGGTTTCTGGCTTCATCCATGTCCCTGCAAAGAACATGAACTCATCCTTTTTCATGGCCTCATAGTATTCCATGGTGTATATGTGCCACATTTGCTTTATCCAGCCTATCATTGATGGGCATTTGGGTTGGTTCCAGGACTTCACTATTGTGAACAGTGCTGCAATAAACATATGTGTGCATGTGTCTTTGTAGTAGCATGATTTGTAATCTTTTGGGTCTATACCCAGTCAAGGTGATTGCTGGGTCTAATGGTATTTCTGGTTCTAGATCCTTGAGGAATCACCACACTGTCTTCCACAATGGCTGAAATAATTTACATTCCCACCAACAGTGTAAAAGCATTCCTATTTCTCCACATGCTCTTTAGCATCTGTTGTATCCTGAGTTTTTAATGATCGCCATTCTAACTGGTGTGAGATGGTATCTCATTGTGGTTTTGATTTGCATTTCTCTAATGACCAATGATGATGAGCTTTTTATCATATATTTGTTGGCCGCATAAATGTCTTCTTTTGAGAAGTGTCTGTTCATATCCTTCGCCCACTTTTTCATGGGTTTTGTTTTTCTTGTAAATTGGTTTAAGTTCTGTGTAGATTCTGGATATTAGCCGTTTGTCAGATTGAGAGATGGTAAAAATTTTCTCCCATTCTTTAGGTTGCCTGTTCACTCTGATGATAGTTTCTTTTGCTGTGTAGAAGCTCTTTCATTGAATTAGATCCCATTTGTCAATTTTGGCTTTTGTTGCCATTGCTTTTGGTGTTTTAGTCATGAAGTCTTTGCCCATGCCTATGTCCTGAATGGTATTGCCTAGGATTTCTTCTAGGGTTTTTATGGTTTTACATCTTACGTTTAAGTCTTTAATCCATCTTGAGTTAATTTTTGTATAGGGTGTAAGGAAGTGGTCCAGTTTCAGTTTTCTGAATATGGCTATCCAGTTTTCCCAACACCATTTATTAAACAGGGAATCCTATCCCCATTGCTTGTTTTTGCCAGGTTTGTCAAAGATCAGATGGTTGTAGATGTGTGGTGTTATTTCTGAGGCCTCTGTTCTGTTCCATTGGTCTATATATCAGTTTTGGTGCCAGTGCCATGGCGTTTTGGTTACTGTAGCCATGTAGTGTAGTTTGAAGTCAGGTAGCATGATGCCTCCAGATTTTTTTTTTTTCTTTTTTTTTTCCACTGAGGATTGTCTTGACTATACGGGCTCTTTTTTGGTTCCATATGAAATTTAAAGAGTTTTTTTTTTAATTCTGTGAAGAAAGTCATTGGTAGCTTGATGCTGATGGCATTGAATCTATAAATTACCTTGGGCAGTATGGCCATTTTCACGATATTGATTCTTCCTACCCATGAGCATGAAATATTCTTCCATTGGTTTGTGTCCTCTTTTATTTTGCTGAGCAGTGGTTTGTAGTTCTCCTTCAAGAGGTCCTTCATATCCCTTGTAAGTTGGATTCCTACGTTTTTTATTATCTTTGTAGCAATTGTGAATAGGAGTTTCACTCATGATTTGGCTCTCTGTTTGTCTGTTATTGTTGTATAGGAATGCTTGTGATTTTTGCACATTGATTTTTTATCCTGAGACTTTGCTGAAGCTGTTTATCAGCTTAAGGAGTTTCTGGGCTGAGACGATGGGGTTTTCTAAATATACAGTCATGCTATCTGCAAACCCAGACAATTTGACTTTCTCTCTTCCTATTTGAATACCCTTTATTTCTTTCTCTTACCTGATTGCCCTGGCCAGAACTTCCAATACTATGTTGAATAGGAGTGGTGAGAGAGCACATCCTTGTCTTGTGCCGGTTTTCAAAGGGAATGCTTTCAGCCTTCGCCCATTCAGTGAGATATTGGCTGTGGGTTTGTCAGAAATAGCTTGTATTATTTTGAGATACGTTCCATCAATACCTAGTTTATTGAGAGTTTTTAGCATGAAGGGCTGTTGCATTTTATCGAAGGCTTTTTCTGCATCTATTGAGATAATCACGTGGTTTTTGTCATTGGTTCTGTTTATGTGATGGATTATGCTTACTGATTTGTGTATGTTGAACCAGCCTTGCATCCCAGGGATGAACCCAGCTTGATCGTGGTGGATAAGCTTTTTGATGTGCTGGTGGATTTCGCTTGCCAGTATTTTATTGCGGATTTTTGCATCAATGTTCATCAGGCATATTGGCCTGAAATTTCCTTTTTACGTTGTGTCTCTGCCAGGTTTTGGTATCAGGATGATGCTGGCCTCATAAAATGAGTTAGGGAGGATTCTCTCTTTTTCTATTTATTGGAATAGTTTCAGAAGGAATGGTACCAGCTTCTCTCTGTACCTCAGGTAGAATTTGGCTGTGAATCCATCTGGTCCTGGGTTTTGTTTTGGTTGGTAGGCTATTAATTACTGCCTCAATTTCAGAACTTGTTGTTGGTCCATTCAGGGATTCTACTTCTTCCTTGTTTGGTCTTGGCAGAGTGTGTGTGTGTTTGTGTGTCCAGGAGCTTATCCATTTCTTCTTGATTTTTTAGTTTATTTGCATAGAGGTGTTTGTAGTATTCTCTGATGGTAGTTTGTATTTCTGTGGGATCAGTGGTGATTTCTCCTTTATCTTTTTTTGTCTATTTGATTCTTCTACCTAGTGGTCTATCTACTTTGTTAATCTTTTCCAAAAAACTAGCTCTTGAATTCATTCATTTTTTTGAAGGGTTTTTTGTATCTCTATCTCTTTCAGTTCTGCTCTGACCTTAGTTATTTCTTGTCTTCTTCCAGCTTTTGTATTTGTTTGCTCTTGCTTCTCTCATTGTTTTAATTGTAATGTTAGGGTGTTGATTTTAGATCTTTCCTGCTTTCTCCTGTGGGCATTTAGTGCTATAAATTTCCATCTAAACACTGCTTTAGCTGTGTTCCAGAGATTCTGGTATGTTGTGGCTTTGTTCGTATTAGTTTCAGAGAATTTATTTATTTTTGACTTAATTTTGTTATTTACCCAGTAGTCATTCAGGAGCAGGTTGTTCAGTTTCCATGTAGTTGTGCAGTTTTGAGTGAGTTTCTTAATTCTGAGTTCTAATTTGATTGCACCGTGGTCTGAGAGACTGTTATGATTTCTGTCCTTTTGCATTTGCTGAGGAGTGTTTTACTTCCAATTATGTGATCAATTTTGGAATAAGTGCAATGTGGTGCTGAGAAGAATGTGTATTCTGTTGATTTGGAGTGGAGAGTTCTGTAGATGTCTGTTAGGTCTGTTTTTTCCACAGCTGAGTTCTAGTCCTGAATAGCCTTGGTAATTTTCTGTCTCGTTGGTCTGTCTAATATTGACAGTGAGGTGTTAATATCTCCCACTATTATTGTGTGGGAGTCTAAGTCTCTTTGTAAGTCTCTAAGAACTTGCGTTATGAATCTGGGCACTCCTGTATTGGGTGTATATATATGTAGGATAGTTAGCTCTTCTTGTTGCATTGATCCCTTTACCATTATGTAATGGCCTTCTTTGTCTTTTTTGATCTTTGTTGGTTTAAGGTCTGTTTTATCAGAGACTAGGATTGCAACCCCTGCTTTTTTTTTTCTTTCCATTTGTTTGGTAAATATTTCTCCATCCCTTTATTTTGAGCCTATGTGTGTGTTTGCATGTGAGATGGGACTCCTGAATACAGCACAATGTTGGGTCTTGACTCTTAATCCATTTTGCCAGTCTGTGTCTTTTTATTGGGACATTTAGTCCATTTACATTTAAGATTAATATTGTTATGTGTAAATTTGATTCTGTCATTATGATGATAGCTGGTTATTTTGCCCGTTAGTTGATGCATTTTCTTCATAGTATCGATGGTCTTTACAATTTGGTATGTTTTTGCAGTGGCTGGTACTGGGTTTTCCTTTCCATATTTAGTGCTTCCTTCAGAGCTCTTGTAATGCAGGCCTGGTGGTGACAAAATCTCTCAGCATTTGCTTGTCTGCAAAGTATTTTATTTCTCCTTCACTTATGAAGCTCAGTTTGGCTGGATATGAAATTCTGGGTTGAAAATTATTTTCTTTAAGAGTGTTGAACATTGGCCCCCACTCTCATGTGGCTTGTAGAGTTTCTGCAGAGAGATCCGCTGTTAGTCTGATGGGCTTCCCTTTGTGGGTAACCCGACCTTTCTCTCTGGCTGCCCTTAACATTTTTTTCTTCATTTCAGTCTTGGTGAATTTGATGATTATGTGTCTTGAGGTTGCTCTTCTCGAGGAGTATCTTTGTGGTGTGCACTGTATTTCAGGAAACACTTTCCCTTTTCATTCAAGTCACTAAGTGCACCCTACACTTGGGAGAAGGGGAATGCTCCCATCTTTTATGTTAATAGCACACTCTTTTAAAATTCTGTTTATGTCATTTCAGTGTTTAAATGTTTTAACTATTGAGATACTCAAATGGATGTTTTTTTTTCTTATGCTTTGTACATTTTTACATCTTAAGAAACCTTTCCTTGTTCTGATTTGTTTTATCAGAGTTTTCTTATGTTTTCTTCAAAATATTTGCCATTTTGCTTTTCATACTTTAATGTACCTATGACTCATTTGTATATGTAACATAAGGAAGAGGTTTAATTTTATCTTTTCCCATATGACTATATGGTTGTCCAGTCACCATTTAAAACACATAGTCCATTTCTACCCATTATACTCAACCAAGATGTTCTAGTCTTCTCAGAACAAACAATTTCTGCTTTAAGGTGCCTTATCAGATCTACTTACGTAAGTGGTAGGCAATGTTATGAAAGCTTCTCTTGCTGAAATAAAGCTCTGCTTTTTATGGCCCAAAACAGATAATGGCAAACAAAAAGAATATTCCTGTTATATTATTTAAAATGATCAGTTATTAAACAACCAGTTTAAGGGGATATAATATCACCATCATGATCCATTGACCTTATATATTTTTAGAAAATATTTCGATTTTGAGGCATTTCTTTCAGAAATTTTGGAATTTACTGGAATTTCTGTTGATAATTTAGAATTACTCAGCAATCATTTTTATACAGTACAGTTTTCTGTCTTCACTAATGAGTGTGTGCATGCATGTGCAAAAGTATGCTTTCCCACAATTTTTTCTGTCTTATGGAGTAAAGAAGAAACAGTTGTTAGCTGTGACTTGACTGTGTGCACCTTCCAACCAGGGACTGTATTCTCCTTTCTACTTACCAAGTATAACCTGTTTTTAAGGTTGCATTTCAAATTATATTATATTGTTTCTACCCATGGAGAACTCGAGTGACATTTACTATATTGCCTTAATCTGAAGATGCTTTGAATTCCAAATTGCAGCATGGATAGGTCATAGCTTTTATAAGTTTATGTCAATTATAAGATAAATGTTTATTTCAGAGTTGTTAAAAAGTAAAAAACAACAAACAACAATGTGTATCCTAGAATTGAGGGAATATGGTACTACTTAATTCATCCATTTAGAAATTGTATACAGTTTTCTTGTAAAGTTCTTTAGTATTCTGTTTAGCCAAATGGCTTAGAACATCTACATTTGCCTTTCGTCTGTAAATTCTTTTGAGGGCAGAATCTATTCTAACCACTGTATTTCTGTTACCTATCAGAGTCATGGTGTATAAAAGGTGCTCAAGAAATGTTTTTAATGGGGTTTAATTAAGATTTTCTATATTTTCCTCTTAGCACCTATAATGGGGCTTTATATAGGGCAGCCAAAGACTTATCAATAATAAAAGAATCAAGCAACTGGGGCATGGATAGAAAAAGTTAAAGATCTCAAGGATTTACAGCATTCCATCAAACATAAGCAAAGATGCAATTGTCAGAAGCAGAATGTCCAAGTGCTGAGAAGACCTGCCCCTCTTTCAGCCATCTCTTTGAATGCTAGTGTAAGTAGCACCAGACTTTGAATCAGTGAAAGTTATTCCATTGAATAGTAGCATTCACCTTTCTTCCTTTCTGAGCATGGTGGTATTTAGTTGCTCTCTATTTAGTCAGCATCTCTCCCTAATGTCTAACTCCTCTATTTGAGAATATTAGTCAGTAAGCTTCTAGCTGATATCTTCAACCAATTTCTCTCTCAGAAATCACAATGTTATTCGTGCAAGGGATGATGCCATTAAGAAAAGTATTGTTTGAAAATTGATCAAATTCCTCCTCACCACACTCATTGTGTGACTCAGCTGCCTGTCCACTTCTCCCCCTTGGTGGGGAATGGTGAGGCTCCTGGGAGTTACTGGGATATTCCTGAGAAAAGCATGGAAAATAGGGTAGGAGACCACAGTAACCTGGTTTTGTTGGAGTTAGGGTTAAATCCAACTCTTCTAGTGGCCAAATAACTTTATAGTTGAAGGGGAGCCATATGCATATCCATGAAAACAGATTGGAGTGGAGCACAGAATGATTAGTTTCATACTAATACTAACCATACTAATACTAACCTTACTAATACTTACCTAGCACAGTCATGGCGTATAAAAAGTGTTCAATAAATGTTAGCAATGCTGTTAATTACTAATACTAAGTGCTGGTGAATGTGTAGGGAACTATGAACAATCTCATACTGTTGGTATCAATGTTAATTGTTACAAGTACTTTGAAAATAGTTTAGCATTACTAGTAAAGTAGAAGACCTGCATAATCTGTGATCCAGTAATTTCACTCCTGGGTATAGACTCTTTAAGGCCTTCCTGCTCCAAATGTGGTCCATAGACCAGCTATAACATCACCTGGGAGCTTGTTAGAAATGTGTGATCTCAAGCCCCACCCCAGAACTACAGAATCAGAATCTGAATTTTAACAAGATATCAAGTGATTTGTATGCACATTAAAGTATGAGAAGCATCTAGAGGAACTATTTACTTGTAAACAAGGAGACTTTGTTTCAAGAATATTCTTTCTTTCAAGAATATTCATGATATCAAAAAACAGAAACAACCCAGATACCAGTGAATAGGAGAATAGATAATTATGGAATTTTGATAGTATGCATAGCAGTGCTAAATAAATGAACTAGAGCCACATGGATAAATCTCAAAAACATAATATTAGAGTGGAGGACAAATTGCAGAATGCATATAATGTGATAACTTTTATAAGACTTAAAAATATATCACTTATACTTTTTATACATATATACTAAAAGTATAAAAACATGCATGGGAATAAAATCACCAAATATAAGGCTTAAAAATATATCAGTTATACTATTTATACATATATACTAAAAGTATAAAAACACATGGGAATAAAACCACCAAATTCACGATAGTAGTTACTTCTAGGATGGAGAGGAATGGGATCTTGGAGGGTTATTCACTGGCTTGAAGCATATTTATAATATTTCATTTACTTGTTTGAAAGCTTAAGCAAATATAGCAGCATGCTATAATTTGACAAACTTGAGAATTAGCTGCATGGATTTTCATTATTTTATTCTTTATTCTTTTTCAAATAATCTACCAGAGAGAATGCATCTAATAGTATCACAGCCATATTAATATAGGTACCTGAGAAATACTAAACCTGTTAAAATTTTCTCTCCTCAGTTACTTAAATAAATCATCTTTTCTTTATATGTGATCTGTGATTGATGACCATCTCCCCTTCAGTATCACTCCAGTCTGGAGAATCTCTAGTCCCCAAAGTTCATCACTCATCATATATTGATTGTGAACATATTAGGTGGGTATACAGTGGTGAACAAGACAAAAAAAGCAATTACACTCATGGAGGTTGTATTCTAGTGGTAAAAGACTTGTAAGAATCTAGTCGAGGTGGAGCCAAGATGGCCGAATAGGAAAAGCTCCAGTCTACAGCTCCCAGTATGAGCGATGCAGAAGATGGGTGATTTCTGCATTTCCAACTGAGGTACCAGGTTCATCTCACTGGAGAGTGCCAGACAGTGGGTGCAGGACTGTGGGTGCAGTGCACCGTGTGTGAGCCAAAGCAGGGCGAGGCATTGCCTCACGCAGGAAACGCAAGGGGTCAGGGAATTGCCTTTCTTAGTCAAAGAAAGGGGTGACAGATGGCACCTGGAAAATCGGGTCACTCCCACCCTAATACTGCACTTTTCCAACGGGCTTAACAAATGGCACACCAGGAGATTATATCCTGCACCTGGTTCAGAGAGTCCTACGCCCATGGATCCTGGCTGTTTGTTAGCACAGGGGTCTGACATCAAACTGCAAGTCGGCAGTGAGGCTGGGGGAGGGGCGCCCGCCATTGCCGAGGCTTGAGTAGTAAACAAAGCAGCCGGGAAACTCGAACTGGGTGGAGCCCACCACAGCTCAAGGACCCTGCCTGCCTCTGTAAGCTCCACCTCTGGGGGCAGGGCACAGACAAACGAAATGCAGCAGTAACCTTTGCAGACTTAAATGTTCCTGTCTGACAGCTTTGAAGAGAGTAGTGGCTCTCCCAGCATGCAGCTTGAGCTCAGAGAACGGGCAGACTGCCTCCTCAAGTGGGTCCCTGACCCCTGAGTAGCCTAACTGGGAGGCACCCCAGAGTAGGGGTGGACTGACACCTCACACGGCCGGGTACTCCTCTGACACAAAACTTCCAGAGGAACGATCAGGCAGCAACATTTGTAGTTCACCAATATCCGCTGTTCTGCAGCGACCACTGCTGATACCCAGGCAAACAGGGTCTGGAGTGGAACTCCAGCAATCTCCAACAAACCTGCAGCTGAGGGTCCTGACTGTTAGAAGGAAAACTAACAAACAGAAAGGACATCCACACCAAAAACCCATCTGTATGTCACCATCATCAAAGACCAAAGGTAGATAAAACCACAAAGATGGGGAAAAAACAGAGCAGAAAAACCAGAAACTCTAAAAATCAGAGCGACTCTCCTCCTCCAAAGGAGCGCAGCTCCTCACTAGCAATGGAACAAAGCTGGACGGAGAATGACTTTGACGAGTTGAGAGAAGAAGGCTTCAGAAGATCAAACTACTCCGAGCTAAAGGAGGAAGTTCGAACCAATGGCAAAGAAGTTAAAAACCTTGAAAAAAAATTAGACAAACGACTAACTAGAATAACCAATGCAGAGAAATACCTAAAGGACCTGGTGGAACTGAAAACCATGGCATGAGAACTACGTGATGAATGCACATGCGTCAGTAGCTGATTTCATCAACTGGAAGAAAGAGTATCAGCGATGGAAGATGAAATGAATGAAATGAAGGGAGAAAAGAAGTTTAGAGTAAAAGAAATAAAAAGAAATGAGCAAAGCCTCCAACAAATATGGGACTATGGGAAAAGACCAAATCTACATCTGACTGGTGTACCTGAAAGTGATGGGGAGAATGGAACCAAGTCACAAAACACTGTGCAGGCTATTATTGAGGAGAACTTCCCCAATCTAGCAAGGCAGGCCAACATTCAAATTCAGGAAATACAGAGAATGCCACAAAGATACTCCTCGAGAAGAGCAACTCCAAGACACATAATTGTCAGATTCACCAAAGTTGAAATGAAGGAAAAAATGTTAAGGGCAGCCAGAGAGAAAGGTCGGGTTACCCACAAAGTGAAGCCCATCAGACTAACAGGTGATCTCTCGGCAGAAGCTCTACAAGCCAGAAGAGATGGGGTGCCAATATTCAACATTCTTAAAGAAAAGAATTTTCAACCCAGAATTTCATATCCAACCAAACTAAGCTTCATAAGTGAAGGAGAAATAAAATACTTTACAGACAAGCAAATGCTGAGAGATTTTGTTACCACCAGGCCTGCCCTAAAAGAGCTCCTGAAGGAAGCACTAAACATGGAAAGGAAAAACCAGTACCAGCCACTGCAAAAACATGCCAAATTGTAAAGACCATCAAGGCTAGGAAGAAACGGCATCAACTAACAAGTAAAATAACCAGCTAACATCATAATGACAGGATCAAAATCACGTATAACAATATTAACCTTAAATGTAAATGGGCTAAATGCTCCAATTAAAAGACACAGACTGGCAAATTGGATAAAGAGTCAAGACCCATCAGTGTGCTGTATTCAGGAAACCCATCTCACGTGCAGAGACACACATAGGCTCAAAATAAAGGGATGGAGGAAGATCTACCAAGCAAATGGAAAACAAAAAAAGACAGGGGTTGCAATCCTAGTCTCGGATAAAACAGACTTTAAACCAACAAAGATCAAAAGAGACAAAGAAGACCATTACATAATGGTAAAGGGATCAATTCAAGAAGAAGACCTAACTATCCGAAATATATATGCACCCAATACAGGAGCACCCAGATTCATAAAGCAAGTTCTTAGTGACCTACAAAGAGACTTAGATTCCCACACAATAATAGTGTGTCACTTTAACACCCCACTGTCAACATTAGAAAGATCAATGAGACAGAAAGTGAACAGGGATGTCTAGGAAATGAACTCAGCTCTGCACCAAGTGGACCTAATAGACATCTACAGAACTCTACACCCCAAATCAGCAGAATATACATTCTTTTCAACACCATACCAAGCCTATTCCAAAATTGACCACATGGTTGGAAGTAAAGCTCTCCTCAGCAAATGTAAAAGAACAGAAATTATAACAAACTGTCTCTCAGACCACAGTGCAATCAAACTAGAACTCAGGATTAAGAAACTCACTCAAAACCTCTCAAGTACATGGAAACTGAACAACCTGCTCCTGAATAACTACTGGGTACATAACGAAATGAAGGCAGAAATAAAGATGTTCTTTGAAACCAACGAGAGCAAAGACACAACATAACCAGAATCTCTGGGACACATTCAAAGCAGTATGTAGAGGGAAATTTATAGCACTAAATGCCCATAAGAGAAAACAGGAAAGATCTAAAATTGACACCCTAACATCACAATTAAAAGAACTAGAAAAGCAAGAGCAAACACGTTCAAAATCTAGCAGAAGGCAAGAAATAACTAAGATCACAGCAGAACTGAAGGAAATAGAGACACAAAAAACCCTTCAAAAATCAATGAATCCAGGAGGTGGTTTTTTGGAAAGATCAACAAAATGGATAGACCACTAGCAAGAGTAATAAAGAAGAAAAGAGAGAAGAACCAAATAGACACAATAAAAAATGATAAAGGGGATATCACCACTGAGCCCACAGAAATACAAGCTACCATCAGAGAATACTATAAACACCTCCACGCAAATAAACTAGAAAATCTGGAAGAAATGGATAAATTCCTCGACACATACACTCTCCCAAGACTAAACCAGGAAGAAGTTGAATCTCTGAATAGACCAATAACAGGCTCTGAAATTGAGGCAATAATTAATAGCTTACCAATCAAAAAGAGTCCAGGACCAGATGGATTCACAGCCGAATTCTACCAGAGGTACAAGGAGGAGCTAGTAACATTCCTTCTAAAACTATTCCAATCAATAGAAAAAGAGGGAATCCTCCCTAACTCATTTGATGAGGACGGCATCATCCTGATACCAAAGCCTGGCAGAGACACAACAAAAAAAACAGATTTTTAGACCAATATCCTTGATGAACATTGATGCAAAAATCCTCAATAAAATCCTGGCAAACGGAATCCAGCAACTCATCAAAAAGCTAATCCACCATGATCACGTGGACTTCATTCCTGGGATGCAAGCCTGGTTTAACATAGGAAAATGAATAAACGTAATCCAGCATATAAACAGAACCAAAGACAAAAACCACATGATTATCTCCATAGATGCAGAAAAGGCCTTTGATAAAATTCAACAACCCTTCATGCTAAAAACTCTCAATAAATTAGTTATTGATGGGACGTATCTCAAAATAATAAGAGCTATCTATGACAAACCCACAGCCAGTATCATATTGAATGGACAAAAACTGGAAGCATTCCCTTTGAACACTGGCACAAAACAGGGATGCCCTCTTTTACCACTCCTATTCAACATAGTGTTGAAATTTCTGGCCAGGACAATCAGTCAGGAGAAAGAAATAAAGGACATTCAATTAGGAAAAGAGGAAGTCAAATTGTCCCTGTTTGCAGATGACATGATTATATATCTAGAAAACCCCATTGTCTCAGCCCAAAATCTCCTTAAGCTGATAAGCAACCTCAGAAAAGTCTCAGGATACAAAATCAATGTGCAAAAATCACAAGCATTCTTATACACCAGTAACAGACAGAGAGCCAAATCATGAGTGAACTCCCATTCACAATTGCTTCAAAGAGAATAAAATACCTAGGAATCCAACTTGCAAGGGATGTGAAGGACCTCTTCAAGGAGAACTACAAACCACTGCTCAATGAAATAAAAGAGGATACAAACAAACGGAAGAACATTCCATGCTCATGGGTAGGAAGAATCAATATCGTGAAAATGGCCATACTGCCCAAGGTAATTTATAGATTCAATGCCATCCCCATCAATCTACCAATGACTTTCTTCACAGAGTTGGAAAAAACTACTTTAAAGTTCATATGGAACCAAAAAAGAGCCCACATTGCCAAGTCAATCCTAAGCCAAAAGAACAAAGCTGGAGGCATGACCTGACTTCAAACTATACTACAAGGCTACAGTAACCAAAACAGCATGGTATTGGTACCAAAACAGAGATATAAACCAATGTAACAGAACAGAGCCCTCAGAAATAATGCTGCATATCTACAACTATCTTATCTTTGACAAACCTGACAAAAACAAGTAATGGGGAAAGGATTCCCTATTTAATAAATGGTGCTAGGAAAACTGGCTAGCCATGTGAAGAAAGCTGCAACTGGATCCCTTCCTTACACCTTATACAAAAATTAATTCAAGTTGGATGAAAGACTTAAATGTTAGACCTAAAACCATAAAAACCCTAGAAGAAAACCTAGGCATTACCATTCAGGTCATAGGCATGGGCAAGGACTTCATGTCTAAAACACCAAAAGCAATGGCAACAAAAGCCAAAACTGACAAATGGGATCTAATTCAACTAAAGAGCTTCTGCAGAGCAAAAGAAACCACCATCAGAGTGAACAGGCAACCTACAGAATGGGAGAAAACTTTCACAACCTACTCATCTGACAAAGGGCTAATATCCAGAATCTATAATGAACTCAAACAAATTTACAAGAAAAAAACAACCCCAGCAAAAAGTGGGCAAAGGATATGAACAGACACTTCTCAAAAGAAGACATTTATGCAGCCGAAAGACACATGAAAAAATGCTCATCATCACTGGCCATCAGATGAATGCAAAACGAAACCACAATGAAATACCATCTCACACCAGTTAGAATGACGATCATTAAAAAGTCAGAAAACAACAGGTGCTGGAGAGGATGTGGAGAAATAGGAACACTTTTACACTGTTGGTGGGATTGTAAACTAGTTCAACCATTATGGAAGTCAGTGTGGCGATTCTTCAGGGATCTAGAACTAGAAATACCATTTGACCCAGCCATCCCATTACTGAGTATATACCCAAAGGACTATAAGTCATGCTGCCTTAAAGACACATGCACACGTATGTTGATTGTGGCACTATTCACAATGGCAAAGACTTGGAACCAAGCCAAATGTCCAACAATGATAGACTGGATTAAGAAAATGTGGCACATATACACCATGGAATACTATGCAGCCATAAAGAATGATGAGTTCATGTCCTTTGTAGGGACATGGATGAAGCTGGAAACCATCATTCTCAGCAAACTATCGCAAGGACAAAAAACCAAACACCGCATTTTCTTACTCATAGGTGGGAATTGATCAATGAGTACGCATGGACACAAGAAGGGGAACATCACACACCAGGGACTGTTGTGGGGTGGGGGGTGGTGGGGTGGAATAGCATTAGGAGATATACCTAATGTTAAAGGTTGAGTTAATGGGTGCAGCACACCAACATTGCACATGTGTACATATATAACAAATCTGTACGTCATGCACTTGTACCCTAAAACTTAAAGTATAATAATAATAAAATTAATAAAAAAAGAATCTAGTCAACAAATGCATAGGCAAGATAATTGCAGCTTATGGTCACTATTACAATGAAAATAAATCAGGATAATGAAGGGTGAGCGACTAGAACGTATATGTAATGAAGATCGTTTCGATTGGGTTGCATAGGGAAGTTTTTATATTAGGCCATCTTTAGGCTGGTTCCTAGGATAATGGAAAAGAGTTAGACATGTGAAACATGGAAGAAGAGCATGTCCGACAGAGAAGCCAACAAGTGCAAAGGCCCTGAATTGAAGGCAAGTTCAGACTGTTGGAGGAATAGCTAGAAGTTCAATGTGGCTGGTGCATAGTCATCAAGTAATGGAGAATTGTTAAGAGAGTTCTTTAAAGCACTGAGACATTGAAACATTTTAAGCATATCAGCATGTTCTGTGGATGCCTGTGACCTGTCCGGAGACTGTGGCCCAAGAAAGAGATGATTCTTCAGCTTAGATGGTAGCAGTGGAGACAGAAATGTAGACAGTGTCAGAATCCATTTTGGAAGTAGAGTTGACCAGACTTAATGGAGTGAATACAGCGGCGAGGGAATGAAAAGAACAAAGGATTATTTTTAATTTTTGGCATGAGTGACAGAGCAGTTGGTGGTGCTATTTACTGAGATGAGGAAGAAGGGGAGTGAATTTTGGAACTAAAATTAACAGTTTAGTGCTGGTCATATTGAATTTGAAATGCTTATTAGATATCCAAGTAGAAGCACTAGAGCAGCATAGCTCGAAATAAAAATTTGGGAATCATTAGGATAGAGATGGTATTTAACAACACGGTACTAGATTAGATTACCCAAAGAAAGGGTGTACAGGGAGAAGAAAAGAGATTTGAAGACTGAGTCTAGGACATCCCAACATTTAAAAGTCTGGTAGATGAGAAGCCTTCACTGGTTTGATGAGTCTATTCATGGCGGGAGGTGAGAGGAAAGTTGGTGACTAGGTTTCTGATGACTAGCAGCTGAATTTTAACTTCAGATTTCGCTTCTTATCCTTGGTAAAATAATTAGCCACAGAGACTTCCTGATAGCTCTTGGTAAGGTAGTGAAGAAGGCATGGGCTTTGGGGAAGGAAGAAACTCTAGGAGGTGAAAACTTAAGTGGGACGCAAATGTTGTTCAGTGTAAGGCTATGGAGGAAAGCCAATGGCTTACTGCTCTGGTTTTCATCTGCTTTCACCTTTCAGCTGCATTCTAAATGGCTGTAATTAAAAACAACTTCTTTGGAACATTGTGTTTGCAGCTGTCTGCTTTCCCTTGAGAACTCAGGTGATCTCTGGAACCTCATTCCGAATCTACCCTGCACACATGGAGTCTGTTTGCTGGATGGGGTAGAGGTTTCAAGGGGAGTGAACCCTGATGTTTGCAGATAAAATTATGCATTGAACTCTAAGAATTGTTTGTTCAATGACAAATTCACTGTTTTTGTTTTATTCTTTTTGATAGAAATGTTCCTTCCATAGGAATAGACTCCTTGAGAGTTTTTAGCATGAAGTGTTGAATTTTGTTAAAGGCCTTTTCTGCATCTATTGAGATAATCATGTGGTTTTTGTCTTTGATTCTGTTTATATGCTGGATTACATTTATTGATTTGCGTATATTGAACCAGCCTTGCATCCCAGGGATGAAGCCCACTTGATCATGGTGGATAAGCTTTTTGATGTGCTGCTGGATTCGGTTTGCCAGTATTTTATTGAGGATTTTTGCATCAATGTTCATCAAGGATATTGGTCTAAAATTCTCTTTTTTGGTTGTGTCTCTGTCAGGCTTTGGTATCAGGATGATGCTGGCCTCATAAAATGAGTTAGGGAGGATTCCCTCTTTTTCTATTGATTGGAATAGTTTCAGAAGGAATGGTACCAGCTCCTCCTTGTACCTCTGGTAGAATTCGGCTGTGAATCCATCTGGTCCTGGACTCTTTTTGGTTGGTAAGCTATTGATTATTGCCACAATTTCAGAGCCTGTTATTGGTCTATTGAGAGATTCAACTTCTTCCTGGTTTAGTCTTGGCAGGGTGTATGTGTCGAGGAATTTATCCATTTCTTCTAGATTTTCTAGTTTATTTGCGTAGAGGTGTTTATATATTCCCTGATGGTAGTTTGTGTTTCTGTGGGTTCGGTGGTGATATCCCCTTTATCATTTTTTATTGCGTCTATTTGATTCTTCTCTCTTTTCTTCTTTCTTAGTCTTGCTAGTGGTCTATCAATTTTGTTGATCCTTTCCAAAAACCAGCTCCTGTATTCATTAATTTTTTGAAGGGTTTTTTGTGTCTCTATTTCCTTCAGTTCTGCTGTGATCTTAGTTATTTCTTGCCTTCTGCTAGCTTTTGAATGTGTTTGCTCTTGCTTTTCTAGTTCTTTTAATTGTGATGTTAGGGTGTCAATTTTGGATCTTTCCTGCTTTCTCTTGTGGGCATTTAGTGCTATAAATTTCCCTCTACACACTGCTTTGTATGTGTCCCAGAGATCCTGTTATGTTGTGTCTTTGTTCTCGTTGGTTTCAAAGAACATCTTTATCTCTGCCTTCATTTCGTTATGTACCCAGTAGTCATTCAGGAGCAAGTTGTTCAGTTTCCATGTAGTTGAGTGGTTTTGAGTGAGTTTCTTAATCCTGAGTTCTGGTTTGATTGCACTGTGGTCTGAGAGACAGTTTGTTAAAATTTCTGTTCTTTTACATTTGGTGAGGAGAGCTTTACTTCCAACTATGCGGTCAATTTTGGAATAGGTGTGGTGTGGTGCTGAAAAAAATGTATATTCTGTTGATTTGGGGTGGAGAGTTCTGTAGATGCCTATTAGGTCCACTTGGTGCAGAGCTGAGTTCAATTTCTGGGTATCCTTGTTAACGTTCTGTCTCATTGATCTGTCTAATGTTGACAGTGGGGTGTTAAAGTCTCCCATTATTGTTGTGTGGTAGTCTAAGTCTCTTTGTAGGTCGTATCTCAAAATAATAAGAGGTATCTATGACAAACCCACAGCCAATATCATACTGAATGGGCAAAAACTGGAAGCATTCCCTTTGAAAACTGGCACAAGACAGGGATGCTCTCTCTCACCACTCCTATTCAACATAGTGTTGGAAGTTCTGGCCAGGACAATTAGGCAGGAGAAGGAAATAAAAGGTATTCAATTAGGAAAAGAGGAAGTCAAATTGTCCCTGTTTGTAGATGACATGATTGTATATCTAGAAAACCCCATTGTCTCAGCCCAAAATCTCCTTAAGCTGATAAACAACTTCAGCAAAGTCTCAGGATAAAAAATCAATGTACAAAAATCACAAGCATTCTTATACACCAGTAACAGACAGAGAGCCAAATCATGAGTGAACTCCCATTCACAATTGCTTCAAAGAGAATAAAATACCTAGGAATCCAACTTGCAAGGGATGTGAAGGACCTCTTCAAGGAGAACTACAAACTGCTGCTCAATGAGATAAAAGAGGATACAAACAAATGGAAGAACATTCCACGCTCTTGCATAGGAAGAATCAATATCATGAAAATGGCCATACTGCCCAAGGTAATTTATAGATTCAATGCCACCCCCATCAAGCTACCAATTACTTTCTTTACAGAATTGGAAAAAACTACTTTAAAATTCATATGGAACCAAAAAAGAGCCCACATCGCCAAGTCAATCCTAAGCCAAAAGAAGAAAGCTGGAAGCATCATGCTACCTGACTTCAAACTATACTACAATGCTACAGTAACCAAAACAGCATGGTACTGGTACCAAAACAGAGATGTAGATCAATGGAATAGAACAGAGCCCTCAGAAATAACACCACATATCTACAACTATCTGATCTTTGACAAACCTGAGAAAAACAAGAAATGGGGAAAGGATTCCCTATTTAATAAATGGTGCTGGGAAAACTGGCTAGCCATATGTGGAAAGCTGAAACTGGGTCCCTTCCTTACACCTTATACAAAAATTAATTCAAGATGGATTGTCGACTTAAACGTTAGACCTCAAACCATAAAAACCCTAGAAGAAAACCTAGGCATTACCATTCAGGACATAGGCATGGGCAAGGACTTCATGTTTGAAACACCAAAAGCAATGGTAACAAAAGCCAAAATTGACGAATGGGATCTGATTAAACTCAAGAGCTTCTGCACAGCAAAAGAAACTACCATGAGAGTGAACAGGCAACCTACAAAATGGGAGAAAATTTTCGCAACCTACTCATCTGACAAAGCGCTAATATCCAGAATCTACAATCAACTCAAACAAATTTACAAGAAAAAAACAAACAACCCCATCAAAAAGTGGGCAAAGGACATGAACAGACACTTCTGAAAAGAAGACATTTATGCAGCCAAAAAACACATGAGAAAATGCTGACCATCACTGGCCATCAGAGAAATGCAAATCAAAACCACAATGAGATACCATCTCACACCAGTTAGAATGGCGATCGTTAAAAAGTCAGGAAACAGCAGGTGCTGGAGAGGATGTGGAAAAATAGGAAGACTTTTACACTGTTGGTGGGACTGTAAACTAGTTCAACTATTGTGGAAGTCAGTGTGGCGATTCCTCAGGGATCTAGAACTAGAAATACCATTTGACCCAGCCATCCCATTACTGAGTATATACCCAAAGGACTATAAATCATGCTGCTATAAAGACACATGCACACGTATGTTTTTTGCAGCACTATTCACAATAGTAAAGACTTGGAACCAAGCCAAATGTCCAACAATGATAGACTGGATTAAGAAAATGTGGCACATATACACCATGGAATACTATTCGGCCATAAAAAATGATGAGTTCATGTCCTTTGTAGGGACATGGATGAAATTGGAAATCATCATTCTCAGTAAACTATCTCAAGAAGAAAAAACCAAACACCGCATATTCTCACTCATAGGTGGGAATTGAACAATGAGAACACATGGACACAGGAAGGGGAACATCACACTCTGGGGACTGTTGTGGGGTGGAGGGAGGGGGGAGGGATAGCATTAGGAGATACACCTAATGCTAAATGACGAGTTAATGGGTGCAGCACACCAGCATGGCACATGCATACATATGTAACTAACCTGCACATTGTGCACATGTACCCTAAAACTTAAAGTATAGTAATAAAAAAAATGCAATAGACTCCTTGAGTGTTGGGGATCAGAGCAGAATCAAATCAATCTTTTTCTTTGAGTTTTGTGCCTAAGTCTAACCCCTCATGACTTTCTGTTGAGCTCTAAGAAGCCTTGCAAAATAAATGCTTTATATTATAATGTAGAAGATTCTTATGTGTGTATAAGTCATGCCCCAATATTTTAAAAAACATTTCCTCTTTTAAAAAAGCATTAAGTGTATTTAAATAGTTTCTAGAAACATAACTTTTTCTCATGAAAATACAGTGTACATTTTTGCTAGAGGTACAATTAGATGCAGAGAAATTATTTGTGCCAATAACTCAGTCCATTATTTTATGTATTTTACTCAGTATATGGGTGTATTAGATGTTGAAAATATTTGCATACATTTTTGGTGCTGGAAGTTGGGAAGTATAGCTCATATGCCAGCAAATAAGATAGTGTGCTTGCAAACAGGTTTATTTTTTAACTAGTTCATTTTCTTTTTAAGGAATACCAGTAATTAGCTGATTAACATTCTCGACTCTTTACACTCACACTAGAAGTTGTTAATGTAGAAGACAAGTCAGCAAAGTTTTTCTGTAAATGACCAATAAAACTTTAGGCTTTGCAGGCCATATGGTCTCTATTGCAACAATGCAACTCTACCCTTTTAAAGTGAAGAGTTGTATGTCATACATAGACAAATAGGTACAGCTGTGTTCCAATAGTACTTTATTTCTGAAACTAGCTACAGAGCTGGAATTGGCCAAGTTTATAGTTTGCCCACTCCTGTTGTAGAAGATCATTTTACCTGGAATGTCTCAGACCTGATTTATTCCCAATTAAGAAGTTCTTACAATTGCAGAAAGATACTTTAAAACAGTTGTTACATATCATACCATATATAGCATATAGCAACTGAGGATCTTTTCAACTTGTGAAAGTCACCATAGATGATGCAGTCATGTCTACAGATTATTGTTTAATATTTCTTTATAATCTGTTCTACC
This sequence comes from Homo sapiens, assembly GCF_000001405.40. Taxonomy (NCBI): domain Eukaryota; kingdom Metazoa; phylum Chordata; class Mammalia; order Primates; family Hominidae; genus Homo; species Homo sapiens. The sequence goes on from NC_000023.11 coordinate 55,948,643, forward strand.
CCATAGCATTTAAGGCCACCAAGACATCACCAACAGGTTTTTGGAGCCCGTTAGATCATACCATCACCACTCTTGCAATATAGTGGGAGACAATTTAGTGTAGTGGTTATAAGATCAGACTTTGAAACTACACAGTTATGAGGTTGAGTCCTAGCTCTTACTCTTCCACTGTCATGTGACTTACTAAACTTCCCAATGTGTCAGTTTCCACATCTATAAAATGAGTTCTTACATGTAAAATACTAGTACTTAGTAAGCACTCCACAGGCATTATCTGTTATTCTAGCAATAATTATTCAGTTGTGGCAATGGCATTTTTAAATAGATCATCAATGGAAAAGTCCTTTTAGACAGTTCCCTTTTTTCATGTGTCCAGCGTTTGAACTCTCAAATAAATTATCTTCTATGATACTAGTCTTAGATGAATGTCTTTTAGTCAGGCTAGAGTAACTCTTGCTTTACAGGGCAAGGCAAATACATCAAGACATTGAAATTAGGCTTAAGCAAACATTATGGTTTACGACTCAAATTAACCAATCTTTGTTAGTATATTTTATTGATGAATCCACTTCTCATTTTCCCAGGCCCCATGGACAGTTGTTACAAATGCAGACTTCTCTAGGGCTTTACTGTTTTTGACCTTGGTAAACCTATGTGTTTTGCCTCAAGTTGGTGGGCAGTTTTCATATGCTGTGTGTGTGTGTGTGTGTGTGTGTGTGTGTGTGTGTGTGTGTGATGCTTTTAAAAGAATTAGTCAAGTTATACAACTTTCGTAGAGGATCCTCTGTTGATAATAATTGGGAAGGGGTAGGTTTCTGGAGCACTTATTTGGTTTATTTGGTTTAGCTCACAGACAAGAAAACAAGAAGCACCGGGCATGGTGGCTCACGCCTGTAATCCCAGCACTTTGGGAGGCCGAGGGGGTGGATCACAAGGTCAAGAAATCACGAACATCCTGGCCAACATGGTGAAACCCTGTCTCTACTAAAAATACAAAAATTAGCTGGGCATGGTGGTGGGCGCCTGTAGTCCCAGCTACTCGGGAGGCTAAGGCAGGAGAATCGCTTAAACCCGGGAGGCAGGGGTTGCAGTGAGCCAAGATTGCGCCACTGCACTCCAGTCTGGCGACAGAGCGAGACTCCGTTTCAAAAAAAAAAAGAAAAGAAAAGAAAAGAAAACAAGAAGCTTTAGCTTTTGATGCCTGCAGGACTCTCCCGGGACAAATGCTCTGGGACCCATATGTTTAAGGTGAATATGGGAAAAGTTAACTTTATTACCAGGAAGTAAGCAATCAATGTTTGAAAAATGCTGTATTAAAGTTTGAGTAGTAGTATAATATGCCAATTATTATTATAAAATGACAACTGTCTCCAAACTGGAGTATTAAAGCATGATTTAAAACCATTAGTTTCTCTACCTAAGTAATGTAGCTTACATATCTACCTTAATTTTGGAACTGAAGTATTTTGGCTCTTTATGAATAGTCATTATGTCCTTCTGCAGTGTTCCAGAGGAACACTGCCTTCCAAAGTCTGGCCACCTGCATGAGGATATCCTCAGCTGAGAGTTTGAACAGATGAACATGTGGCACATCTAATAGAGAGGTGTAATGTTTCACCAAGAAGAAGAGCTGGTTGTCATGAGTTAGTCCTGCAGAGAGCGGGAGATTTCAGAGTGGCCAACAGCAGTATGAGTAGTTAGAGGCTCAGTTAGAGTATCAGGGAAAGCAGCATTATGTAGTAGTTAAAAGCAAAGCCTCTAGAGTAAAACAGACCCGGATTCAAGTATTACTTCTACCACTCATTTTCTGTGCATAACCTTAAGCAAGTTGCTCAACATTTCAGAATCTCAGTCTCCTCCTCTCTAAAGGAAAGGTGATGATAATGAACTTAAATCATTGGGGGCTGTTATGAGGATTAAATGAGCTTATGCATGAACGCTCTTTGCACAGTAACACTAAGTGATAGTTATTAATCCTCCACCAGTATCACCCTGTCTAGGCAAGCCCCTGGAAAAATCCTACTAATTCTGTAAGGATTATCTCCAAACTTTTCTTCATGCCCTGGTGATACTTTGAACCTCTCTTATGGCACTTTTCCTGTTTTTCTGTTTCTTACAATTATAAATATACTTGCCTAATCTCTTCCTGCTAGACTGAAAGTAACTTGAGGGTAGAGATATTGTGTATGTGTCTCCCACAAAGACTAACAGAAAATCTTGCATAAGGTAGGCACTTAATACTTACTGAGCTGAATTAAATTGCACTAGTTTATATTTAAAATATACTTACCAATAAGTACCATCAGTTGGTGTCATGTTATGACACTGCCATTGGCCTTTACTTTCCTTCTTTCCAGAGGTCTATCATTTGTCCTGCAGTGATAGTTCAAGATTATCTGCCATAGAAGTGAGTTGGGAGTTCATAGAGTTTCCAGAAAGTCTTTTCCTGTAACACTCACAGAAAGTCATAGAGACCAAAATGGCAATAAGTACTGCTGGGTCAATTCAGTAAATATGTATTGAAGGCTTGTTGTATGTAAGAGATTGTGGGCTCTGGGCACGGTAGCTCATGCCTGTAATCCCAGCAGTTTGGAAGGGTGAGGTGGGTGGATCACCTAAGGTCAGGAGTTTGAGACCAGCCTGGCCAACATGGTGAAACCCCGTCTCTACTAAAAATACAAAAATTTGCCAGGTGTGGTGGGGGGCGCCTGTCATCCCAGCTACTTGGGAGGCTGAGGCAGGAGAATCGCTTCAACCCGGGAGGTGGAGGTTGCAGTGAGCTGAGACCATGCCATTGCACTCCAGCCTGGGCAACATAAAAGCAAAACTCCGTCTCAAAAAAAAAAAAAAAGAAAGAAAGAAAGAAAAAGAAAGAGATTGTGATAGGTCTATGGGGATACGCAAAGCTCCAGGAGAGAGAAAGAATGAGGAGAGCAAGAGAGATAAATTCTGACTGGGAGAATTATTTTTTGTTTCTTGGCTAGTGAAGGAGGCTTCAAGAAGTTCCAAGTCTTGGTGGCTAATTATGTGGACATATCTTACGGCTTTGGAGGGGGTGAGGACTGCTTACGGACCTTAAAAGATCTGGTAAATATATATATATATAGGAACAGTGGTTTTCTCAATCTTGGCTGCTCTTTGGAAACAACTTGGAGGGGGATGGATTAAAAATAGTGATAACTGGGTCCCAATCCTTAGACATTCTGATGTAATTGGTGTAGGTTACACTTTGGACACTGGGATTGTTCTTAATTGCCCCAGGTGACTGAGATGCACAGCTGCAGCTGAAAATCACGGCTTCAGAGTTGTGTTTCTGAGGGAGCCTCAAGTGGTTATTTAGTTCTTGTTTATACCCTGGCTGAGTAAGATAACAGTTAGTCCATCCATTTATATCAAGGACATTCCCTGCTATAATTTGGTAAGCTATTTCTTGGAGGGAAAAATACTTTTTTGTCATTGTTGCAATTTTTACTGCCTTTATTCATTTCTCAAACGGGAATAATTGACGATTAAGATGTGTAATGGACAATTTTTACAGCAAAGTGAGGAGGTGACTGGAGACCATATGTTGCCTACGAACAGAGCCTACAGCAAACGTTGAAGAGAGAAATACTTTTTAATAACAGACTCCAATCACTTATTCATTTATTTAGAAAACATTAAAAAGGACTATATTAATTTCCTATTGTTGCCGTAACAAGTTACCACAAACTTAGTGGATTAAAACAACACATTTATTATCTAATAGTTCTGAAGGTCAGAACGCCTAAAATCAAAGTGTTGGATACTGCATTCTTTCTGATGGCTCTAGGGAATAATTTGTTTCCTTGCCTCTTCTAGCTTCCAGAGGCTACTCATGTTCCTTGGCACAAGGCTGCATCACTTCCACCTCTCTGTTGTCACATCTTCTCTGACTCTTGCCTTCCTCTTACAAGGACTCTTGTGATTACAGTGGACCCACTTGGGTAATCTAGGATAATTTGGCAATTTCACCTTTCTTAATCACATCTGTAAAATTCCTTTGGACATGTAAGGTAGCATATTCATAGATTCCAGGGATTAGAATGTGGGCTTCTTTGGGGGAGGTCCTCATTCAGCCTCCCACAGGGATTAAAGATGACACTGGTACTATGACTGCTAATATTTACTTATGTCCTCTATAACACATCACAAATACCTAAAGATTATTTATTGTGGGCCAGGCCCTGTGATAAATGCATTAATGCCATTATCTCAGTTGAACTTATGACGTGGACATTATTAATATCCCCATATTTTGTATGAGAAAACTGAGGTGCATAGAGATTGTGATTTGCTCAAACTCACATAACAACTAAGTGGTGAAGTCAGATTTCAAACCCACGTGAGTCTGAGTTCAGTGCCCTAATCATCATCAAAGATTACATTTTCTAGTACTCTTGACTTTAAGGGCTTAGGTATTCATTCCATAGATAAGGTAGTTGTTCGAGTGTGTATCAAACATCACACTACAGGTACAGTAGTGAACAAGATGAGGTTCCTGCCTGACATCTTGGAGCTCACATTCTCGAGGAGTATATAGCAAAGTATTCAGAGAAACAAATAATGTTAGGTAGTGGTAAGTGCTGCAAGGCAAATTAAAGCCGGGTACAGGGATACAAAATGACAGGAAGTGAGGATGCCCCATTGAGCTATTGTAAATAAAGTAGTCAGAGGAACCTTCTAAGAAGAGATTATTGTGTTCATGGATGAGAATACCCAATTTTAAGATGGCATTTCTCCTCCAACTGATCTACAGCTTCAACACAATCCCTCAAAATCCCAGGTGGATTTTTTTTTTTTGCAGAAATTGATAAGGTGACCCTAAAATAAATATTTGAATACAAAGGGCCCAGAATATCCAAAACAAACTTGTAAAGAATTTAGGGGAATCATGTTTCCCAATTTCAAAACTCACTATCAAGCTATATTAATAGATAGTGTGGTACTTGCATAAGGATAGACATATAGATAAGTGGAATAGAATTGAGCCCAGAAATAATCCCATGTGTCTATGGCCAATTGATTTTCATTAAAGGTGCCAAAACAATTTAATGGGATAAAGAATCATCTTTTCAGCAAATGGTGCTGAGATAACGTGATACCCACATGTAAAAATTGGACCCTTACTTCATACCATACATATAATTATGTAAAGAGCAAAAACTATAAAATTCTTAAAAGAAAACATAAATGTAAATGTTGTTATTTGGGTTAGACAATGCCTTTTTAGATAGAACACCAAAAGTACAAACAAACAATCAAATTATATATATATGTATATATATATGCATATATATTTTTTTTCTAAATTAAAAACTTTAGTGTTCCAGAAGAAACTCAAGTAAGTGAAATAACCCATAGAATAGGAAAACGTATTTGCAAATCATACTGTTTGTAAGGAGTCTGAGATCCAGAATATATAAAGGACTCTTATAACTCAGTGATTAGAAGACAGATAACCCAATTAAATTATCCAGTCTATCATTGATGGGAATTTGGGTTGTTTCCACACCTTTGTTATTGTGAATAGTGCTGCAATGCACATATTTTTCTCCAACCAGAGATTAAAATAGCTACATCTTACTTGTTTTGTTTGTTTCTTTAAACCATCTTACTACAAGGAAAGGATCAACAGAAGCTGGGTCTCTGTGAGAAATCCCATGTCATTATAATTCCTGATCCTGTATATTAAAATGATATACTTCACAAAAAAATAGACAAAGGATTTGAATAAACATTTCTCCAAAGAAGATATTCAAATGACCATATGAGAGAAAGCCTCACATCCTTAGTCATTAGGAAAATGCAAACAAAACCACAATGAGAAGCCACTTTATACTCACCAGGATAGCCATAATAGAAAAAAATGAAAAATAAGTGTTGTGAATGTGGAGAAATCAGTACCTTCAAACATTATTTGTGGAAACGTAAAGTAGTCCAGTCACTTTGGAAAAGAGTTTGACAATTCCTCCAAAAGACGAAACTGATTTATCATGTGCCCTAGCAATTCCACATATTGATATCTACTAAAGAGAAATGAAAATATATATCCACAAAAATATTTACATGTGAATGTTCACAGCAGGATTAATCATAATAGCCAAGAAGCAGAAAAAATCTCAATGCTCATCACCTGACAGATGGTTAAACAAAATATAGTATATCCGTACAATGGAATAATATTCAACAGTGGGCAGGATGAACCTTAAAACATTATGCTAAGTGAAAGAAGCTAGATGTAAGAAACCACATGTTGTATGATTCTATGTATATGAAATGTTCAGAACAGGAACAGAAGGTAGATTAATGTTTGACTAGTACTGTGTGTAAGAATAGGGAGGACTGCAAATGTGCATGAGGGATCTTTTTAAAGTAATGGAAATGTTATAAAATTGGATTGTGATGAGAGTTGTACAACTTCAAATTTACTAAAACTTATTAAATTATACTATTAAAGCTAGTGAACTTTATAGTACATATAACTCAACAAGGCTGTTAAAGAGGAAAAAAGGTGATATTTGAGCATACAAATGAATGACAAGAAGGACAAGCCATGCCAAGAATCTGGGTGAAAAAATTATAGGAAGAAAGAACAGCAAGCAAAAAAGTCCTAGGCAGGAGTGTTCTTAGAGTTTTTGAAGAATAGTAAAAAATGCCACTGCATGTGTGATAGTAGTAGGAGATGAGGTCAGAGAAGAGTCAGGAGATCTGATCGTGAAAGGCCTTGTAAGCAAATATAAAGATTTCCAAGTTTTACTGTACGTGTGATGATAGCCATAACAGGGTTTTGAGCAGAGGAGTGATGTCATCTGCTTTATGTTTTTAAAGGTAACTCTCACTGCTGTGTATTGAAAAAGCTATAGTGGAAGCACTTAGGAGTACATTGCCATGTTTCTGGGGTATAAATTGAGCAAACAAAAAATGTTTTATGGGAGTAATAATTGAGTAAGAAAGTTCAGGCTGTTGAGTTAATTAAGCTCGAGTACTGATTGGGCACCCAGTATTGCTCAGCATTTCGTTAGGTTCTATACCAAGACTTTGTCTCTGATATTTAGAATTTAAGGGCTATGAAGACAGGGACAGAGTCTTCCTTGTTCACTGCTGTATCCTTAGCTCCTAGAGTTGCACCTGGTAGGTGATCAAGAAATACTCATTACATGATTGAATAAATGAATGTAGGAGCTTTAGAACGTAAATCATACAGTGTTTTTATTTTATTCCAATGAGTTGCCAATATTTAAAAGTCAAGAAATTCCATATAAGGATAAGAATGTTCAGCTTTTATGGTGATATTGGAGCTCTATTTCTGCATCCATTTAGAGGAGATATGCACTGACCAGTTTCAATAGTTCCCACTCAGCCAGTTTACTCATATATATTACCTATCTCATCTGTATAAGCATCATGGGACTTCTCAGCCTTCCTAATCACATGAGCGAATTCCTTCTAATAAATATCTATCTATTTATCTATCTATCTATCTATCTATCTATCTATCTATCTATCATCTATCTATCTATCTATCTATGTATCTATCTATCTATCTATCATCTATCTATCTGTCTATATGCTATTTATTCTATTTCTCTGGATAACCTTCACTAATTCAAAGACATTTTGTTTATCCATTTGTCTATAAGTGGAAATTAGGGTTGCTTCTACTTCTTGGCTATTGTGAATAAAACTGCTATGAACATAGGTATACAAATATGTCTTTGAGACTCTGCTTTTGATTTTTTTTGTATATACACCCAAAAGTGAGATTACTAAATTATGTGGTGCATTATTTTTGATTTTGGGCAGAACTTTCATGCTGTTTTCCGTAAGGCTTGTACCACTGTTGGTGTACAGTCCTACCAGCAGTGCACAGGGGTTCCAATTTCTCTGCATCCTGACCAATACATGCTATTTTCTGCTTTTCTTTTGATAGTAGATATTTTAATAGGTGAGGTGATATTTCATTTTGGTTCTAATTTGAATCTCTCTGATGATTAGTGGTGTTGAACATCTTTCCATATGCTTATTAGTCATTTGTTTATCATCTTTGGAGAAATGTTTATTCAAGTCAGTTGCCCATTTGTATTTCACATTTTGTTGCTGAGTTGCAGGAATTTTTTATGGATTCTGAATATTAACCTTTTATCTGATATTTTATTTGTAAATATTTTATCCCATTTTATAAGTTGCCTTTTCAGTCTTTGGATCATGTCCTTTGATACATAAGTTTTTAAGTATGATGTACTTCCATTTGTCCATTTTTGTTTTGATTTCCTATGCTTTTGGTGACATATCCAAGAAATCATTGTCAAGTTCAATGTCATGAAACTTTCCCCCAGTGTTTTTTTTAGGAATTTTATAATTTTGGGTCGTTAGGTCTTTGATCCATTTTGAATTAATTTTTGTATATGGTGTAAGATAAGGGTCCAGTTTTATTCTTCTTCATGTGGTTATTCAGTTTCCCTAATGCCATTTGTTGAGGAGACTGTCCTTTCCTCATTGAGTGGTCTTGGCACCCCTGGCAAATATCGTTTAACCATATATGTAACAGTTTATTTCTTGGCTTTCTATTGTGTTACATTGGTATATTTTTCTGTCTTTATGCCAGTACTACAGTGTTTTTATCACTGTAACCTATATTAAGGTTTGAAATCAGGAACTGTGAAGCTTCCAAATTTGTTGTTCTTCTCGAAAATGGCTTTGACTATTCAGGGTCCCTTGAGATTCCACATGAATTTTAGGAAGAATTTTTCTATTTCTGCAAAAACTACTGTTGGGATTTTTATAAGGATTGCATTGAATCTGTAGATTGCTTTGAGTAGTAGTGGCTTCTTAACAATATTAAGTCTTCCAGTCTATGAACACAAGATGTGTTTCCATTTATTTGTGTTTTCATTATTTTCTTTCAGCCATGTTTGGTATTTTTCAGTGCACATGTCTTGTGCCTCCTTGGTTAGGTTTATCCTTAAGTATTTTATTATTGTTGATGCTATTGTAAATGGAATTGTTTCTTTAATTTCCTTTTTCAGATTATTCATTGTTAATTGCTTGGTGATTTTTTTAAAGTTTAGTTTATAATTATGTAACTTTGGAGGTTGATAATGAGAAAATCACAGAATATTTCTATGCAGAATATTATTAAATTTATCAATTTTGGGAATAATAATGGCACATAATGAGGCTTTACTTTGTTCCAGGCATTAAGTGTTTATCATAAACTCATTTAATTTATAACAACCCTATAAAGTGTGCACTATTACTATTCTCATTTAACAGATGAGAAAATTAATGCATAGAGAAATTAAATAACTTTTTCAAGATTACACATCCAGGAAGCTTTAGATGCAGGAATAGAAAAATAAAAACATATTATGTTTAGCCAGATAAAATAAATTAGCTTATAATAATTTGACACTTACTCCTTTGACTGGGTCTTGGGAATACTAATACCACTTAGTATTGCTCCACTTCTGATGTAACAGATGTAAGAGAAAAAGATCAGCTAAGATCTGGCTCTTGTTCTCATGAACAGACATGCAGTATGAATAGAAGAAACGTTGAATACCAGCCATGGAATAGGACTATTTAAAAGCATATTTCATTTCAGATGATGCTATGAGACTCAGCTTAACTTGCTCATTATTTCCTTTATAAGAAGTCAGGTAATATAAACTGGGTTGGGCAGTGGGGGGAGTGAGACACTGTTGCAGCATCAACCAAGGCCTGCTACAAGAGGTTTTATACCTTTAATCAGTCATATTTTATCTGAAGAAGGACTCTCAGGCTGTGAGAATTTCTCCTTGGATTCAGAAATGAGAAAATGGGGGATGGGTAATTTTTGCTATTTTCTTTTCTTTTTGTTCCCTATACCCAAATAAATGGGCCTTTTCAATTTTTAAATCCCTGGTTAAGCATATTTTTACTGTTATAAATGCATGGAGATATGCTTCATTCAATCAGAATGCCCTGCCTGGTGGAATAGACAGAATAGAAATGGAATGACTAAAAATTACTGAAAGTAGTCTAGAACATCTTGCAACAGCAAATGAATTACTTGTTACAAATATTATAGAGAGGATTTAAGCACTGATTAGAGAGTAGGAATAGATAAGGTTCTTGTCAACTCTAAGAAAATATAATTAAATACATTCATAGAAGAGAGACGGTTTGGGCACACCCACCACTGTCCCTTCTGGTGCATGCATCAGGCAGACCTGCAGTCACACACATGTGCTCAGACCCACCACTGCCCCACTGACATGCACATGTGTGAGGACCCCTGCCACCCTACTGATGCACATGTGCAAGGGGGCTCACCACTGTCCTGCCAGAGCTCTTTTGCCAACAGACTCCATCAGACTGTTGTTGCTGCAGGACTGGGAAACCCTGGCCCCACCAGTGCAGCTGGTGCTTAACCTCAAGGAAGCAGAGAAAAAAGCTGTAGGCCAGGTCCCAGTCCCTCAGGGTAAGAGTATGCAGTCCAAAAGTGCTGAGCTAAGCCTTGGCTCCATGAAAGTATCTAGAAATGAAGCCAATAGACTAAAACCAAATTATACCACATTCAAACCCTCAAGAGTATGGAAGAATATACAAATAAAAAGCCACATCCAAAACACAGCAACTTTGAAGATTAAAGAAACATCAGGCCACACAGATGATAGAGAACCAGTGCTAGAACTCTGGCAACTCTAAAAACCGAGTGTCTTCTTACCTCCAAATGACTACACTAGCTCTCCAGCAATGGTTCTTAACCAGACTGAAATGACAGACATACAGTACAGAATCTGGATGGCAAAGAAGCTCATCAAGATAGAGGAGAAGGTTGAAACCCATTCTAAGGAACACAGTAAAATGGTCCAAGAGTTGAAAGATGATGTAGCTATTTTAAGAAAGAACCAAACAATTTTAGGAAGTAAAGAACTCACTACAGAAATTTTAGAATGCAATTGGAAGCACTAATAATAAAATAGACCAAGCCGAGGAAAAAATCTCAGAGCTCAAAGGCTGCTTCTTCAAATCAATGCAGTCAGAATAAAAAAAGAATAAAAATGAATGAAACCTCCAAGAAATATGGGATTATGTAAAGAGACCAAACCTATGACATATTGCATTCTTGAAAGAGATGAAGACAGAGCAAGCAACTTGGAAAACATATTTCAGGATACGGTGCATGAAATTTTTTCCAACTTCATTGGAGAGATTGAAATGCAAATTTAGGAAAATGCAAAAAAAAAAACTTTGCAAATTACTATAGGAGATGACCATTCCTAAGACACATAGTCATCAGATGCTCCAGTTAACATGAAAGAAAAAAATCACAAACGCAACTAGAAAGAAGGGGCAGGTCATGTACAAAGGGAACCCCATTAAGCTAACTTAAGTGAGTCTTTCAGCAGAGACTTGCAAGCCAGAAGACATTGGAGGCCTATAAGCATCACTAAAGAAAAGAAATTTCTACCAAGAATCTCATATCCTGCCAAACTAAGCTTCATAAGTGGAGAAATAAGATTCTTTTCATACAAGCAAGTGATAGGAGAATTCAGTACCACAAAACTTGCCTCTGAAGAAGTCCTTGGCTGGGTGCAGTGGCTCACGCCTGTAATCCCAGCATTTTGGGAGGCTGAGGTGGGTGGATCACCTGAGGTCAGGAGTTCAAAACCAGCCTGACCAACATGGAGAAACCCCGTCTCTACTAAAAATACAAAATTAGCCAGGTGTGGTGGTGCACGCCTATAATCTCAGCTACTCGGGAGGCAGAGGCAGGAAAATCACGTGATCACAGGGGCAGAGGTTGCGGTGAGCCAAGAGCATGCCATTTCACTCCTGCCTGGGCAACAAGAGTGAAACTCTGTCAAAAAAAGAAAAGGAAGAAGAAAAGGAAGAGGAAGAGGAGAAGGAGGAGGAAAGAAGAAGGAGGAGGAGGAGGAGAAGAAGGAGAAGGAGAAAAAAAGAAGAAGGAGAAGGAGAAAAGAAGAAGAAGGAGAAGGAGAAGGAGAAGAAGAAGAAGAAAGAAGAAGCTCTTAAGGGAGTGCTAAATGTGGAAATGGAATACCAGTATGTGGCACCACAAAAACACACTTAAGTACATATCCCAATGACACTGTAGAGGAACTATGCAATCAAGTCTACATAACAACCAACTAACAACATGATAACAGGACCAATTTCTCACATATCAGACTAACCTTGAAATTACAGTGGCTTAATGCCCAACTTAAAAGGCACAGAGTATCAAGCCGGATAAAGAAGCTAGACACAACTGTATGCTGTCTTCAAGAGACCCATCTCATATGAAATGACACCCATAGGTTCAATGTAAGGGAATGGAGATAGGTTTATCAGGAAAACAGAAAGCAAAAGAGAGTAGGGGTTGTTATTCTTATTTCAGACCAAATAGACTTTAAACCAACGATTAAAAAAAAAGAAAAGCAATACATGATGATAAAGGTTCAATTCATTCAATTCAACAAGACTTAACAATTCTAAATATGGCCCACTCTCCCTCCACTCTGTCCTGTGGCTGCCCACTGCCCTCCTACTGTCCAGCGTGGCCCTGCTGCACTCCAGCCATGTCCTCTCCAGGATCCCCACTGCCTTCCACCCAGGCCTCACCACCACAGCCTCTGCCAGAGGTCCTGGTGGACCTATGTGGAGATGGGACTTCCAGATCCCATCCTGGGAGTCACCAAAGCCTTTAAGAGGGACACCGATAGCAAAAAGATGAATCTGGGAGTTTGTGTCTACTGGGATGATAATGGAAAGCCTTACATGCTGCTTAATGTCAACAAGGAAGAGGCCCAGATTGCCACAAAAAATTTGGACAAAGAATACCTGCCCATTGGGGGTCTGGCTGAATTTTGCACGGCATCTGCAGAACTAGCCCTGGGTGAGAATAGTGAAGTGTTGAAAAATGTCCAGTTATTCACTGTGCATACCATTTCTGGAACTGCGACCTTAACGATCAGAGCCTGTTTTCTGCAAAGATTTTTTAAGCTCAGCCAGGATGTCCAAACCATCCTGGGGAAATCACACACCCATCTTCAGGGATGCTGGCATGCAGCTACAAATTTATTGTTACTATGACCCCAAGACTTGGTGTTTGACTTCACAGGTCGTATGGAGGACATTTCAAAAATACCAGAGCAAAGTGTTTTTCTGCATGCCTGTGCCCATAATCCCATGGGAGTGGAACCTCGTCTAGAGCAGTGAAAAGAAATAGCAACAGTGGTGAAGAAAAATAATCTCTTTGCATTCTTTGACATGGCCTAGCAAGGGTTTGCTAGTGATGATTGTAACAAGGATGCCTGGGCTGTGCACCACTTCATCAAAGAGCATTAATTTTTGTCTCTACCAATCATAAGCCAAGAACATGGAGTTATCTGGCAAGTGTGTGGGAGCCTTCACTGTGGTTTGCAAAGATACAGATGAAGCCAAAAATGTAGAGTCAGCAGTTGAAGATCTTGATCTGTCCCATGTATTATAATCCTCCCCTCAATGGAGCCCAGATTGCTTCTACCATTCTTAACACCGAAATTTGCAAAAACAATGGTTGCAAGAAGTGAAAAGCATGGCCAACCACATCATTAACATGCAGACTCAGCTGGTCTCCAACCTAAAGAAGGAGGGTTCTACCCACATCTGGCAACACATAACTGACAAAATTGGCATGTTTTGTTTCACAGGGCTAAAGCCTGATCAGGTGGAGCAGCTGACCAATGAGTTCTCCATCTACATGGTAGAAGATGGCCACATCTCTGTGGCAGGGGTCACCTTCAGCAACATGGGCTACCTTGCCCATGCCTTTCATCAGGTCACCAAGTAATATCACTGGTGCAAGGAAACAGAAACAACCTTTCTGTCTTCAGTCTCTGCTATTGGGAGCTTCACAAAGAGGATGACAGAAGGTGGATGGTGGTGAGTAGATCATTTCTTTCAGCTGCATTGTGTAACAACATTCAGCAATTGAATGTTTCTCAGAAAAGAACATGTAGTGACATAGGGCAGAGACATCCATGTTTGGTGTCTGGAACATTGTGGCTCTAAACCAAACTCTCCCCTGTCCTTTTATCTCCCAACTTTTCTCAAAGAGTTTATACATGCAAGAAAGTCATCACACCAAAAAACCTGTCAGTTATGCCATTGCAATATTTCAGAAGCTTTAACTGAAGTGTAATACAGTGTCAGGGTTCCTCATGAGAAATAGCACACATTGGAAGCTTTGAGAGAAGACCTACTTCTATCATGAACAGTCAGCACTGTGTCTGTCCTCCCATGATGGAGCAACCTTAAAAAGAGACCATATTGCAGAAATTGCATTTTATGAAAACCAATCAGTATGCTGACATTACAGCAAGGAAAATAAAAGATGTTGTTTTCTGTCTTATTTAAGAAAAAGAGAAGGCTCTCTCTTCTCCCTTGTCATTGTTGTTTTTTTCCTTATGCACAAAGATTTTTAACTAATGTAGATTTTCATTCCATTCTACTGCTTGATTGATCATCAACCCCATCCTGTTGGGATTTATTTAAAAATAAAGAACATAATTTTCTGCTGATGCCTTACCATCACCTTTCTCAGCAAAGAATAGTGGAGAGTAGGTAACTGCACTTTATCTCAGCATCCTCTTCAAGGATTGTATATTTGTCTTCTGTTGAGATGTTGTCTCTGCCCAGTTGGACCTACTCTCTTTGTTGAATGTAGTTGTGCAGTCACTCATTTCACATCATGAGTTAGGTGGCACAGGGCAGTACCAGGAAATAGGATATTCTAGGCTTTATGTGCTGCCAGCTGGGATCAAGCTACACCCTTTGGAAAGAATCACTATCTGCTCTAATCATGTAGACTTATTGCAGCCTGGCTTCTCTGTTACAATAAAATTACTGAAGACACTCCCCCTCTGAAAATAAAAAAAAATCATTTCTAAATATATATTCATTCAACACTGGAGCACCCAGATACATAAAACAAGTTCTTGGACACATATGAAGAGATCAAGATAACCACACAATTATAGTGAAAGGCTTCAACACACCACAAACAGTGTTAAACATATCATAAAGGCAGAAAACGAACAAAGATATTTGGGATGTAAACTGGATACCTGTTCAAATGTACCTAACAGGCATTTACAGGATACTCCACCCAATAACAGAGTATATATTCGTGTCATCTGCACATGACACATACTCTAATATCAACCATGCACTTGGCCATAAGGCAATTCTCAACAATTTTTTTTAAAAAAGCCAAAATTATTCCATCTACACTTTTGGAGCATAATGCAACAAAAATAGAAATCAATACAAAGAAGATCTCTCAAAACTCATAAAATTACATGGAAATTAAACAGCCTGCTCTCTAATGACCTGCCTCGAATGTAAATGAGGCAGAAATCAAGAAATTATTTGAAACTAATGAAACCAGGGATACAACATACCATAATTTCTGGGACACCTCTGAAACAGAGTTAAGAGGAAAGTTTATAGCACTAAACACCCACATCGAGAACTTAGATCTAAAGTTAACAACCTACCATCACACCTAGAGGAACTAGAGAAAAAAAGAGCAAACCAACCTCAAAAGTAGCCAAAGAAAAATAACAAAAATCATTGCTAAATTGAATGAAATTGAGATGCAAAAATTCATACAGGTTCACACCTGTATTCCCAGCACTTTGGGAGGCCAAGACAGGTGGATCACTTGAGCCCAGGGGTTTGATTCCAGCCTGAGCAACATGGTGAAACTTCACCTGTATAAAAAAATGCAAAAATTAACCAAATGTGATGGTGAGTGCCTGTAGTTTGAGCTACTTGGGAGGCTGAAGTGGAAGAATTGGTGGAGCCTGGGAGGTGAAGGTTGCAGTGAGCCAAGATTGTGCCACTGCACTCCAGCCTGGGTGACAGAGTGAGACCCTATCTCACACACACACAAAATCTATACAAAACATCAATGAAATCAAAAGTTGGTTTCTTGAAAGAATAAATAAGATTGATAGACTGCTAGATAGACAAATGAATAACAGAGGAAAGATCCACATGAACACAATCAGAAATGACAAAGATGACATTACCACAACCCCACAGAAATACATAAAAACTACCAGAGACTATTACAAACACTTCTATGTACACAAATTAGAAAACCTAGAACATATTCGTGAATTCCTGGAAATACACAACTTTTCAAGATTGAACCAAGAAGAAACTGACACCCTGAACAGACCAATAAAGACTTCCCAAATTGAATCCCTAATAAAAAATACCTATCAACCAGAAAAAGCCTTCCACTGGAAGGATTCACAGCTAAATTCTACCAGACATATTTAAAAGACCTGGTACCAATCCTACTGAAACTATTCCAAAAAATTGAGGAGGACTTCTTCCTAATTCATTCTATGAGGCCAGAATCTTTCTGATACCAAAACCTGGCACAGCAACAATGAAAGAGAACTCCAGGCCAATATCCCTGATTAACACAGACACAAAAATCCTCAACAAAATCAAATTAACCAGCACATCAGAAAGCTGGTCTACCATGATCAGGTAGGCTTTATTCCTGGCATGCAAACTTGGATCAACATATACAAATCTATACATGTGATCATCACATAAACAGAACTACAAAAACACATGGTGATGACAATAGTTGAAGAAAAGGCTTTCAATGAAATTCAGTATTCCTTCGTGTTAAGAACCCTCAACAGACTAGGCATGGAAGAAACATACCTCAAAGTAACAAGAGCCATCTCTGACAAACCCACAGCCAACATCATACTGAATGGGCAATTGCTGGACCCCTTCCCCCTAAGAATTGGAGTAAAACAAGAATGCCCACTCTCACCACTTCTATTCACCATAATACTGGAAGTGCTAACCTGAACAATCAGGCAAGGGAAAGAAATAAATGGACTCTAAATAGGAAGAGAGGAAGTCAAACTATTTCTCTTCACAGATGATATAATTCTATAGCTAGAAAACATCATAGTCTCTGCACAAAGGCTGTTAGACCTTACTAACAACTTCAGTAATGTTTCAGGATACAAAATCAATGTACAAAAATTAATAGGATTTCTATACACAAATAATGTTCAAGCTGAGAGCCAAGTCAAGAACTCAATCGCATTCACAATACCCACAAAAGAATAAAATACCTAAGTGTAGAGATAACCAGGGAGGTGAAACGTCTTTACAATTAGAATTGCAAAACACTGCCTATTTTGGACCTACTCTGGCTCAGAGGGCAGCCCACTGATATGAAGTTTGTGTCTCGGGCCTGGCAGCATTCACCACAAGCTGATTGAAGAACATTTGGGCCTTAAGTGAATATCAATGTTAGCCTACAGCACTCCCCATGGGCTATTGGTGGTGGTGGCATGTGGAGAGACTTGTCTGACTGTGGAAGAAGGAGGCAAGAGTGTGAAGGACATTGTCTTGTGGCTTGAGTGCCAGCTTAGCTGCAGTAGAAAACAGTACCAGTTAGATCTCTAAGGTTTTTGACTCCAGTCCCTGGTTCCCAGATGGCATGTCTGGACTTGGCCCAGACCTGGAGAAACTCACCTGTCTGGCTTCACCATCTGCTAATTGTGGAGCCCTAGGGCATTAGGAAAACATAAGCATTAGCTAGGTAGTGGTTATGGAGGCCTTGGGTGAGACCAAGTGCTTTGCTGGCTTCAGGTCTGTCCCAGCACAGACGCAATGATGGTAGCTACATGGGTGCATGTGTCATTCCTCTACCAGTCCAAGACAGTTGTCCATGGAGAGAGAGACTCTATTTGGAAGAAAACAAGGGAACAGAACAAGAGTTTCTGTCAGGTAATCCAGATAATTCTTCCACAACTTATCTAGGATCAGAAAGGCATTACCTCTATGAGTCTGCAAGAACTACTGCATTACTGGACCTGGGGTGCCCACTAATGCAGATATGTCTGCAGTGACCAAAAACTTAGATCACACTACCAAAGTCCATTTAGATACCTGGCAAGTCTTCCCAAGAGGTATTGGTACAAAGAAGCCCAGACTGCAAAGACTGCAATAAATACTCAACTCTTCAATTTGCAGTCACTGATGAACATCCACATGCAAAAAGACCATCCAGGAAAACATGCCCTCACCAAACGTGCTAAAGAAGGCACCAGGGACAAATCCTGGAGAAACAAAGATATGTGACCGTTCAGACAGAGAATTCAAAATAACTGTGTTAAGGAGACTCAATGAAATTCAAGATAACACAAAGAAAATATTCAGAATTCTATCCGATAAATTTAACAGAGATTAATGAAAAACAATCAAGAAAAAAATTAGAGTTCAAAAATGCAGTTGACATACTGAAGAATGCATCAGAGTCTCTTAATAGCAGAATTGATCAAGCAGAAAGAAGAATTAGTGAGCTTGAAGAAAGGCTATAGGAAAATACACAGTCAGAGGGACAAGAATAAAAATAAAGAAGAACACCTACAAGACCTGGAAATTAGCCTCAGATGAGAAAATCTAAAAGTTATTGGCCTTAAAGGGGAGGTAGACAAGATGTGGATAGAGAGTTTATTCAAAGGGGTAATTACAAAGCACTTCCCAAACCTAAGGAAAGATATTAATATCCAAGTACAAGAAGGTTACAGAACACAAAGCAGATTTAACCAACAATTGTCTCAAAGCATTTAATAATCAAACTCTCAAAGTTCAAGAATAAAAACAGGATTCTAAAAGCAGCAAGAGAAAAGAAACAAATAATATACAGTAAAGCTCCAATACCTCTGGAAGCAGACTTTTCAGTGAAAATCTTACAGGACAGGAAAGAGTGGCATGTATTTAAAGTGCTACAGGAAAAAAAAAAAAACTTTAGAATACTGTAGCCAGTGAAAATATACTTCATACATGAAGGAGATATAAAGACTGTCCTAAAGTAGCAAAAGCTGAGGGATTTCACCAACACCAGACCCATCCTACAAGAAATGATAGAGAGAATTCTGCTATCAGAAAGGAAAGGACATTCATGAGCATTAAGAAATAATCTGAAGGTACAAAACTCACGGGTAATAGTAAGTCCATAGAAAAACACATAATATTATAACATTATAATTGTAGTTTGTAAACTACACTTACCTTAAATAGAAAGACAAACAGATGAACCAATAAAAAATAATAACTAAGACAACTTTTCAAGACATAGACAGTACAATAAGATATAAATGGAAACAAACCCACAAATTTTAAAAGTGGGGAGATGAAGTTACAGTGTAGAGTTTTTATTAGTTTTCTTATTGCTTGTCTGTTCATGCAATCAGTGTTAAGTTGTCAGCAGTTTAAAATAATGGATTTTAAGATAGTATTTGCAAGCCTTATGGTAACCTCAAATCAAGAAACATACAATAGATACACAAAAAGTGAGAAGCAAGAAATTAAAACAGACCTTCCAGATGGAAAATCAGCAAAGAAACATTGGGCTTAATCTACACTATAGACCAAATGTGTCTAATGGATATTTACAAGAGAATCACTTTCACTAAAAGGAAGACATGAAGGAAGGAAAAAAGGAATTGAAGATCACAAAACAACCAGGAATCAAATAAAAAATGGCAGGAGGAAGGACTTACTTATTAATAGTAACATTGACTGTAAATGGTCTAGACATTGCAATCAGAAGACATCAAGTGGCTGAATGGATTTAAAAAAATGCAATAATTTGTTTCCTACAAGAAATATACTTCTCCTAGAAAGACACACGTAGACTGAAATAAATGGATGAAAAAGATTAATATCTTGGCAGTGGAAACCAAAAAATGCAGGAGTAGTTATACCAGTGAAAATAGATTTTTAAGGTGAAAAGTATAAGAAGAGACAAAGAAGGTTATATGATTTGTCTGTGTCCCCACTCAAATCTCACCTTGAATTGTAATAATCCCCACATGTCATGGGAGGGACCCAGTGGGAAGTAATTGAATTATGGGGGTGGGTTTTTTCCATGCTGTTCTTGTGATAGTGAATGAGTCTCACGAGATCTGATGGTTTTATAAAAGGGCAGTTCCTCTGCACATGCTTTCTTGCCTGCTGTGATGTAAGATGTTGTGTGCTTCCCCTTCATCTTCTGCCATGATTGTGAGGCCTCCCCAGCTATGTGGAACTGTGATTCAATTAAACCTCTTTCCTTTATAAATTATCTAGTCTCAGATACATCTTTATTAGGAGCATGAAAACAGACTGATACAGAAGGTCATTATGTAATGATAAGGTGGTCAATTCAGCAGGAGGTTATAACAATTGTAAATATATATGCACCCAACACTGTTGCAATCAGCTATATAAAGCAAATATAATTAGAGCTAAAGAGAGAGAGATGCCAATACAATAATAACTAGAGACACCAACATCTCACTTTCACCATTGGACAGACCTTCTAGATAGAAAAATTAACAAAGGAACATTGGACTTAATCTGGACTATAGACCAAATGGATCTAATAGATATTTACAGAACATTCAATTGAATGGCTGCAGGATATACATTCTTCTCCTTAGCACATGGTTCAGTCTCATGGATAGGCCATATGTTAGGCTACAAATGTGTCTTAAAACATTTAAAAATTGAGATAATATCAAGAATCTTCTGTGATCACAATGGAATAAAACCAGAAATCAAAAACAGAACAATTTTGGAAATTATACAGGCACATGGAAATTAAACAATATGCTCCTGAATGACCAGTGGGTCAAAGATGAAATTAAGAAAGAAATTGAAAATTTTTTTGAAACAAGTGAAAATGGAATCATGACATATCTAAACCTACAGGATGCAGTGAGAGCAGTCCTAATAGGGGAGTTTATAACTATAAGCCACTATGTGAAAAAAAGAAATACTTCAAATAAACAATTTAATGATGCATCTTGAAGAACTAGGAGGGCAAGAGCAAACCGAACCCAAAATTAGTAGAAGAGATAACAAAGAGCGGAAATACATGAAAATGAAATGAAGAAACAACACAAAAGATCAATGAAACAAAAAGTTGTGGTTTTTTAAAAGATAAAACTGACAAACCTCTAGCCAGACTTACTAAGTGAAAAAGAGAGAAGACCCAAATAAATAAAATTAGAGATTTAAAAGCAGACATTACAATTCATTTCACAGAAATCCAAAGAAACATTACAGGCTAATATAAACAATTATACACCAATAAATTGTAAAATCTATAAAAAATTGATAAATTCTTAGAAACATACAACGTATCTACATTGAGAAAATTCAAAACCTGAACAGACCAGTAATAAGTAATGAGATCAAAGCTGCATTTAAAAGTCTCCCCACAAAGAAAATCTGATGACTCAATGACTGTGCTGCTGAATTGTACCAAACATTTAAAGAAGCACTCATATTATTTCTACTGAAACTATTCCAGAAAATAAAGGATGGAATACTTTCAAACTCATTCTATGAGGCCAGTATTACTCTCATATCAAAGCCAGACAAAAACACATTAAAAAAACTCCAAGTCAATTTCTCTGATGAACATTGAATTGAAAATCCTCAACAACATTAACTAGCAAACCAAATTCAGTAATACGTTAAAAAGATCATTCATCATGATTAAGTGGATTTATTCCAAGGGGTCAAGACTGTTTTAACATGTATAAATCAATCAATGTGATACACTATAGCAAAAGAATGAAGGACAAAAACCATATGATCATCTCAATTGATGCTGAAAAAAAAATTTGATAAAATTCAACATCCCTTCATTATAAAAACCCTCAACAAAATCTGGGTATAGAACAAACAGACCACAATGTAATAAAAGTCAAATACAACAGATTCACAACCAGTATCATAATAAGTAGGGAAAAACCAAAACCTTTAAGATCAGAAACACACGGATACCTGTTTTCACCACTGTTATTCAACGTAGTACTGCAAGTCCTAGCTAGAGCAGTCAGGCTGGAGAAATACAGGGCATCCAAATTGGAAAGGAAGATGTCAAACTGTTTTTGTTTGCAGATGATATGATCTTATATTTGGAAAAACCTAAAGACACCACGAAAAAACTATTACAATGGGTAAATTCAGCAAAGTTGTAAGAGATCAAATCAACATGCAATCATCAGTAGGACTTCTATATGCCACTAGCAAACAATCTCAAAAAGAAATCAAGAATGTAATCCCATTTACCATAGCTAAAAATATAATTTTTAAACCTAGGAATTAATCCAACCAAAGAAATGAAAGATCTCTATAATGAAAACTGTAAAACACTGAGGAAAGAAATTGAAGAGGACACAAAAACTTGCAATGATATTCTATGTTCATGGATTGGAAGAATCAACATTGTTAAAATGTTCACACTACCCAAAGGTAGTCTGCAGATTAAATGCAATCTCTACGAAAATGCTAATGACATTCTTTACAAAAATAGAACAAAAATCATAAAATTTATATGGAGTCACAACAGACCTAGAATAGCCAAAGTCATCCTGAGCAAAAAGAAGAAAACTGGAGGAATCACACTACCATACTTAAAATTACACTGCAGAGCTGTAGTAAGCAAAACAACATGGTACTGGCATAAAAATAGGCACATAGCACAAATGGAACAGAATGGAGAATTCAAAAATAAATTAATGCATTTACAGTGAACTCATTTTTGACAAAAGCCAAGAACATACATTGAGGAAAGGACAGTCTCTTCAATAAATTGTGCTGGCAAAGCTGGATATTTATAAGCAGACTCAAAAAACTATACCCTTATCTCTTGCCATACACAAAAATCAAATCAAAATTGATTAACGACTTAAATCTAAGACCTCAAACTATGAAACTAGTACAAGAAAACATTGAGGAAACTCCCCAGAACATTAGAGTGGCAAAGATTTTTTGAGTAATACCCCACAAAAACATGCATCTAAAACAAAAATGGAAAAATAGATTACATCAATTTAAAAAGCTGTACAGCAAAGGAAACAATCAACGAAATGAAGAGACAACCCACAAAATGAGATAAAATATTTGCAAACTTCCCATATGACAAGGGATTAATAACCAGCATAATAAGGAGCTCAAACAACTCTATAGGAAAAAAAATCTAATAATCTGATCAAAACATGGGAAAAAGATTTGAATAGACATTTCCCAAAAGAAGACATACAAATGACAGACAAGCATATGAAAAGGTGCTCAATGTCATTTACCATCAGAAAAACGCAAATCAAAACTATAATGAGGTATCATCTCACTTCCATTAAAATAGCTTTTATTTAAAAGACAGGAAATAAATGCTGGTGAGGATATGGACAAAAGGGCACCCTTACACACTGTTGATGGGAATGTAAATTAGTATAACCATTATGGAGAACCATTTGGTTCTCCATAAAATCCATAAAATCCAGCAATCCCACTTCTAGATATATACCCAAAAGAAAGGAAATCAGTATATCAAAGAGATATCTGCACTCTCATGTTTATTGCAGAATTATTTACATTAGCCAAGATTTTTAAGCAACCTAAGTGTCTGTCAACAGATGAATGGATAAAGAAAATGTGGTACATATACACAATAGTGTATCATTCAGCCATAAAAAAGTCTTGTCGTTGGCAATAAAATGGATGGAATTGGAGGTCATTATTTTCAGTGAAATAAGCCAGGCATGAAAAGACAAACTTTGCATGTTCTCAGTTATTTGTGGGAGCTAAAAATAAAAGCAATAGAATTCATGGAGATAGAGAGTGGAAGTATGGTTACAAGAAGCTTGAAAGGGTAGTGGGGCATTGGAGAGGGGTGTGAGGATGTTTCATGAGTACAACAAATAGAAAGAATAAGATGTAGGATTTGACAGCATGAGGGTGATCATAGTCAATAATGATTTAATTTTATGTTTTAAAATAATGACAAGAGTATAACTGGATTCTTTGTAACACAGAGGATAAATGCTTGAGGTGATGAATACTACATTTACCCTGATGTGATAGTTATGCATTGGCTTTCTTTATCAGAATATTTCATGTACCTTTTAAATATATACATCTGCTATGTACCCATAAAAATTTTAAATTACAGAAAAACTGCTGAAGGATATCAGAGACAACACAATGAAATGGAAAACATTTCATACTCATGGATAGGAAAAATCTATATTGTTAAAATAACCATACTGCCCAAAGCAATTTACAGATCGAATTCTATTTCTATGAAACTAACAAGGTTACTTTTCACAGAATTTGGAAAAACTATTCCAAGAGTCATATTGAACCAACAAAGAACCTGAATAGCCAAAGGAATTCTAAGCAAAAGAAGCAAAGCCAGAGGCATCACACTACTTGACTTCCAACTGTACTACAAGAATACAGTAATTAAAACACCATGGTACTGATACAAAAACAGAAACAGACCAATGGAGCAGATTAGGGAACCTAGAAACAAAGCCACACACCTGCAATCATTTGATCTTCAACAAAATTTCAATAACAAACAATGAATAACCTTTTCAAGTAGTGGTGATAGCATAACTGGCTAGCCATAAGCAGAAGATTGAAACTGGACTCTTGTCTTTTTTCATATACAAAATCAACTCAAGATGGATTAGAGACTCAAATGTAAGCCCTAAAGCTGTATAAACCCTAGAAGAAAACCTAAGACATACTATTTTGGACATAGGCCATGGCAACGATTTCATGTCAAAGACTCCAAAAGCAATATCAACAAAAACATAAATTGACAAGTGGGAAGTAATTAAATTAAAGAGGTTCTACCTAGCAAAAGAAATGATCACAGAGTAAACAGTCAACCTACAAAATGGGAGAAGTTATTTGCAAACTATGCATTTGACAAAGATCTAATATCCAGAATCCATAAGGAACTTAAATTAACAAGAAAAAACAACCCCATTAAAAATGGGCATAAGACATGAACAGATACCTCTCAAAAGAGGACATACATGCTATCAACAAGCATATGAAAAATTCTCAACGTCACTGATTATTAGAGAAATAAAAATCAAAACCACCATGTGATAACATCTTACACCAGTCAGAATGGCTATTTAAAAGTCAGAAAATAACAAAAGTTTATTAGATTTTGGAGAAAAGGGAATGCTTATACACTGTTGGTGGAAGTGTAAATTAGTTCAGCCACTGTGGAATGTAGTTTGAAGAATTCTCAAAGACAGAAATACCATTCAAGTCAGCAGTATCATTTCTGGATATACACCCAAAAGAACACGAATTGTTCTACCATAAAGACACCTGCAGTTGTTTGTTCATAGCAGCAGTATTCACAATAGCAAAGACTTGAAATCAACCTAGATGCTCATCAACGGTGGTCTGGATAAATAAAATATGGTACATATACACCATGGAATAGTACACAGGCATAAAATACAAAACAATGTTCATTTCAGCAACATGGATGCAGCTGGAGGCCATTATTTTAAGTGAATTAATACAGGAACAGAAAACCAAATACCACATATTCTCTTTCGTAAGTGGGAGCTTATGAGGAATTGAGTACACATGGATAAAAAGAAGGGAATTGTAGACACCAGAACCTACTTGAGAGAGAGGGTGGGAGGAGGTTGAGGGTCAAAAAACTACCTGTTGGGTACTATGCTCACTGCCTCATTGCACATCAAATCACAGTGACATGCTATTTACTCACTTAGCAAACCTGCACATGTACCTCCAAACCTAAAATAAAAGTTGAAACAGAAATAGAAAAAGAGTTGTAGAATTTTGAAAAAAAATATTCCAGCCCATATTTATCAAAATTTTATTATATATGTCAAGCATTGCATACTGGAGTATGAGGATCCAATAATAAACAATAATAAGGAAAAAATAGAGATAGTGTAGGTGCAGGGTAGCTAGGATCATTTCTTTATTAATTTTTCACAAAGAAGATTGAATACACTGTGTTTGGTCATTTATAAAAATAAATACATGTATTAACATAAACCTTCAGATAAATAAATATTTGCTGAAAAGCATTCTGATGAGTAGTATTTACTTATTCATTTAATCCATATTTATTACCACATATTATGTGCCAGGTACTTAACTAGGTGCTGGAGAACTGCAATGAATAAGACATACTTGGCTTCTGCCTTTACAGATATTATAGTCTAGTAAGTGAAGACAAACAAGCTTTCTGTAAAGAATGTCATTAGCATTTTTGTAGAGATTGCATTTAATCTGCAGACTACCTTTGGGTAGTGTGAACATTTTAATAATATTGATTCTTCCAATCCATGAACATAGAATATCATTGCAAGTTTTTGTGTCCTCTTTGATTTCTTTCCTCAGTGTTTTACAGTTTTCATTATAGAGGTCTTTCATTTCTTCGGTTGGATTAATTCCTAGGTTTAAAAATTATATTTGTAGCTATTGTAAATGGGATTACATTCTGATAAACAGAAAATTAATGAAAAAACAATCAGTATGATACAAACTGTAAAATGTGTTATGAAGGAAACGTAGGATATAGTGAAAAAGGATGACTAGAGGAGGCCACACAGGGTGGTCTGGCCTCTGTGAGATGATTACATTTGAGTTGAGATCTAAAAGATAAAAAGGAACCAACAAAGACAAAAGTTTGGAGCAGGGATAGTGTTCCAGGAAGGAAGATAAGTGCAAGACCCTGAAGAGAGAATGCATTTGGCATGTTGGGAGGATTTAAGGGTAATGCAAATGTGGTGAACAAGGGGAAGAGTAGGAGAGGAATTCAGAAAGGTAAGAAGGATCTTTTAACAAATAAGGAATGTATAATAAAATATGCATTTATTAATAAATTTCTTTATTTGATTTTAAATGTCTCTCCTCAATCTACACTTTGGGACTTTTACTAAAGTCCCGAATTTCATCCTCATTCCACATATTGGGACTTTTATCCTTTCAGCATAGGGCAGATGCACTTTGTGTGTTTGCATGAAACTTTATGAACACTGAAATTTGAATTTTATATAATTCTCATGTTTCGCAAAATAGTGTTTTTCTTTTGAAATTTTTAATCATTAAAAAATTTTAAAACCGTTATTACCTTGCAGGCACTACAAGAACAGGTGGCAGAATTTGGCCAATACATTATATCATGCAGGACCCCTTGTGTCCTCATTTGTATAATAGGCCTCTTTTGATGAAGGGAATGGCTGACTTTTTTAAAAAAAAATTGAGGTATAATTAACACATAAAAATGTATTCATGGCCAGGCGCGGTGGCTTACGCCTGTAATCCCGGCACTTTGGGAGGCTGAGGCGGGCGGATCACCTGAGGTCAGGAGTTTGAGACCAGCCTGACCAACGTGGAGAAACACCATCTCTACTAAAAATATAAAATTAGCCAGGCATGGTGGTGCATGCCTGTAATCCCAGCTACTCGGGAGGCTGAGGCAGGAGAATCGCTTGAACCTGGGAGGTGGAAGTTGCGGTGAGCTGAGATCACGCCATTGCACTCCAGCCTGGGCAACAAGAGTGAAACTCCGACTCAAAAAAACAAAAAAACATGTATTCATATTTTCATATATCTATACATTGTGAAATGATTACCACAATCAAGCTAATTAACATATCACTTCACATAGTTACCTTTTTTGGTAGTGAGAATATTTAATATCTGTTCTTTTAGCAGATTTTGAGTACACATTACAGTATGATGAACAATGTCACAATGCTGTTCATTAGATCTCTGGAACTTATTCATAGTGCATAACTGAAACTTTGTTCTTTTTACTCAATATCGTCCCATTTCCCCCAGCTCCTGATTACCACCATTCTTCTCTATGATTCTATGAGTTTGACTTTTTTAGATTTCACATATAAGTGAGATCATGCAGTATTCGTTTTGTGGCTTGCTTTTTTCACTTTTACTTAGCATAATGACCTCCACTTTTATCTACGTTGTCACAAATAACTTTATTTTTAAGGCTAACTAGTAGTCCATTTGTGTACACACACACACACACACACCCCATGTTTTCTGATTCCTTTGGCAGTTCGGCATGTTTTGTGGTTTCATATGAACTTTAGGATTTTGTTTTTGTGTTTCTGTGAAAAGTGCCTTTGGAATTTTCATAGGGATTGCATTGAATCATTAGATTGAGTTGTACTGACATTTTAACAATATTAATTCTAATCTATGGACATGGGATATCTTTCCATTTATTTGTGTCATCTTCAATTTCTTTCATCAGTGTTTCATAGTTTTTGGTGTACAGGTCTTTCACCCACTCAGTTAAGTTTATTCCTAAAGAATTTATACTTTTTGTCATTATTATAATTCTTAATGTCTCTTTCAGAATTTGTTCTTAGTGTACCAAAATGCAATTGATTTTCTATGTTGATTTTGTATCCTGAACTTTACTGAATTTGTTTATTATGTCTTAGAGTTTATTTGGTGGAGTATTTAGAGATTTTTATGTATAAGATAGGTCATCTGCCAACAGAGACAATTCTACTTTTTACTTTATGATTTTGATGGCTTTTATTTCTTTGTCTTGTCTACTTGCTCTGGCTAGGACTTCTATACTGTGTTGAATGAATAGTGGTAGCAGAAGTGAACACCTTGTCTTGTTTCTAATCTTAGAGAAAAAGTCTTCAGCTTTTCACCGTTGGGTATGATGTTAGTTGTGGGCTTGCTATATATGCCTTTATTATGTCAAGGTACATTCAGTCTTGGTAAATGTATGTCTGGGAATGTATTCATTTCTTCTTTGCTCTTCAATTTGTTAGCATTTAATTGTTCCTTGGAATTTTTGTGGTATCAGTAGTAATTAGTTTTATTTATAATTTTATTTATTTTATCTTCATTCTTTTTTCCTTTTTAAATGTAGGTAGAGTTAACTGTCCTTTCTACCCCTTGCAATGCATCCTTCGTGTGTGTGTGTGTGTGTGCTCCACAAAAGTGCTATAATCTCTCAGTGACTTCCCTATCTCTTGTAATTGTATTTTCATGCATAGATAATTGTTCAAATGGATGTTTTGTGAGAAAATTAGCACTGGAAACTCCTATTCCGCCGTCTTGCTTGTGAATGCACTTTTATTATGTGTACTGGCTAAAGTTGACTTAAATTTTATTCTGAATGTTAAAGGGTAGCCATTGGAAGGTATAAAGAAAGGGGGAGATATTATTTGATTTATGTTTTAAGATCACTTGCACTGCTAAGTAGAGTTGAAATTGTGGGAGACGAGAGTAGAAGCAGGGAGACCTTTTGGAAGGGAATTGCACCAGTCCAGGAGCCTCTTTATATAGTAAGGACAAGGAGAGCTCTATCATTTTCCAGAGATGACTATTATTTGTGCTGGATTGGCTGGGTTTTTTTGGTCTACGTTATAATTATGGGCTGTCCTTCCATGGTAGAAGGCATTGATGATCTGATGGTTGGAGTGGTTCAAAGGGGGCATTCTGCTTTGCTTTCTCACTCTCTCTTACATTCTCTCTCTCTCTATATATATATAGATATACATGTAGAAAGATAGACACACAGACATGTTTCTGTCTTTCCCTCTCCTTTTTCTCCTTGCCTTCTGTGTTTCCATTCTCATTTTGATTTGTCCTCAATCCCATATAAGTAGTATTTCCGTTTTGTGGCTTTTCAATTACCCTCTTAACTATGAAAAATGTAGGGAACATTATCCAATATTTGTATTTGGAAGATCTCACCACTATGGTTTCTAGTTTCCCTTCTGCAGACATACAGACATATGTACAAGTTGATGTTTTTCCGTCTTTTAACAATTAGTGTGGAAAAGGCTGCATTTCAAAGAACAGGTAACCTTCTTTTAAAAATTTTGTGTATACTCGTTATTTTCTTTACAAAAATCTCATCAGGAGGAAATGTATGCCAGCACATGTTTTCTGATTTCTTTTTTTGTTATTGAAAAGTATAGTTTATGTACCATAAAATTCACCCATTTTAAGTTTGATGAGTTTTGGTGAAAGTAGCCACAACCAGTTTGAAATTTTTGAGCACTTTCATCATAGTGAAGTCTTCAGGAGGATGTCTTTGAAGACCACATGCCTCATTGTTTTACATTTTTTAAAGGAAACTTAGATGCATACCTAGAAACAACCTGAGTTTTTATTATTAAAAAACTCATGCTTAGGTTAAGCTGAAATTGCCTCCCTATAACTTTTGTCCTGGTCCCGTACTTTGTCTCACATTGTAATAGTAAGGACAGGCAGCAATATAAATAAGAGCATATAAATGTTATCAGTTCTAGGAGATAAACATATTAAGGATATAGTGAGGTTACAAAGAAGGCAATCATATATCTACAGAGGCAAAGAGGGGTATGGCTTAAGGAATGTTTGGATCTGTCTTAAAAGATAAAAATTGGACTTGGGTAGACTGCAGACTTGGCATATTTTATACAGAGGACACATGATAACCAAGACAAAGAGTAATGATATAATTTGGCTTAGTTCAAGAACTTGTAATCAGTTCCATAAATCTGAAGCATATAGGGCGAGAGAGAGAGAGAGAGATGTGCAGTAATCCCTTGTTATCCAGTTTTACTTTGGGCAGTTTCAGTTCTCATGGTCAACCATGGTCTGAAAATATTAAGTGGAAAATTCCAGTAATAAAAAATTCATAAGTTTTAAATTGCATACTGTTTGGAGTGGTGTGATGAAATCTTGCACCATCCCACTCTATCCTTCCTGGGATGTGAATCATCTCTTTGCCCAGCTTATCCATGCTGTGCACGCTACCTGCATCCTAGTTGCTTAACAGCTTTCTCAGTTCTCAGAACGAGAAAAGTAAAACATAGTATGTATGAAGTTTGGTACTATCCATGGTTTCAGGCATCCACTGGGGGTCTTGGTACATATCCCACATGGATACAGAGGCACTCCTGTAGGGAAATATAAAAAGGGAGGATGCCAAATCACAGAAGACTTTGTATGTTTTGATTGGTACCTTGTACTATCTTTATAGATAATAGATAGACATTGATGAATTTTCAGCAATTGGTATGGCCAGCTTTAATAAGATTACTCTTTGTGAAGCAGCAATATAAAGGCTGTAATGGAAGGACTGAAGCTGAGGTCAGAAAGACTGATTAGGAAAACACTGCAGTGATCTTGCAAGATATGGCTTCCAAAACAAAAAAGCAAATGCTGTGGGAATGGAGAAGAAGGGTTAGTTTTGAGAGACGTTTTGAAGTTGATTCAACAGGATTTGATGACAAACTGGATATGGGAGGT
Organism: Homo sapiens; assembly: GCF_000001405.40. Lineage (NCBI taxonomy): Eukaryota > Metazoa > Chordata > Mammalia > Primates > Hominidae > Homo > Homo sapiens. Next base: position 55,979,828 of record NC_000023.11, read on the forward strand.
GAGTGAGAGAGAAGTTAAAAATGACTCCCAGATTTTTGACTATGTGTAGGTCTGCCATTCACTGAGATGGGAATACCAGGAAATAGAGTAGGTTCTGTGATGCTTCTTTGTCAATATTTATCAATTTAGAAATAGTATAGGCCACCAGAAAGGGCTATTTAGAGCTTGAACAGGGCCAAGGCAGAAAAAGTTTTAAGGTGCTAGTTAGTATACCATTGAAGTTAGTCTACCATTTAAGTGACTGCAGGCCAGAAAGGAGGCAAGTGAGGCTTTGAATGGGCTGATGGATCGAGAGAACACATATGTGCTGAGGAACTGGAAATCAGTATAAGGATGAAAAGGAGTTTCAGTGGGGAAAGATCAGTGGGAGAAGTCAAGAGGTCAGAATGATAGGACTATGTAAGAATTGTTTCAGGCAATAAGAAAATAAACTCACATTTACTGAGTGCTTGTTGTGAGTCACATGCCACAAGTGTTACCTCATTTAATACTCAGGTCAGACATCAACTTCGCTGAGCTTCAGGTAATTAATGTCTCAGATGGGGACAATATGATCACACATAGGGAATAGAGGAGGGTAAGGTTTGGAGATAGGATTGGGAGAACAATTAATTTAATTTGGGTCATGTTGAGTTTGAGAGGCATCTGTGTTCTGACAGGTCAGTATAAACTGATACATGCAGTGACATCCATTCTGATTGGTCAGTGCATGTACCTTATCAATTAAATATTCTGAATATTGCACCTTTTCCTGGTCTATTCACCGTGCATAATTTGATGCCACCGTGGTAAAGGACAAATGACTATAGATCCTGTATTTTAGGTCCTGCTTAATGATTCCTGGGCTAAGAGACATGGTTAAATCAATTGTCCCTAATGCAACTAAAGCCTGGTTCCTCACTTTGTGCCCTAAAAGGAGGCATTATGGATGATGTGTGGACAGAGTATGCACTTTGTGCACAAATTATGTACCTAATAAGTGTGCGAACTGTTATTTGCCTTAAAATCTTAGGCTTCTCCCCCCCTCCATAGCATATGACCTCCTTTTACCGTTTGAAGTCTGAGGTAAAATTATTTTAAGTAGGCCGGGCCCGGTGGCCCACGCCTGTAATCCCAGCACTTTGGGAGGCCGAGGCAGGTGAATCACCTGAGATCAGGAATTTGAGACCAGCCTGGCCAACATGGTGAAACCCCATCTCTACTAAAAATACAAAATATAGCCAGGCTTGGTGGCGTGTGCCTATAATCCAAGCTACTTCAGAGGCTGAGGCAGGGGAATGGCTTGAACCCGGGAGGCGGAGGTTGCAGTGAGCCGAGATTGCACCATTGCACTCTAGCCTAGGCGACAGAGCAAGACTCCATCTCAAAATAATTAAAAAAAATTATTTTAAGTAATACCAACGTTCAAAAGTAGGTGGTTCAGGGGATACTGTAATCCACTTTAGTTCTCTGGACAAGAAAATAGGTTCTAAAGAACAACAGAAAGTTTAGTGGTCACAGTTTGTGAACTGAAGTGCTTAATTAGGGCTACACTATTGGCAGCAGTGTATACATATTCACATGCCACTGCTTTTATGAAACCCCAACTCCTCAGGATACTTTCATTTCAGTCTTTTTTCTTTTGAAAATATCAAACAACAAATTGAAAATATGAGAGAAAGAAGTCTATATTTTGGTGGTATTAACCTTTCCTTCTAAGACGAGGAAATTACCTTGAAGAAACATTTCCTTCTTGCACAAGGATTATCACCAAAATTATGATTGGAATTCAATTTCTAGTAAGGTAAACAAGGATATTTCTAGAAGTTACTGCAGAGCATGGAACAATGAATTAACCTCAAATTCACCATCTTTCCCACAGCCTTCTTTGGGTGGAATCTTGGAAAGCATAAAGCACTGTGGAGAAGGGATGGACAGATGGGCTATGGAGCACTGTGGAAATGCTGCACAGGCCGAACAATGACAACAATGTATACTTACTAGAAACAGGAAAAGACTGGGAACAGGCAGAACAATACTGTACCCTGAAGCAGACATCCTTCCTTTGCTCCACCCACCTATTCAGGTGAAAGCAGCTAAGCTAAGTTTGAGGGTAGCACAGCTTTTGGAATACTTGGAGGCTCTGGGCTTTAGGGCTTTTTTTCTGGCTTTGTTATTTTGGTGGGACTTGGTGAAAGAAGAGCAAGAAGGGCCATAATGGAATCCAGAGGACAGGAAGTAAGAGCTGGCTGATTTGAGAATGATAGTGACTCTAGGTCACCAAGTTCATATTACTGAGGAAGGAAAGCAAGCAGGGATTCAGTAGAGATACTCTCCAGGAATAAAGAATGTGCATTTTCCTGGTATTCTCCTCAGAGTGATATATTAAAGCAAGTTAAGCAGGGCAGGAGAGTTTTAAAACCTAACATTAATGTTTTGTAGTACATTTGTGAACCATTGGTGTCAAGGGGTTCTGGTGTCTTACTTCTACAACCAACGTCATCTCAAGTCCTATCAATTAAGGTCAGAGGCCATAGAGCTTTCTGTAGTCAGGCTGTACCACAGCTTCTCCTAAGACTATCTTAAAACTCTTAAATCTGTCCTATTTACTCTGTCTCCACTGCCTCTTTCCTAGGTCAGGCTGTCATTATTTCACTCACGATTTATTGTAATATCCTTCTAACTGATCCTTCTGCCTCTAACCTGATTTCTTCCAATGTTACTCTACATTGGCTGTCAGAATAATTTTTCTAAAATGGAGATAGCATAGCTATTAAAATGGTTAAAATTGGGGGTTCTGGGGTTGGTCTACTAGAGCTAGTATCTTAGCTCAACCACTTACCTTGAATAAGTTGCCTAACCTCCCTTTCAACCATCACATTTGTAAAATGAGGATTGTAATATTATCACCCCCACAGAGTTAAGTGAGAATTAAAAGAATCAATTTCAACAATTTAAAACAGTGTCTTACACAGCAAAAATGTTCTATATGAAAGCTATTGTTATATTAAAAATCTGACAATGCAACTTTTCTGTCTCCCTGTCAGAGGTCACAAATATAAATGCTTACAGTGCTATTCATTCATGTAAGGTAAATGAATGAAGTAGGCAGGCAAATGCATTATTCATCTAAAGGGGACAGCCTATACTTATCACACAAAGTTGAGGTTTTAGCTTTGCCAGATCTTATTTTTCAAGTCAACGTGGAAATCTATGTTGTTGTCATATAACTTTTTATTAGTGTTTTTTAAATCTGTGGTAGAAAAAGTATCCTACCTAAAATTAGAAAACTACTTTCTGGCTCATGGGTCTCCAGTTTGCAACCTCTGAGTGATTAAAATCCAAATTCCTTAATATTGAATTTGATACCTTACTTTTTATTCCATTTTTATATTTTTTGTAGGTGATGGATATTTTTATTACTTTGTGGTGATGGAATCATGTGTATGCATATTTCTAAACTTATTAAAATTCTATATATTAAATATGCTCAGTTTTCTGTACTGAATTATACCTAAATAAAGCTGATTATAAAAGAACAGAAAAGGAATAGGTTAACCATTTTGTTTCTAAGCTACTCCACATGGTTTTCCAAGTACAGTCTAATTTCATCCACATCAAAGCCTTACCTAACTAATGCCACCAACTTCATCTCTTAGTATTATTCAAGAATTATACTTCATTCTACTCAGAACAATTTCAATATCCTGCAAACATACTGCTCTACTCCATGTCATACTTACAATTACTTTACTCCAATTATTTAGAAATACCATTTCTATTTGTGGTTGATAATAACTTCCTACACATAGTCTTGCCTAAATTTTTAAATAAATAGCTTTAATGGTACAAGTGGGTTTTGGTTACATGCATTAATTATATAGTGGTGAAATCTGGGCTTTTTGTGTACCTGTCAAATGGATAGTGTACACTGTATGCAACAGGTGACATTTTATCCCTAGCTCTCTTCCAGTATCCCCCGTTCTGTGGCTTCATTGTCTATTATACCACTCTGTATGCCTTTGTGTACCCATGGCTTAGCTCTCACTTATAAGTAAAAACATGTGATATTTTGTTTTCCAGTCCTGTGTAATTACACTTGGGATAATGGTTTCCAGTTCCACCCAAGTTACTACCAAATTCATTATTTCATTCTTCTTTATGGCTGTGTAGTATTCTATGGTATATGTGTATATATAATGATATATATATATATGGTGTGTATATATATAATGATATGGTATATGTGTATATATAATCTATGGTATATGTGTATATATAATATATATATTAAGGAATTTGGATTTGTTTTTTTCTTCTCTTCAACTTTTTAAGTTCTGGGCTACATGTGCAGGATGTGCAGGTTTGTTACATAGGTAAACGTGTGCCAGGGTGGTTTGGGGCCCAGATCAATGCATCACCCAGGTATTAAGCCCAGCATCCATTTACTATTTTTCCTGATGCTCTCCCTCTACCCGCTCACCTAACAGGTCCCCACGTTTCCGAGTGTTCTCATCATTCAGCTCCCACTTATAAGTGAGAACATATGGTATTTGGCTTTCTGTTCCTGCATTAGTTTGCTGAGGATAATGGCTTCCAACTCCATCCATGATCCCTGCAAAGGACATGATCTCATTCCTTTTTGTGGCTGTATAGTAGTCTATGGTGTATATGTACATGGTGTATATGTATCACATTTTCTTTACCCAGTCTATCATTGATGGGCATTTGTGTTGATTGCATGTCTTTGCTATTATGAATAGTGCTGCAATGAACATATGAGTGCATGTATCTTTATAACAGAATGGTCTATATTCCTTTGGGTATATAACCAGTAATGGGATTGCAGGGTCAAAATGGTATTTCTGCTTCTAGATCTTTGAGGAATCGCCACACTCTCTTCCACAATGGTTGAACTAATTTACATTCCCACCAAGAGTGTAAAAGTGTTATTTTTTCTCCACGACCTTGCTAGTATCTGTTGTTTCTTGACTTTTAATCGCCATTCTGACTGTTGTGAGATGGTATCTCACTGTAGTTCTCATTTGCATTTCTCTAATGATCAGTGATGTTGAGATTTTTTTTCATATGTTTCTTGGTTGCAGGAATGTCTTCTTTTGAGAAGTGTCTGTTCATGTTATTTGCCCAATTTTTAATGGGATTGTTTGCTTTTTTTTTTGAAAATTTGTTTAAGTTCCTTGTAGATTCTGGATATTACACCTTTGTCAGATAAATAGATTGCAAAATTGTTTTCCCATACTGTAGATTGTCTGTTCACACTGATGATAGTTTCTTTTGCTGTGCAGAAGCTTTTTAATATAATTAGATCTTATTCATCAATTTTTGCTTTTGTCGCAATTGCTCTTGATGTTTTCGTCATTAAATATTTGTCTGTGCCTATGTCCTGAATGGTATTGCCTAGATTTTCTTCTAGGACTTTTATAGTTTTTGTTTTTACATTTAAATCTTTAATCCATCTTGAATCAATTTTTGTGTAAGGTGTAAGCAATTTTTAATTCTTTAATTTTCTGCATATGGCTACCACATTCTCCCAGCACCATTTATTAAATAGGGTGTCTTTAACCCATTGCTTGTTATTGTCAGGTTTGTCAAAGATCAGAATGGTAGTAGATGTTCTGTCTTATTTCTGAATTCTCTATTCTGTTCCATTGGTCAATGTGTCTGTTTTTGTACCAGTACCATGCTGTTTGGTTACTGCAGCCTTGTAGTATAGTTTGAAGTCAGGTAGCATGATGCCTCCAGCTTTGTTCTTTTCACTTAGGATTCCTTTGGCTATTCAGCGTCTTTTTTGGTTCCATAAGAATTTTAAAAGGTTTTTTTTTTTTCTAATTTTGTGAAAAATGTCAATGGTAGTATAATGGGAAGAGCATTGAATCTATAAATTACCTTGGGCAGTATGGACATTTTCACAATATCAGTTCTTCCTATTCAGGAGCATGGAATGTTTTTTTCATTTGTTTGTGTCCTCTCTGATTTCCTTGAGCAGTGGTTTGTAGTTCCCCTTCAAGAGGTCCTTCGCTTTCCTTGTTAGCTTTATTCCTGGGTATTATATTCTTTTTGTGGGAATTGTGAATGGGGGATTATTCAGGATTTGGCTCTCTGCTTGCGTGTTGTTGGTGTATAGCAGTGGTAGTGATTTTTGCACATTGCTTTTGTATTTTTGTATTTCAGATTTTGCTGAAGTTGCTTATCAGATTAAGAAGCTTTTGGGCTGAGATGATGCGGTTTTCTAGATATAGGATCACTTCATCTGCAAACAAAGATGATTTGACTTCCTCTCTTTATATTCGAATACCTTTATTTCTTTCTCTTCCTGATTGCCCTGGCCAAAACTTCCAATACTATGTTGAACAGCATTGGTGAGAGAGTGCATTCTTGACTTGTGCCAGTTTTCAAGGTGAGTGCTTCCAGCTTTTGCCTATTCGGTGTGATATTGTCTGTGGATTTGTCATAAATGGCTCTTATAAATTTGAGATATGTTCTTTCAAAACCTACTTTATTGAGAGTTTTTAACATGAATAGATGTTAATTTTTATCAAAGGTTTATTCTGCATCATAATCATATGGTTTTTCTATTTAGTTCTGTTTATGTGAGGAATTACATTTATTGATTTGTGTATGTTGAACCAACCTTGCATCCTGAGGATGAAGCCAAATTGATCATGGTGGATAAGGTTGTGCCTAGTCAGTCCCAGTATGAGAACCTGGATATTTTAGCTGAAGATGTTTAATTCACTTGCAACTTTCATTCTTCTCTGTGAGTGCTGCAGACCGCAGCTGCTTCCAATTGACCATCTTGACCTCATGTATCTTCTTTTGAGAAATGTTTTTTCACGTTATTTGCCCACTTTAATGAGATTATTTGATTTTTTCAACTTTTATTTTAGGTTCACAGAGTTAATGTACAAGTTGGTTACATGGGTAAATTGCATGTCATGGGAGTTTTGTGTATACATTATTTTGGCACTCAGGTAATGAGTATAGCACCAGATACATAGCTTTCTGATCCTCATCTTCTCCCAGCCATCACTCTCAAATAACATGTAGTATCTGGTTTTCTGTTTTCTCTTAATTTGCTTATGATTTTGGCCTCCAATTCCATCCAAGTTTCTGCAAGGGGCATGATTTTGTTCTTTTTTAATGCCTGCATAGTATTCCATATTATATATGTACCATATTTTCTTAGTCCACCATTGATGAGCATCTTGGTTGATTCCATGTTTTTGCTATTGTGAAGAGTGCTACGATGAACATGTGTATGTATGTATTTTTATGGTAGAATGATTTCTATTCCTTTGGGTACATACCTAGTAATGAGGCTGCTGGGTCAAATGGTAGTTCTGTTTGAAGTTTCTTTTTTTTTTTCATTTTAATTTTATTTTTTTATTATAATTTCAGTTTTAGAGTACATGTGCACAATGTGCAGCTTTGTTACATATGTATACATGTGCCATGTTGGTGTACTGCACCCATTAACACTTCATTTAACATTAGGTATATCTCCTAATGCTATACCTCCCCCCTCCCCCAACCCCACAACAGGCCCCGGGGTGTGATGTTCCCCTTCCTGTGTCCATGTGTTCTCATTGTTCAACTCCCACCCATGAGGGAGAACATGTGGTGTTTGGTTTTTTGTCCTTGCAATAGTTTGCTGAGAATGATGGTTTCCAGCTTCATCCATGTCCCTACAAAGGACATGAACTCATCATTTTTTATGGCTGCATAGTATTCCATGGTGTATATGTGCCACATTTTCTTAATCCAGTCTATCATTGTTGGACATTTAGGTTGGATCCAAGGCTTTGCTATTGTGAATAGTGCCGCAATAAACATACATGTGCATGTGTCTTTATAGCAGCATGTTTTATAATCCTTTGGATATATACCCAGTAATGGGATGGCTGGGTCAAATTGTATTTCTAGTTCAAGATCCCTGAGGAATCACCACACTGACTTCCACAATGGTTGAACTAGTTTACAGTCCCACCAACAGTGTAAAAATGTTCCTATTTCTCCGCATCCTCTCCAGCACCTGTTGTTTCCTGACTTTTTAACGATCGCCATTCTAACTGGTGTGAGATGGTATCCCATTGTGGTTTTGATTTGCATTTCTCTGATGGCCAGTGATGATGAGCATTTTTTCTTGTGTCTTTTGGCTGCATAAATGCCTTCTTTTGAGAAGTGTCTGTTCATATCCTTTGCCCACTTTTTGACGGGGTTCTTTGTTTTTTTCTTGTAAATTTGTTTGAGTTCATTGTAGATTCTGGATATTAGCCCTTTGTCAGATGAGTAGTTTGCAAAAATTTTCTCCCATTCTGTAGGCTGCCTGTTTACTCTGATGGTAGTTTCTTTTGCTGTGCAGAAGCTCTTTAGTTTAATTAGATCCCATTTGTCAATTTTGGCTTTTGTTGCCATTGCTTTTGGTGTTTTAGACATGAAGTCCTTGCCCATGCCTATGTCCTGAATGGTAATGCCTAGGTTTTCTTCTAGGGTTTTTATGGTTTTAGGTCTAACATGTAAGTCTTTAATCCATCTTGAATTAATTTTTGTATAAGGTGTAAGGAAGAGATCCAGTTTCAGCTTTCTACATATGGCTAGCCAGTTTTCCCAGCACCATTTATTAAATAAGGAATCCTTTCCCCATTTCTTGTTTTTGTCAGGTTTGTCAAAGATCAGATAGTTGTAGATATGCGGCATTATTTCTGAGGGCTCTGTTCTGTTCCATTGGTCTATATCTCTGTTTTGGTACCAGTACCATGCTGTTTTGGTTACTGTAGCCTTGTAGTATAGTTTGAAGTCAGGTAGCATGATGCCTCCAGCTTTGTTCTTTTGACTTAGGAATGACGTGGCGATGTGGGCTCTTTTTTGGTTCCATATGAACTTTAAAGTAGTTTTTTCCAATTCTGTGAAGAAAGTCGTTGGTAGCTTGATGGGGATGGCATTGAATCTTTAAATTACCTTGGGCAGTATGGCTGTTTTCATGATATTGATTCTCCCTACGCATGAGCATGGAACGTTCTTTCATTTGTTTGTATCCTTTTTTATTTCATGGAGCAGTGGTTTGTAGTTCTCCTTGAAGAGGTCCTCCACATCCCTTGTAAGTTGGATTCCTAGGTATTTTATTCTCTTTGAAGCAATGATGAATGGGAGTTCACTCATGATTTGGCTCTCTGTTTGTCTGTTATTGGTGTATAAGAATGCTTGTGATTTTTGCACATTGATTTTGTATCCTGAGACATTGCTGAATTTGCCTATCAGCTTAAGGAGATTTGGGGCTGAGACAATGGGGTTTTCTAGATATACAAACATGTCGTCTGCAAACAGGGACAATTTGACTTCCTCTTTTCCTAATTGAGTACCCTTTATTTCCTTCTCCTGCCTGATTGCCCTGGCCAGAACTTCCAACACTGTGTTGAATAGGGGTGGTGAGAGAGGGCATCCCTGTCTTGTGCCAGTTTTCAAAAGGAATGCTTCCAGTTTTTGCCCTTTCAGTATGATATTGGCTGTGGGTTTGTCATAGATAGCTCTTATTATTTTGAGATAAGTCCCATCAATACCTAATTTATTGAGATTTTTTAGCACGAAGGGCTGTTGAATTCTGTCAAAGGCCTTTTCTGCATCTATTGAGATAGTCATGTGGTTTTTGTCTTTGGTTCTGTTTATATTCTGGATAACGTTTACTGATTTGCATATGTTGAACCAGCCTTGCATCCCAGGGATGAAGCCCCCTTGATCATGGTGGATAAGCTTTTTGATGTACTGCTGCATTCGGTTTGTCAGTATTTTATTGAGGATTTTGCATCGATGTTCGTCGGGGATATTGGTCTAAAATTCTCTTTTTTTTGTTGTATCTCTGCCAGGCTTTGGTATCAGGATAATTCTGGCCTCATCAAATGAGTTAGGGAGGATTCCCTCTTTTTCAATTGATTGGAATAGTTTCAGAAGGAATGGTACCAGCTCCTCCTTGTACCTCTGGTAGAATTCGGCTGTGAATCCATCTGGTCCTGGACTCTTTTTGGTTGGTAAGCTATTAATTATTGCCTCAATTTCAGCTCCTGTTATTGGTCTATTCAGAGATTCAACTTCTTCCTGGTTTAGTCTTGGGGGGGTGTATGTGTCAAGGAATTTACCCATTTCTTCTAGAGTTTCTAGTTTATTTGCCTAGAGGTGTTTATAGTATTCTCTGATGGTAGTTTGTATTTCTGTGGGATCGGTGGTGATATCCCCTTTATCATTTTTTATTGCATGTATTTGATTCTACTCTCTTTTCTTCTTTATTAGTCTTGCTAGTGATCTATCAATTTTGTTGATCTTTTCAAAAAACCAGCTCCTGGATTCATTGATTTTTTGAAGGGATTTTTGTGTCTCTATTTCCTTCAGTTCTGCTCTGATTGTTATTTCTTGCCTTCTGCTAGCTTTTGAATGAGTTTGCTGTTGCTTCTCTAGTTCTTTTAATTGTGATGTTAGGGTGTCAATTTTAGATCTTTCCTGCTTTCTCTTGTGGGCATTTAATGCTGTAAATTTCCCTCTACACACTGCTTTGAATGTGTCCCTGAGATTCTGGTATGTTGTGTCTTTGTTCTCATTGGTTTCAAAGAACAACTTTATTTCTGCCTTCATTTCATTATGTACCCAGTAGTCATTCAGGAGCAGGTTGTTCAGTTTACATGTAGTTGAGCAGTTTTGAGTGAGTTTCTTAATCTCACTGCTGGTGAGGAGTTGTGTTCCTTTGCAGGAGGAGAGGCGCTCTGATTTTTAGAGTTTCCAGTTTTTCTGCTCTGCTTTTTCCCCATCTTTGTGGTTTTATCTACATTTGGTCTTTGATGATGGTGACATACAGATGGGATTTTGGTGTGGATGTCCTTTCTGTTTGTTAGTTTTCCTTCTAACAGTCAGGACCATCAGCTGCTGGTCTGTTGGAGGTTGCTGGAGGTCCACTCCAGACCCTCTTTGCCTGGGTATCAGCAGTGGAGGCTGCAGAACAGCGGATACTGGTGAGCAGCAAATGTTGCTGCCTGATCATTCCTCTGGAAGTTTTGTCTCAGAGGAGTACCCAGCCGTATGAGGTGTCAGTCTGCCCCTATTGGGGGATGCCTCCCAATTAGGCTACTTGTGGGTCAGGGACCCACTTGAGGAGGCAGTCTGTCCATTCTCAGATCTCCAGCTGCATGCTGGGAGAACCACTACTCTCTTCAAAGCTGTCAGACAGGGACATTTAAGTCTGCGGAGTTTTCTGCTGCTTTTTGTTTGGCTATACCCTGCCCCCAGAGCTGGGTTCTACAGAGGCAGGCAGGCAGGCCTCCTTGAGCTGCCATGGGCTCCATCCATTTGGAGCTTCCTGGCCACTTTGTTTATACCTACTCAAGCCTCGGCAATGGCAGGCGCCCTTCCCCAGCCTCTCTGCCACCTTGCAGTTTGATGTCAGACTGCTGTGCTAGCAATGAGCGAGGCTCTGTGGGCGTAGGACCCTCCAAGCCACGTGCGGGATATAATCTCCTGGTATGCCTTTTGCTAAGACGATTGGAAGGGTGCAGTATTAGGGTGGGAGTGACTCGTTTCCAGTTGCCATCTGTCACCGCTTTCTTTGACTAGGAAAGGGAATTCCGTGACCCCTTTCACTTCCTGGGTGAGGCGATGCCTCGGCCTGCCTCGGCTCCCACTCGGTGCACTGCAACCACTGTCCTGCACCCACTGTCTGACACTCCCTAGTGAGATGAAGCCGGTACCTCAGTTGGAAATGCAGAAATCACCCGTCTTCTGTGTTGCTCACGCTGGGACCTGTAGACTGGAGCTGTTCCTATTCAGCCATCTTGGCTCCACTGATCTGTTTTAAGTTTCTTGAGAATTCTCCAAACTGCTTTCCACAGTGGCTAAACTTATTTACGTTAACACCAGCAGGATATTTATTCCCTTTCCTCTGCAACCTCACAAGCATATGTTATTTTTTGTCTTTATAATAATTGTCATTTTGACTTGTGTGAGATGTTATCTTATTGTGGTTTTGATTTTCATTTCTCTAATGATTAGTGATGCTTAGTATTTTTTCATATGCTTCTTGTCCACTTGTATGTCTTCTTATGAGAAGTGTCTGTTCATGTCTTTTGCTCATTTGTTAATGTGGTTGTTTTGTTTTTGCTTGTTAATTTGTTGAAGTTCCTTATAGATTCTGGATATTAGACCTTTTTGGATTCATAGTCTGCAAATATATTCTTCTGTTGTGTAGTTGGTCTGTTTACTCTCTTGATAATTTATTGTTCTTTGCAGAAGATGTTTAATTAATTAGGTCTCAATTATCCATTTCTGTTTTTGCTATAGATTTTGGAGTCTTCATCATGAAATATTTGTCATGGCCTATGTTCAGAATTATATTCCTAGGATTTTTCCTAGAGTTTTTATAGTTTTAGGTTTTGCATTTAAGTCTTTAATTCACATCGAGTTTATTTTTGTATGTGGGGAAAAGATAGGGTTCACTTCAAATATTCTGCATATGTCTAGCCAGTTATCCCAGTACCATTTATAGAATAGGAATTCATTTTTCCATTGCTTCTTGTTTTTGACTTTGTCAAGGTCAGATGACTGTAGGTATGTGGCTTTATTTCTGGGCTCTCTAACCTGTTCCATTCATCTATGAACCCGTTTTTGTGCCAGTACCATGCTGTTTTGGTTACTGTAGCCTTGTAATACCATTTAAGTCAGGTAGAGTGGTGCCTCTGGTTTTGTTCTGTATGCACAGGATTGGTTTGACTATTTGGGATACTTTTTTGTTCCATATGAATTATAGAATAGTTTTTTTCTGGTTCTGTAAAGAATGTCATTGGTAGTTTGATAGAAATAGCATTGAAATCAGAAATTGCTTTTTGGAATATGGCCATTTTAATAATACTGATTCTTTCTATCTATGATAATGGAATGTTTTTCCAGTTGTTTGTTTAATCTCTGAGTCCTTTGAGCAGTGTTTTGTAGTTCTCATTGTAGAGATCTTTCATCTTTCTGTTTAGCTGTATTCCTAGTTATTTTATTGTTTTTGTGGCTATTGTGAATAGGCTGGGGTTCTTGGTTTGGTTCTTAGCTTGGTCATTATTGGTGTATAGAAATGCTACTGATTTTTGTACATTCACTTTATACCTTGAAACTTTGCTGAAGTTGTTTGTAAGGTCTGTAAGCGTTTTGGCAGAGATTATGGTGTGTTCTAGGTATAGAATCACATCATCTGAGAAGAGAGGTAGTTTGCCTTCCTCTCTTCTTTTTTGGCTGCCTTTTGTTTCTTTCTCTTGACTGACTGCTCTGGTTAGCACTTTCAGTACTATGTTGAATAGGAGTTATGAGAGTTGGCATCCTTGTCTTGTTCTGGTTTTTTAGAAGAATGCTTTGAGCTTTGACCCATTCAGTATGATGTTGGCTGTGAGTTTTCCATAGATTGCTGTTATTATTTTGACGTGTGTTCCTTCAATGCTTAGTTTGTTGAGGGTTTCTAACGTAAAGGGATGTTGAATTGCATTGAAAGCATTTTCTATGTCTGTTGAGATGATCATGTGGTTTTTCTTTCAATTCTTTTTATGTGATGAATCACATTTATTGATTTGCATATGTTGAGCCAAACTTGCATTCCAGAAATAAAGGAGATCCACTTGATCATGGTGGATTAACTTTTTGTTGTGTTACTGGATGTGGACTGCTAGTATTTTGTTGAAAATTTTCGCATGTATGTTTATCAGGGATATTGGCCTGCAATTTTCTTACCTCATTGTGTCTGTGTGAAGTTTTGGTATCCCAATGATGCTGGCCTTATAAAATGTGGTAGGGAGGAGTCCTTCCTTCTCAATTTTGTGGAATAGTTTCTGATAGATTGGTATCAGCTTTTGTTTGCATGTGTAGTAAAATATGGCTGTGGATTCTTATGGTTCAGGGCTTTTTCTGGTTGGTAGTTTTTTGGTTTTGTTTTTGTTTTCTTCACTCATTCAATTTCAGAACTCATTCCTGGTCTGTTCTCTGTTTGGAATTCTTTCTGGTCAATCTTGGGAGGTAGTATATTCCCAGAAATTTACCCATTTCATCTACATTTTCTAGTTGGTGTTTATAGAGGTTTTTTTTTTTTTTTTTTTAGATGGAGTCTTGCTCTGTTGCCCAGGCTGGAGTGCAGTGGTGCGATCTCAGCTCACTGCAACCTCCGCCTCCCGGGTTCAAGAGATTCTCCTGCCTCAGTGTCCTGAGTAGCTGGGACTACAGGTGCATACCACCATGTCCGGCGAATTTTTTGTATTTTTAGTAGAGACAGGGTTTCACCGCGTTAGCCAGGGTGGTCTCAATCTCCTGGCCTCATGATCCACCTGCCTCAGCCTCCCAAAGTGCTGGGTTTACAGGCTTGAGGCACTGCACTCGGCTTATAGAGATGGTCTTAATAGACTTTTTTTTTTTCTTTTGTATTTCTGTAGCATTGGTGGTAATGTCTCCTTTGTCATTTCTGATAGTGTTTATTTGGATCTTCTTTTTTCTTTATCAGTCTAACTAGTGGTCTATCAATCTCACTTATTATTTCAAAAAAACAACTTTTCATTTTGTTGATTGTGTGTATGGCTTTCACGTCTAAATTTTGTTCAGTTTAGCTGTAATTTTTGTTATTTTTTTTTTTTTCCTGCTAGCTTTGGGGTTGATTTGGTCTTATTTTCTTAGTTCCTCTATTTGTGATGTTACTTTGTTGAGATTTTTCTAACTTTTGGATGGGGGTGTTTAGTGCTGTAAATTTTTCTCTCATCACTGCTTTAGCTGTGTCCCAGAGATTCTCATATGTTTTATCATTGGTTTCATTAGTTTCAAAGAATTCTTTGATTTCTGCCTTAATTTCATGTTTACCCAAAAGTCATTCAGGGGCATATTGTTTAATTTCAATGTAATTGTATGGTTTTTGAGAGATCTTGGTATTGATTTCTATGTTTAATATGCTGTGGTCTGAGAGTGTAGTTGGTATGATTTTGGGTTTTTGAATTTGTTGAGAATTGCTTTATGGCTGAGTGTGTGGTTAATTTTAGACTATGTACCATGCCTAGGTGAAAATAATGTATATTCTGCTGTTAGTCCAGTGTTCTGCTGAAGTCTGTTAGGTTCATTTGGACAAGTGTTGAGTTTATTTCCTGAATATCTTTGTTAGCTTTCTAGCTCAACAATCTGTCTAATACTGTTAATGGAGTCTCCCACTATTGTTGTGTTTACCCATGTCTCTTCATAGGTCTCCAAGAACTTGTTTTGTGCATCTGAGTGCTCCAATGTTGGGAGCATATATATTTAGGATAGTTAGGTCTTGTTGAATGGAACCCTTTACCTTTATGTAATGCCCTTTTTTGTCTTTTTTGATCCTTCTTGCTTTAAGGTCTGTTTTGTTTGAAATAAGAATAGCAATTTCTGCTTTTTGTATTGATAGATCTTCCTCATTCACTTTACTTTGAGTCTATGTGTGTCATTGCATGTTAGACGAGTTCCTTGATTATAGCATGCACTTGGGTCTTGCTTTATCCAGTCTGCTACTCTCTGCCTTTGAGTTGGAACATTTAACCCATTTACATTCAAAGTTAGTGTTGAAATGTGAAATTTGATCCTGTCTTCATGTTAGCTCATTCTCATGTAAACTTGATTGTATAGATGCTTTACAGTCTTATTGGTCTATGTACTTACATGTGTTTTTGTGGTGGCCAGTAATTGTCTATTGTTTCTGTGGTTAGCACTTCCTAATGGACCTCTTGTAAACTATGTCTAGTGGTCACAAATATCCTTATTATTTGCTTTTCTGAATGGAATTTTATTTCCCCTAATTTATGAAGCTTAGTTTGGCAGGATATGCAATTCTTAATTTGGATTTCCTTTCATTAAGAATGTCTAATATAGACCCCAATGTCTTCTGGCTTGTAGGATTTCTGCTGAAACTTCCACTGTTATTGTAAAAGGTTCCCTGTGAAGGTGACTTCTCTCTTCTCTCTAGCTGCCTTTAATATTTTTTTCTTTCTTGTTGACCTTGGAGAATCTGATGACTATGAGTCTTGATGATCCTGCATAGTATCTTGGAGGGTTTGTCTGAATTTCCTGAATTTGAATGTCTCCCTCTCTAGTAAGTTTCGGAAATTTTCACTGACAATATTCTTAAATATTTTTTGTAAGTTGCTTGCTCTTTCGGGGACACCAATGAGTCATAAGTTTGGTCTCTTTACATAATCCCATATTTCTTGGTGATTTGGTTCATACTTTTTAAAATTATTTTTTCTTTATTTTTGTCTTATTGAGTTGACTTGAAGAGCCTGTCTTCGAGGGCTGGGATTCTTTTCTCAGCTTGGTCTATTCTGCTGGTATTACTTCTGATTGTATTATGAAATTCTTGTAGGGAGTTTTTCAGCTCTCTCAGATCAATTTGATTCTTAAAGTGGCTATTCCATTTTTCAGCTCTTGTATTGTTTTACTGGATTTTTTAGATTCTTTTGGATTCAATTTTAACTTTCTCTTGAATCATGATAATCTTTGTTGCCATCCAAACTTTTAATCTTATGGTTGTCATTCCAGACATTTTAGTCTGGTTTAGAGCCATTGCTTAGGAGCTAGTGTGGTTGTTTGGAGGTAAACAAACACTGTCTTTTTGAGTCATCAGAATTCTTATGCTAGTTCTTTCTCATCTGTGTGGGATGATGTTCCTTTAATCTTTGAAGTTTATGTCCTTTAGATAGGGCTTTTTGCTTTTGCATTATTTGATGCCCTTGAGGGTTTGACTGTCGTATAAGTTGGATTTAGTTGACAGGCTTCGTTTCTGAATGATTTCTGGGGTCGAAGGATTAGCGCAGCATTCTTGGGCTGCATACTCTAATTCTGGGGGCTGGTACCAGGCCCACAGCTTTTTTCTCTGGCCCCTACAGGTTGAACACCTGCTCTGCTGGAGGAGCTGAGGTGTTCCTGGTTTGCTGGCAAGAGCACTCCAGTGGAGGGTGTCTGCAGAAGTTCTTTGTCAGGATAGTGGCAGCATGGTACTCACATCTGTTGGCAGCAGTGGCATGGCAGGGTCCGTGCATACATGCTTGTGATGGAGGTGGCAAGGGTGCACACACATGCGTGCTAGTGGGGCAGGGCAGTCATGGTGATGTTTGCGTACTCATGCCTGAGGCACTGGGATGGTGAGGTCTGTGTACATGCACTCACCCACAAAGCAGTGGGGGGAGGCTGTGAGCAGCTGTATGCTTGCAGGGACCCATCTGTGGAAGCTCTCTGATGGTTAGGCAGAGTCTGCTGGTAAAGGAGCTATGGTGGTTGCCTCTGGGAAGTGCCCCTGGTGCAGCCAGGCAGGGACCCTGGGGGAGGCTGATATACAGTAGGGGCACTCACATCACACCAGCTCTATCCCACTGGTGAGATAGCCCTGTTATGTCCAGGTCCAACAGTTAACAAAGGTGAAAGGCACCTAGAGAAGCATCATTAGCCAGTGCGGATGGGCATCTCTGGCCATGCTCCACTGCAGCCATTCCTGCACCAAACCCTCTGGGGTCTGTACTGACTGGAGTCCTGTTCCTGCTAACTCTTCAAGCAGCTCTCCCAGCCAGCTCAAATGTCTGTGGGGATCATGAAGTCTCCTGCAGCTAGGTTTCTGGATGTCTGTGCAAGAGTGTACTACTCCAATGCTCATTTAACTCATCCTTTCCCTAGGAGCCACTCAGGGCCAGTATGATTCCTGGTGCTTGACAACCATGTGTAGGATTCCCAGCTTTTTCTCCCTTCAGCCCAGGTTCTGTGTCCTCCCTCTGTCCACTCTCAATACCTTTCTTCTGAAGATCTGCTTGGAGTGTGCTGGTCTTCTTGTTGGTCTTATCTTTTGATGAGAGAAGCTCTTCTTGGCTGCATACAGTCAGCATTCTTGACTTTTCTTCCTTTTCGCTTTTGTTCTTGCTGATTCTTTTGAATTCCTTGCAGATTCTGGATGAAGGGGTGGGTTGCCCCTCCACACCTGTGGGTGTTTCTCATAAGGTGGAACAAGAGACTTGGAAAAGAAAAAGACACAGAGACAAAGTATAGAGAAAGAAATAAGGGGACCTGGGGAACCAGCGTTCAGCATATGGAGGATCCCGCCAGCCTCTGAGTCCCCTTAGTATTTATTGATCATTCGTGGGTGTTTCTCCGAGAGGGGGATGTGTCAGGGTCACAAGACAATAGTGGGGAGAGGGTCAGCAGACAAACACGTGAACAAAGGTCTTTGCATCATAGACAAGGTAAAGGATTAAGTGCTGTGCTTTTAGATATGCATAAACATAAACATCTCAATGCTTTACAAAGCAGTATTGCTGCCCACATGTCCCACCTCCAGCCCTAAGGCGGTTTTTCCCTATCTCAGTAGATGGAACGTACAATCGGGTTTTATACCGAGACATTCCATTGCCCAGGGACGGGCAGGAGACAGATGCCTTCCTCTTGTCTCAACTGCAAGAGGCATGCCTTCCTCTTATACTAATCCTCCTCAGCACAGACCCTTTACGGGTGTCGGGCTGGGGGACGGTCAGGTCTTTCCCTTCCCACGAGGCCATATTTCAGACTATTACATGGGGAGAAACCTTGGACAATACCTGTCTTTCCTAGGCAGAGGTCCCTGCGGCCTTCCGCAGTTTTTGTGTCCCTGGGTACTTGAGATTAGGGAGTGGTGATGACTCTTAAAGAGCGTGTTGCCTTCAAGCATCTGTTTAACAAAGCACATCTTGCACCGCCCTTAATCCATTTAACCCTGAGTTTGACACAGCACATGTTTCAGAGAGCATGGTGTTGGGGGTAAGGTCACAGAATCTCAAGGCAGAAGAGTTTTTCTTAGTACATAACAAAATGGAGTCTCCCATGTCTACTTCTTTCTACACAGACACAGTGACAATCTGATCTCTCTTGCTTTTCCCCACACTGGATATTAGTTCTTTGTTGAATGTATATTTTGTGAGTATTTTCTCTCATTCTGTATGTTGCCTACTTGGTCTTTTAATTTTTTTTTTTTTTTTTAGCAGAAGCTTTTTAGTTTAATTAGGTCGCATTTATTTTTTGTTTTTGTTGCAATTGCTTTTGGGGATTTAGCCAAAAACTTTTTGTCAAGGCTAATGTTGAGAAGGGCATTGTTTAGGTTTTCTTCTAGTATTTTTATAGTTTGAGATCTTACTTTTAAATCTTTAATTTATCTTGAGTTAATTTTTGTATATGGTGAGAGAGAGTGATCCAGTTTCGTACTTTGGCTTGTGGCTATTTAGTTTTCCCAGCACCATTTATTGACTAGGGTGTCCTTTCCCCAGCTTTTCTTTTTGTCTGCTTTATCAAAGAGCAGTTATTTGTGGGTATTTTGCTTTAATTTTGGGTTCTCTATCCTGTTCTATTGGTCTACGGGGGTATTTTATTTCACTACCATGCTTTTTTGGTTACTATAACCTCGTATTATAATTTGAAATCAGGTAGTTTGATGCCTCCAGATTTTTTTTTTTTGCTTCGTTTTGTTTTGACTATCTGGGCTCTTTTTTGGTTCCCTGTCAATTGTAGGATTTTTTCTAATTCTTTGAAAAATGACATTAGTGTTTGATAGAAATTATGTTGAATATGTAGATTGCTTTGGGCAGTATGGTCATTTTCATAATACTGATTCTTCCAATCTATGACCATGGATTGTATTTCCATTTGTTTGTGTCATCTATGTTTTCTTTTATCAGTGTTTTGTAGTTCTTCCAGTCGAGATATTTTACCTTCTTTGTTAAGTATATTTTTAGATATTTTATTTTTTTCAGCTGTTTTAATGTGTAGAAAGATGTAAAATAAGAACTGATTTCTTGATTTGATTATCAGCTTGGCCATTATTGGTATATAGCAGTGCTACTGAATTGTGCATATTGATTTTTATTACCTTTAATGAATTCATTTATCAAATTTAGGAGTCTTCTGGAGGAGTCTTTTGGGTTTTCAAGGTATAAGATCATATCATTGGCAAAAAAAGATAGTTCAACTTCTTCATTTCCTATTTGGATGCCTTTATTCTTTTGCCTGATTGCTCTGGCTAAAACTACCAGTACTAAGTTGAATAGAAATGTTCAAAGTGGGCTTCCTTGTCTTGTCCCAGTTCTGAAGGGGAATACTTTCAACTTTTCCATATTCGGTATAATGTTGTCTGTGGGTTTGTCATATATGACCTTTATGATTTGAGGTACATTCTTTCTATGTCTAGTTTATTGAAGATCCAAGTCATTAGGGGATGCTGGATTTTATCAGTTGCTTTTTCTGCATCTACTAGGATGATCATAGGCTTTTTGTTTTTAATCCTGTTTTTGTGGTTAATCACATTTATTGACTTCGATGTGTGGAAACATCCCTGCATCTATAGCATGAAACCCACTTAATCATGGTGAATTATTTTTTTAATGTGATACTGGATTTGGTTTGCTAGCATTCTGTTGAGGATTTTTGCAACTATCTTCATCAGGCATATTAGTCTGTAGTTTTTGTGTGTGTGTGTCCTTTCCTGGCTTGGTTTTAACGTGGTACTTGCTTCATAGTATGAGTCAGAGAGGATTCTCTCCTTGACCTTTTGGAATTGTTTCAGTAGAATTGGCACCAGTTCTTTGAACATCTGGTAGAATTCAGCTGTGGATACATCTGTTCCTGTGCTTTTTCTTGGGGGGGGGGGGAGGGATTTTTTTTTATTACTGATTCAATCTCATTACTTATTATTGGTCTATGCAAGATTTCTATGTCTCCCTGATTCAAGCTTGGGAGTTTGTATGTTTCCAGTAATTTCTCCATTTTCTTTAGATTTTCTAGCTTGTGTTCATAGATGTGTTCATAGTAGTGTCAGATGATCGGTTGTATTTCCCTGGTATTAGTTGTAATGTTTTTATTTTTATTTTTGATTATAATTATTTGAATATTCTCTTTTTTGTGAATCTAGCTAGTTGCATATAAATTTTGTTTATCTTTTCAAAGAAGCAACTATTCATTTTACTTTTTTTTTGTATTGTTCTATCTCAATTGACACCTTACTTTAAAAAAAGACATTGTTTCCTTTGCATGTATGTATCAGTCAGTTTCTTTGGTTGCAAGCCACTGAAACCAGCTCTGTCTCACTTAAGCAGATGAGGAATTTGTGAAAAGGGCAGAGTAATTGCTAGAATTGCTTGGAAGCTTAGTGAAACAGACAGAGTAAATAGGCAAGAACAAAGCACCACAGCCATATTTACACTAGAGGAGCCATCTGATATATGGGCCTTATTGTTGCTATCACTGATACTGGAATGCTGCAGTGGGCACTGATGCTATCTCTGGAAATGGCCACCGCTATTGGGATCATCGAAACTGCTGTGCTTAGAAATCAGGTGTTGTTGATTCCAACACCTGTACAATGTGTACTTTTTTCTTGTTGCTTCTCTGCATACTTTCTTCCAGAATCAAATGTCCAGGACATCACAATCATGTGATGAGCTGAGTTCAAATCATGTATTCATCATGCCTTAGCAGCCTAATGGTGGGAAAAAGAGAATATCTGCATCTGCACCCATTCTTTCCTTTTTCCATCTTGTTAATGATGGAGGACGAGGCCCTCTTTCTTTCTGTGGCCAATCCTTGGACTATGCTTTAGACCCTACTCACTGGTTCTTTCCTGGAAACTTTATTATTTCTCCCTTTTGCATCTTCAATTTCTCTATCTGTATGTAATGTTTTCTATCAGTAAACAAGCTATACTTTCTTCCATCTTAAAAATAAAATCAGTCTTCTTTCCCGTGGGTAAACAAGTAAATCTATATATTCTCCTCAACCAGATTTCTCAAAAGACTTATATGCATTCACTGGGTACATTGCCTCAGTTCCCACTTGCTCTTCAACCTCATAGTCATGCCTCAGCTCTTAACAACTCCACAAAAACTTCCCTTGTAAAAGTCATCAGTGGCTTCCTTGTCACTCAATGCTCACATGTCAGTACTTATTCTCTACATGAAATCTGATGAGATTCATCACTCTTTTCTTATTGAAACTCTAGTGGTTTCTTTACTAACCTCCTCAAATGCTCTCTTGCAACCCATTCTCACATAGTAGCCAGTGCAATCTTTTCAAATTAACTATCAGATCATTTCACCCTTTAAACAGAATCTTTTTAAAGATTCCCAGTGTTTTTAGAATGAAGTCCAGACTTTTTATGAAGGCCCGCCTACAAATAATCTGTATGATCAGGGACAAATTAGAAGGAAGGAGAGATGAAGTGATTTGAGAAAGCTAAAAATGAAGAATGTTTTCTCTTTCAATTATTCTTACCCTCCAACTTCATCTTCTATCACTCTCTCTTTCACTTGCTTTATTTCAGTCACAGTGATCCTCAAAGTAGTTGGATATTTTATATTCCTTTACGTATCAAAGCCTTTGCACTTACTGTTCTCTTGGCCTGGTATTCTCTTTGCTAACCCCTGCACACCTATTCTTTTTTTTGAATTTCTACACACTGTTTTAGTTTTTACTCAATAGATATTTACTTAGTGAAACATTTTTAAACCCCTCATTCACACTCATCACACTTTGTACTTCTCATTTGTAGCACACAGAAAATTGTAATTAATCAATTTGTGTGTATGTGTGTGTGTGTGTGTGTGTGTGTGTGTGTGTGTGTTTAAGTGTCTACCTTCCTCCAGTAGACTGTGAGCTTCATGAGAGCAGGGACCATTTTTTTCTTTCATTCATTGAAGTATCCAACATTGTTTCTAGCACATGATTGACACTCAGAAAATAGTAGTTGAATCGATGAATAGGTATTCTTAAGCACCTATGTTTTCTGCTACAGAATAGTCACTCAATGAATATTTGCTGAATGAATGGATGAGTGAATATATAGGTAAATGCTACATATGTGATGCTATAAGTTGCTATGCTAGTCATATAAACTGCATCTTAGCTCAATAAACAACCTCAATTGTTTCACTCCCATAGCTTTGAAGACTCCATATGGCTATCAGTCTAACTAAGCGAAGCTTTATTTTCAGGTATCTAATTGTCTTTTTTCGCTGAGCATACCAAAGAGAGTAACAAGTACAAAGTACTTGATGTTTAAAGGAATGCAGAATATCCAATGCTACAAAAGGAACAATGTATCTGGAATAAAATGAGTGAAGGGGATAGTGATACAAGGAGAAGTTGAAAAGGTAGGAATAATTGAAAAACCATTATTCACTTTTAGCTTTCACTAAAAATCACTTCATTCCTCCTTCCTTTCTTCCTCCTTCTCTGTCCCTGACTATGAAAGTCTTTTGTGAAAAGTCTGAACTTTGGCCGGGCACAGTGGCTCAGGCCTGTAATCCCAGCACTTTGCGAGGCCAAGGCAGGCAGATCACCTGAGGTCAGGAGTTCGAGACCAGCCTGAAAAATATGGTGAAACCCCGCCTCTACTAAAAATACAAAGAAAAACAAAAACAAAAACAAAAAACTGGGCATCGTGGTGTGATCCTATAGTCCCAGCTACTCGGGAGGCTGAGAGAGGAGAATTGCTTGAACCTGGGAGGCGGAGGTTGCAGTGAGCCGAAATCATGCCACTGCACCCCAGCCTGGGTGACAGAGCGAGACTCCGTAAAATAAATAAATAAATAAATAAATAAATAAATAAATAAATAAAAGTCTGAACTTTATTTCAAGATCATTGGGAAGCTTTTGAAGGATTTTGATCAAGAGTGCTTAGCCCAGTGGGATTGAAAAAAAAGAGAATGAACTTTCTCTGTTTATTGAGAGAACAGGAAAACATGTGAAACAACTAAAGGACAATTTAGGACTATATATGATAAACAATACAGTTGCATGGCAATGTAGTGTCATTGAAAAATTCCTGGGCAAGGTGATAAAATACCTCATTGATTTGCATCTATGGCTTATTTTCTTATCCTCTTCTTTTTACCGCTCTTCCTGGTGGCTGATTTTAACAACTGTTTAAAACAGATCTGTGTGTTTTCTTACTATTGTTTTGCTTATCATGGGCTTCTACTTCTTCTTAAAATCTGTTTTACCTCTTTTTCCTCTTCATCCTGTGTAGCCTGAAAATCATTTTCCGTGACACAAAGTGAGGAACAACGTATCTTATGTTATTCACCAACTTTGTACAATTGACCTTGTGTAGTTTTTCTATCCATTCTTTGCTTATCTTGCTCTGAATATAATAACCAAATCATGTCCTTTCTGTCACCCTTATTAATATTTTTGCAAGCCATGATGAATTATGGGCCTTATTCCTTACTTCCCCTTTAAACTGTAGCAGGAGTAGAAGCTCCAGTTTCTTTTCACAGTAAAAGGGAGAGGAAAATATCTGGAACAGAAATGAAGGAAGGAAGAGTATAGGAAGATTTGTAGAAAAGAAAGGGATATTTACCACATAGTTTTTGTGAAGGTCAAATGAGTCAATACATGTCAAGTGTTTGAAATTAAGCCTTGCACACGGTACCTGTTCAACAGATGTTGACTGTTATTATTTGAATGGTAATGATGGTAATGGTTTTATCAGTCAGGGTTCCAGAAGAAAACAGATGCCATTGAGTAATTGGGGGAGAGTTTAATACTGGAACTACCCACAAAGTTGTGAGCAAAGAATAAGAAAACCACAAAGAATAGTGTATTACCCTAGGTATAATAATGACAGGTGCTTTTAGTACCCCTAGGCTGAAGAGGTACAAGTAGGAAATAATTTCTGGAACTTTATATGAGTATCTATAGCTATTAGAGAGAGCCACTGGACAGAAGCTGTGATCTTTGGTTGAAGGAAACAGCCAGCTCACAGTGACTGTAGGGTGGAAGCTTGGAGAAAAAAATAATTCAATCATGCCCTCTTTCCTCATTTCGAAGTCTTGCGGGTAATTCTTATTGCCCAAACCCCAAACAAAAGCCAGAGAAGAGGGGAGCCCATTAATGAAATACATATAAACTAGGCTTCAGGGACACAAAGCAGAGTGGAGAAGTTTGAAGAGTGAATCTGGAGGACAAAATAGAAGATAACAGCATAATCATGAGGTTAGGTATTGAAGACAAGTTGCAAAGCATTTGTGGTATGACTGACAACTCGCTTGTCAGCATACCTGGAGATTTCCGTGGGAATATATGTAAGCTAGTCCACAAATAAAAGCCACCCACTTTGCTCCAGGGTTAAATTAATGACTGCTAGCCCAGAATGATGCCTTAATGGGAGCTTCCCTATACCTTTATCCTTTATGATTATTATTATTATTATTATTATTATTATTTGAGATGGAGTCTTGGTCTGTCGCCCAGGCTGGAATGCAGTGGTGCGGTCTTGGCTCACTGCAACCTCTGCCTCCCAGGTTCAAGCAATTCTCCTGCCTCAGCCTCCAGAGTAGCTGGGATTACAGGTGGTGGGATTACAGGGGGGTGGTGTCAGCCCCCCAGCTTTGTTCTCTAGCCCCTCAAGATTAGCAATCTTCTGCACTGTAGGCACCAATATGTCCCCAATTATTGGTTACAGTGCTTTGTCGGGATGGTGGCAGTGGGATTTATACTCATTTGTATGTGCCAGGAGCAGTGGCTGTGCAGCAGGGTGCACATTGCATTAGCTGGGGTGGCATACCAGTGAGAGCAAGGCTGCTGCAGTTAAGTGCATGCTGTAGCCAACAGTGTTGGTGAGGGCATAGCACTGGTGGGTGTGGGGTTGCTGGTCTCCATGTGCATGATTGCAGCAGCAATATTGGCAGCACAGGGGGTGGGGTGGGGTTTTCAGCCTTCATGCACATGTTCGCATCAGCATCAGTGGCTGCATGGGTCAGGCTTGGTTGCAAATGTTTGTGTGCATGTGTGCACCAGCAATGGCAGCACAACTGGGTTCACGGAGTGTGCTCACACCTGCAGGATAGGCATGGCAGGGTGTGTGCATGCAGAGGAGAGGAGGTGAGGTCCATCTGCATGTGCACACACTGGCAGAGAAGTTGGTGGGTGGCTGTGGGTGATAGCATGCTGGCAGAGCGGTGCAGGTGAGGCTGCAGTGGTGGAGAGGATGCAGGTAGGCTGGTGTGTGGTGGTGGAGGACACTCTGGTGGAGCTCTGCAGTGGTCAGTTATGGTCTGCCAGTTAAGGAGCTATAATGAGGACCCTTTGGAAGCACCCTGATTGGGCATCCGAGGCTGCACTGCAGGCAGGCGTGGCCAGGCTTAGACCCTGGCGGAGGCCAACAGACAGGGGCATTCAGGTTACACTGGCCCCATCTTACACACAAGGCTGTCCTGCTCTCTCCAGGTTCAACAGTCCCCTTAAGGCTAAAGTCTCCTAGAGGAATATAGCAACCTTTGGGACTTACACATCCCTGGCCATGCTCCACTGCAGGCATTTCCACACCAGACCCTCTGGAATCTCCACAGCCTGGAGTCCTGCTCCTACTATCTGTCTAAGTCGCTGTGCTGCCAGCTGAAGTGTCTGTAGTGGTTGTGAGGTCTCCTGCTGCCAGGATTCCAGAGGTCCATGGTGAAAGTAGGTTGCTCCTCACCTGTTTAACTCACCCCTTCCCCAGGAGTTGCTGCAATCCAGGAACAAGTCCCAGTGCATGGTAGCTCTGTACATGGTTTCTATCATCTTCCCCCTTCATCCTAGCATCTTTGTCCTTGCTACATCCATTCTCAAGGCTTCACTCTGAAGATCTGCTCAGAGTGTACCAATCTTTCTGATGTCTGTTTCTTGATGGCAGATGTACTTCCTGGCTGCATCTAGTCTCCTATCTTGAATCCAGAATCTCACTGTGGTTTTGATTTGCAATTCTGTAATGATTATTGGTGTTGAGAATTTTTTATATGTCTGTTGGACATTTGTGAGTCTTCTTTTGAAGAATGTTTATTCGGATTATTTGCCCACTTTTAAATGGGATTATTTGTATTTTTGCTCTTGAGTTTTTTTGGTATCTTAGTATATTCCAGATATTAGTCACTTGTTGGATTCATAGTTTGCAAATATTTTCTTCCATTCTACAGGTTGTCTCTTCAGTCTGTTGACTGTGGCAGGTTGACAGGGCCTGTTGTTAGGCTTTCCTATTGTGCACATGTGTACCAGTGTCAACAGGCAGGCTGGGTCGTTTCCCAGGCCCCCGGATAGCAGATAGTGTGCTTGGGTGTCAGTGTCAGTGGGCAGGGTGGGCCTGTTCTCAGGCCCCTCACTGTGCCTGGGCAAGCTGGTCCCAGGATTCATGAATGTACATGTAGACAAATGGCTTCCTTGCTGCTAGTGGTCAGTGGGGATGCCATCAGTGGCAGCAGCCCTAGGCAAGTGGCTCTCAGGATCTGGTTACTGCATATTTTAGCTCCATATGTCCCAGAGGCAGCCTATCCAGTGCACTGCTAGAGTTCTGAGTATCTGGCTGCATTTATGGGTCCAGCCAGTGTCATAATGTTGCATTCCTCTGAGTGGGCATGAGAGGATGTCTGCAGGGCTTTTGGGATGTAGAGATGCAGGGTCTGTTGGGTCCCAGAGCAGGATGTAGTCTGGTGGGAGTCGTACTCTCAAAATGGCGCTGTGAAGCAGCTGCTTGGGTCCCAGAGTTGTATGTGGAACCCAGCACACACTCCTCTGGAATAATGCCAGGGTGTAGGCTTTAGGTAACTCCCTATACTCAGGGCCTGCAACAGCTGAGGGCTTCTCCATGGCTAGGATTACAGGAGTCTGTGGTGGGAACCTGAACCACTGGGGATCTCTTGCTTGCTTTTCTTCCACACTGGGGAGTTCTTTTTGACTCTGCACTACTTTGCGTCCCTCTCCTTCCATGCCTTAGAGGTTTCCTGTCACTGCTTTGCTAAATTCCAGTGTTCTCTCTTAAACTCTGTCTTTGACATGTGATTATCTACTTGCTGTTTTTGTACTTCTCCGTGGATGAGTTGGGTGCTGGGTGCCTGTAGTAAACCATCTTTGAAAAAAACGTTTTCAAATACATAAAGTACAATGCATTAGACTAAAAAAGGGACCCATTTTATGGAAATATACTTACCAAATCATTTTAAAGTTTGTGATAGAATAATGTGATTCTTAGCTAAGGGATGCTGGGCTTAATACCTAGGTGATGGGATGATTTGTTCAGCAAACCACCATGGCAAATGTTTACCTGTGTAACAAACCTGAAGATGTACCCCTGAACTTAAAAGTTGAAGAAAAAAAATGTGATTTTTTTATTAAGTTCATTCAATAGGAAGATATTTCAGTGAGCCTAGTAGTTACTATAATCTAAAATTACTAATGAGCATAAGCAATATTTTGAGATTACTCTAATAACTAATATGTTATGCAAATAACTGGAATTTTATTAGTGCAAAGCTATATATATATATATATATACACACACAAATACAATTAATTGTAACATTTTGCCTACATGCATAATTAAAAGAAATGCTAAATTTCAATTAGTGAAAATAAAAATGGGGGGAGGTGGCCAAGATGGCCCTCTAGAAACAGCTTTGGTAGGAGGCTCCCACTGAGAAGAATGAAAACAGCAAGTGAATTCTGCACCAGCAACTGAAGTATCCAGGTTCTCTTGCTGGGACTGACGAGGCAGTTAGCATGACCCATGGAGAATAAGGAAAAGCAGGGTGGACTGATGGCCCACCCGGGAGCCACGTGGGGCAAGGGGAACTCCCACCCGCAACGAAGGGAGGCAGTGAGCAATTGTTCTATCCCACATGGGAAACCACATTTTTCCTTCCACGGATTTGTGCAACCCACAGATCAGGAGATCCCCTCATGAGCCCATGTCACCAGGGCCTTGTGTCCCAAGCAGACATCTGTACAGATTATCAGTGGCCACTTGGCTGGGGACTGCCTGACTACTGAGTTCCCATGAGGAGAGGTGACGGCCATCACTGCAATTGCCTGCTGCCTGAGATGACTGAGCTCCTGGGGTGAAGGGCAGCACCCTCACTGCAGCTCCAGTCTGCCATTTTTTCCTGCTGGTGCCAGGGAGACTGGGCAGTTTGGAACCAGGAGGAATTCTCCACAGCACAGCACAGTGGCTGTGGCAGATCGTGGCCAGACTGCCTCTTTAGGCCAGACTCTGATCCGTCCTAACTCACTGGGCTGGTTCTCCCTGCAGAAACTTCAGCAACTCCAGCCAGGGTTTTGCAGACAGAAGTCTGATCTCTCTGGGACAGAGGCCCTAGAAGGAGTGGCAGCCATGGATGCCATGGATTAGTCGACTGAGTCTTTCCTCCTGCTGGCTCTGAAGAATCTAGGCAGTACGGAGAAGCAACATTACCCCCAGCACCAAGGGGCAACCAGAGGGCTTATTTAAGCTGGTCCCTGATCCCATGCCTCCCCAACTAGGCCACTCTAGGTGGTCCCCTAGATCACCCCAAAAGGGGTCTCTAGGCATCTTATACAGGAGTGTTCCTGCTGGTATCCTGTCAGTGCCAGTCTGGGACGGAGCTCCCAGAGGAAGGAGCAGGCAGCCATCTTTTCTGTTCCTCAGCCTCCACTGATGACACCTCCAGGTGTGGGAGGAACCCAGGTGAATAGGTTCTGGAGTGGACCCCTAGCAAACTTCAGCAGGCCTGTGGAAGAGAGGCCTGACTGTTAAAAGAAAAACAAAGAAACAGAAAGCAACAACAACATCATCAACAAAAAAAAAAGTCCTCACAAAAACCTCATCCAAAGGTCAGCAGCCTCAAAGATGAAAGCTAAATATAAACTCATGAAGATGAGAAAGAATTAATGAAGAAACACTGAAAACCAAAAAAGCCAGAGTGACTTTTCTCCTCCAAATGATCACAACACCACTCCAGCATGGACACAGAACTGGTTAGAGGCTGTAATGGATGAATTGACAGAAGTAGGCTTCAGAAGGTGAGTGATAATGAATTTTGCTGAACTAAAAAAGCATGTTTTAACCCAATGCCAAGAATCAAAGAAACATGAAAAAAATTACAGGAGCTGTTAACCAGAATAACCAGTTTAGAGAAGAACATAAATGACCTGATGGAACTGGAAAACACAGCACAGAAACTTCACAATGCAACCACAAATATCAATAACCAACTAGTCCAACCAGAGGAAAGAATTTCAGATTTTGAAGACTATCTTGCTGAAATAAAACAGGCAGACAAGATTGGAGTAAAAATAATGAAAAGGAATGAACAAAACTTACCAGAACTATTGAATTATGTAAAAAAACCAAACCTATGACTGATTGGGGTACCTGAAAGAGATGGAGAGAATGGAGCCAAGTTGGAAAACATACTTTAGAATATTATCCAGGAGAACTTCCTCAACCTAGCAAGACAGGCCAACATTCAAATTCAGGAAACACGGAGAACCTCAGTAAGATATTCCATGAGAAGATCAACCCCAAGACACATAATCATCAGATTCTCCAAGGCTGAAATGAACGAAAAAAATGTTAAGGGCAGCCAGAGAGAAAGGCCAGGTCACCTACAAATGGAAGCCCATCAGATTAAAGGCAGACCTGTCAGCAGAAGCCCTACAAGCCAGAAGAGATTGGGGGCCAATACTCAACATTCTTAAATAAAAGAATTTTCAACCCAAAATTTCATATTCAGTCAAACTAAGCTTCATCAGCAAAGGAGAATTAAAATCCTTTTCAGACAAGCAAATGCTGAGGGAATTTGTCAGCTCTAAGCCTGCCTTGCAACAGCTCCTGAAGAAAGCACTAAATATGGAAAGGAAAAGCCATTACCAGCCACTACAAAAACACAATGAAATACAATGACCAGTGACACTGTGAAGCAACTACATCAACAAGTCTGCAAAATAACCAGCTAGCATCATGATGACCAGATCAAATTCACACATAACAATATTAACCTTTAATGGAAATTGGCAAAATCCCCCAAGTAAAAGGCACAGAATGGGAAGGTGGATAAAGAGTCAAGACCCATGGTGTGCTGAATTCAAGAGACCCATCTCACTTGCAAAGACATGCATAGGCTCAAAATAAAGGGATGGAGGAAAATTTACCAAGTAAATGAAAAGCAGATAGAAGCAATCTGTTGCAATCTTAGTTTATGACCAAACAGACTTTAAACAACAACAACAACAACAAAATCAAGAAAGAGAAAGAAGGGCATTACATAATGGTAAAGGGATCAATTCAACAAGAAGAGCTAATTATCCTAAATATATGTGTATCCAACACAGGAGCACAGATTCATGAAAGAAATTCTTGGAGACCTATAAAGAGACTTGGACTCCCACACAATAATACTGGGAGAGTTTTACATGCCACTGACAATATTAGACAGATCATTGAGTCAGAAAATTAACAATGATATTCAGGACTTGAACTTAGCTCTGGATCAAGTGGACCTGATGGATATCTACAGAACTCTCTACCCAAAAACAACAGAGTATGCATTGTTTTTAGTGCCACATGGCACTGACTCTAAAATTGATCACATAATTGGAAGTAAAACACTCCTCCACAAATACACAAGAACTAAAATCTTAACAAACAGTCTCTCAGACCACAGGACAATCAAATTAGCACTCAAGATTGAGTAATTCACTCAAAACCACACAACTACTTGGAAATTGAACAACCTGCTCCTGAATGCCTCCTGGGTAAATAATGAAATTAAGGTAGAAAAGAAGAAGTTCTTTGAAACCGATATGAACAAAGAATGTACTAGAATCTCTGGATGCAGCAATGTTGAGGGAAATTTATAACACTGAATGCCCACATCAAACAGCTAGAAAGAGCTCAACTTATCAAACTAACATCTCAACTAAAAGAACTAGAGAAGCAACAGCAAACAAATCCCAAAGCTAGCAGAATACAAGAAATAACTAAGATCTGAGTGGAACTGAAGGAAATAGAGACATGAAAAACCCTTGAAAAAAATTCAATGAATCCAGGAGCAGTTTCTTGAAAAAATTTAAGAAATAGACCACTAGTTAGACTAATAAAGAAGAAAAGAAAGAAGAATGAAATAGACACAATAAAAAATGATAAATGTGATATCACTACTGATCCCACAGAAATACAAACGACCATCAGAGAGTACTATAAACACCTGAATGCAAATAAACTAGAGAATCTAGAAAAAATTGATAAATTCCTGGACACATACACCCTCCAAAGACTAAAACAGGAAGAAGTTGAATCCCTGAATAGACCAATAACAAGTTCTGAAATTCAGACCGTAATAATCTATCAACCAAAAAAAATCCCAGGACCAGACGGATTTACAGCTGAATTCTACCAGAGGTACAAAGAGGAGCTGGTACCGTTTCTTCTGAAATTATCTG
Organism: Homo sapiens; assembly: GCF_000001405.40. Lineage (NCBI taxonomy): Eukaryota > Metazoa > Chordata > Mammalia > Primates > Hominidae > Homo > Homo sapiens. Next base: position 56,012,063 of record NC_000023.11, read on the forward strand.
AAAGAATTGAAAAGGAGTGACCCCTCCCTAACTCATTTAATGAGGCCAGCATCATCCTGATACCAAAACCTAGCAGATATACAACAAAAAACAAAAACTTCAAGCCAACATTCCTGCTGAATATTGATGCCAAAATTTTCAGTAAACTTTCAATAAAATACTGGCAAACCAATTCCAGCAGCACATCAAAAAGCCTACCCACCACAATCAAGTTTGCTTCATTCCCAGGATGCAAGGCCGATTCAACCCATGCAAATCAATAAACAGAGCTGAAGACAAAAACACATGATTAACTCAACAGACGCAGAAAGGGCCTTTGATAAAATTCAACATCCCTTCATATTAAAAATTCTCAGTAAAGTAAATATTGATGGAAGATACCTCAAAATAATAAGAACCATTTATGACAAACCCACAGACAATACCATACTTAATGAACAATAGCTGGAAGCATTCCCTTTGAAAACCAGCACAAGACAAGGATGCACTCTCTCAACACTTTTATTCAATGTAGTATTGGAAGTTCTGGCCAGAGAAATCAGGCAATAGAAAGAAATGAAGGTATTGAAATTGGAAGAGGAGAAGTCAAACTGTCTCTATTTGCAGGTGATGTGATCCTATATCTTGAAAACCCCATCATCTCAGCCCAAAAGCTTCTTAACCTGATAAGCAACTTCAGTAACATTGGAAAAATCAATATCATGAAAATGGCCATACTGCCCAAAGTAATTTATAGATTCAGTGCTATTCCCATTTAACTACTATTGTCATTTTTCACAGAATTAGAAAAAAAAACTATTCTAAAATTTATATGGAACCAAAAAAGAGCCCAAATAGCCAAGACAATCCTAAGCAAAAAGAACAAAGCTGGAGGCATCATGCTACCTGATTTCAAACTATACTATAAGGCCACACTAACCAAAACAGCATGGTACTGGTACAAAAACATAGACCAATGGAACAGAGTAGAGAACCCAGAAATAAGACCACCCATCTACAACCATCTGATCTGCAACAAACCTAACAAAAACAAGCAATGGGGAAAGGATTCCTGCCCAAGGCAATGAGAGCCTACCTCTTGCATCAGCAAGACCTGGATGTGAGACATGAAGTCGAAAGAGATTATTTTGGAACTTTAAGGTTTAATGACTGCCCTATTGGATTTCAGACTTGGATGGGGCCTGTAGCCCCTTCGTTTTGGCCAATTTCTTCCACTTGGAATTGGTGTATTTACTCAATGCCTGTAGCCCCATTGTATCTAGAAAGTAACTAACTTGCTTTCAGTTTTACAGGCTCATAGGTGGAAGGGACTTGCCTTATCTCAGATGAGACTTTGGACTTGGAATTTTGGGTTAATGCTGGAATGAGTAAGACCTTGATACTGTTGGAAATACATGGTTGTGTTTTGAAATGTGAGGACATGAGATTTGGGAGGGTCCAAGGGTGGAATGATATGGCTTGGTTTTGTCCCTACCAAAATCTCATCTCATTGAATTGTGGTTTCCATAATCCCCATGTGTCTTGGGAGGGACCAGGTGGAGATAATTGAATCATGGGGGTGATTTCCTTCTTCTTTTTTTCGTTATGATAGTGAGTTAGTGCTCATGAGATCTGATGGTTTTCTAACGGGCTTCCCCCTCACTAGGCAGTCGTTCTTCTGCTGCCACCATGTGAAGAATGACATGTTTGCTTCTCCTTCTGCCATGATTATAAGTTTCCTGAGGCCTCCCCAGCTATGCTGAACTGAGTCAATTCAACCCTTTTCTTTTATGAATTACCCAGTCTTGGGTATGCCTTTATTAGTAGCATGAGAACAGACTAATACTATTCCCTATTTAATAAATGGTGCTGGAAGAACTGGCTAGCCATATGCAGAAAACTGAAACTGGACCCCTTTCTTACACTTTATATAATAACTAACTCAAAATGGATGAAACACTTAAATGTAAAACCTGAAACTATAAAAATCCTAAAAGAAAATCTAGGCGATACCATTCAGGACATAGGCACGGGCAAAGATTTTATGACAAAAACATCAAAAGCAATTGCAAAAAAAGCAAAAATTTACAAATGGGATTCTGTTAAACTAAAGAGCTTCTGCACAGCAAAAGAAACTATCATCAGAGTAAACAGACAGTCTACAGAATGGGAGAAACTTTTTGCAACCTATCCATCTGACAAATGTCTAATATCCAAAATCTACAAGAAACAAACAAATTTATAAGAAAACAACCCTGTTAAAAAGTGGGCAAAGGACATGAACAGACACTTCTCAAAAGAACACATACATGTGGCCAACAAACATATGGAAACAAGCTCAACATCACTGATCATTAGAGAAATGCAAATCAAAACCACAATGAGATACCAACTCACACCAGTCAGAATGGCAATTATTAAAAAGTCAAGAAACAACAGATGATGGCAAGACTGCGGAGAAGAAGGAATGTTTTTACACTGTTGGTGGGAATGTAAATTAGTTCAACTTTTGTGGAAGACAGTGTGGCTATTCCTCAAAGACCTAGAACCAGAAATATCATTTGACCCAGCAGTCCCATTACTGTGTATATACCCATAGGAATATAAATTGTTCTATTATAAAGATACATGCACGCATATGTGCATTGCAGCACTATTCACAATATCAAAGACATGCAATCAACACACACGCCCATCAGTGATAGACTGGTTAAAGAAAATGTGGTACATGTACACCATAGAATACTATGTAGCCATAAAAAGCAACAAGATCATGTTTTTTTTTTTTTTTTTTTTTTTGCAGAGATGTGGTTGGAGCTGGAAGCTGTTATCCTCAGCAAACTAATGCAGGAGGAGAAAACCAAATACTGCAAGTTCTCACTTATAAGTGGGAACTGAATGATGAGAACATTTGGACATGGTAAGGGGAGGACAACATGCAGTGGGGCCTGTTGGGGAGTATGGCAGGAGGGAAAGCATCAGGAAATTCACTAATAGATGCTGGGCTTAATAACTTGATGATGGGATGATCTGTGCAGCAAACCACCATGGCACATGTTTACTAATGTAACAAACCTGCACATTCAGCACATGTACCCCTGAACTTAAAATAAAGCAAAATAAAAATAAAAATATAATTTTTCCCCATTCAACATCATGGACTTCCTGAAGTTCTCTAGACCTTGGATTAAGAAGACATATCTACAGTACGTCAGATTTGATGTGTCACAAAATACATACATCTTTTGCCTGAATCACTCTCTAAGGTTGCTGTACTAGCTTTCATTCCCATCAGCAGTATTGGAAAATCTGTATTATCTCACACACTCACCAACCATTTATATTGTTTTCCAACTTGATGGGTTAAAATAACATCGCATTTTTGTTATAATGTGAATTTCCTTGGTAACTAATGAGGCTGAACATCTTTTCATCTGTTTGTTGGCAATTTTGGCTTTCTGATTCTGTGAATTGCCTTTGTACATTTTCTATTAGGTCACTGGTGGTTTTCCAATAGGAAAATGACATAATCTCTGCCTTGCTCAATACATAGGTCTCTTGTAGCTCTAGCACTTTCTGACCTGATTCTAGCATTTTGCTAAAAGTCTAGGTGAGTGGGTTCAAGCAAGGTAAAAACCATACAGACTGCAGTGGAGGAAGGGTAGAATACCACCAGGGAAAAGAGTTAAGAGGTTGTTTTAATAGTTAACTAGTGTACAAAAGGGCAGAATCAATGGTGGTGTAGAGAAGGAGACTAACATAAGAGACCCCACAGGATTTTGTTTGCGGGAAAGGGAAAAAATTAGAAGCCAAAATGGAAGCCGCAGAAATATTTTGGGAACAGTGGACAATTTTGTCTTCTCAGTCTCTATTCCTTTTAAATAAGTAAACTCTTAAATAGCATTTTCTTTCCCAGACCATATGTGTGTATGTGTGTACATATGTGTATGTGTTTGTGTGTACAAAGTAACTAACAAACAATAAGCTCTAATTGTGAATGCTTTTTTGGAGCATTTGCTTCTAGAGATTCATACAGTTTCAGCCCAATTTTAGCATGCTATTGAACCTGGGTTTTGGAACTTGGGTTCACATCTTAGCTCAAGCAGTGACAACTGTGTGACCTTGGGCAAATCATTTAGCCTCAATATAATGCTGGCACAACGCTAGCTTCTACACAGAAGTATTGTGAGGTAAATATAAGGTAATGTATGTGAAGTATATAATATAGTGCCTGGCACAGAGTGAGTATTCAGCACATTTGTTGAGTAGATCAATCAAAATTGAGATTCCCAATGCTGAAGCCCTAGAAGCTGTCATAGTAGTTTGCATTAATTTGTTTTCCTTCCATTTTAATTGTGATTTTAAATGTAATAACTCCTGGTGATAGACATAGTAATTCTTAGTTAACTAGACTGTAAGATTGATAAGAATCTGCCATTCATTTCCTATACCAAATGAAAACTTACTGGAAACAATAACAATTCACATTTATTAGACAATATAATCATGCACTCTTAGAAGTACTTCACGTTAAATAAGCCATGAATCTCCACTGTAACATTATAAGAACTATTATTATCCCCATCTTATAGATGGGAAACTAAGGCATAAAGCAGTTATTTAACTTATCCAAGGTCAAACAACTACTGTGGTTCCTGAGTCTACATTTTAACTACTATAGTCAAAGAGGAGGAGTGACCTGCCTAGTGCCACACAATATGTTAATATTAGACTAGGATTCAAATTAGATTTTTCTATTCCTTCTGCTGCACATAGAGACATTTGGATTGTCAAATCCATTTTACTATGTTACTACATTTACCTTATAAGTTTATTTTTTATAGTTTTTATACAAATATATTTTAAGTGAAATACCATGTGGATATGTTATAAAGTAAACTTTTTATAATAAAGCCACATTTTTATATGTCCAGTAGTTCACTGGAGAGGTTAGTGGTGGATTGAGGGAGGTGCTATATATCTATATTTAACATTTGATTTTAAAATAAGAGAGGTTGTTTCTATTATAGAAAATACTACAGAGGCTGGTCTAGAAATCTGTTTCCTGCTCCCAACCTTGGTCAAAGTCTAACCTGAAGGGAATAGTAGCAGGATCTATATGTTTTTATTTGTTATTAATTTTTCCCTGTAACGCAGAAGCTGACTGAAGAGCTAGTATTAGGGACCTGGCAAACTTGTAGGCATGCCATTGCTGTAGCAGTTGGTATGTATGCTGAGAGGGTGGCCTAAGAGAAGTAAGGTAGGCTTCCAAGCACAATGGCAGCCAGCCTAGAACATGGCCTCCTTGCTTGCCTGGTCAGAGGCTCCTGACCAATGCTGAAAGCATTCTTTCTGCCCTGGAGGAGGCAGAGGGCACAGTCACCCTTTCAGACAAAACCAGAAGCAGTTTGTAGGAAAGAGAAAATAGTAGAACGGGGAAGCGCAATGGAGGAAGATGCAGTTGGTCTGAGACTGACACTAATGTTCACTGTAGGGTATGGAAAAGATTGCTCTGCCATGAAAAGTGAGCAAGTATTCCCCCAGTGCACTGGATGTAGTGATAATGGTAGTGTATGTTTGCTAGTGGGTGTGTGATTTTTTGAGGGGTAGTACTGATTGTGTCATAATCTTAAGTGGAATGGATATTTCCCTTCAGTTGTATATGATAACCTTTTATTTAGTTCTCTTTTTAGTTAAAGATAAAAGAAGGATTTTTGTAAAAAACGATGGACATAAAGCCAAATGAAGAAAAATTGCATTCATTTTGGATCAAGACTGTTTTACCTCTTCTCCCAATATATCTGACCCTACTCCCAAATAGCATTTGAAGTGTTTTATTTATTTTTATTAATTTTAAATTCTTAAATTTTTATGGATACATAGTAGTTGTACATATCTATAGGGTACATGTAATACCAACATACAATGTGTAATGATCAAATATGGGTAATTGGGATATCCATCATCTCAAGCACTTATCATTTATTTGTGTTGAGAGCATTCCAGATCTCTTCTAGCTGTTTTGAAATGTACAATAAATTATTGTTAACTATAGTGGCCCTATTGTGTTATCAAACACTAGGACTTATTTCTTCTATCTAACTGTATCTTTGTACCTGTTAACCAGCTCCTCTTCATTCTCCTATCCCCATTACCCTTCGCAGCCTCTGGCAATCACCATTACAAACTCTCTGCCTCCATGAAATCAGTTGTGTAGCTTCCACATAAAAGTGAGAACATGCATTTGTCTCTCGGTGCCTTACTTATTTCACTTAACATAGTTTTCTCCTAATTTTTATTAACTTTAATTCCCACATTATTAACTATAAATAAAAATATACTACTCAGAAGAAAAAAGAAACCTATCTTTGACATAGCTCTGAATGAAAGTCATAATAAAGACTTTAGAGTTTTTTCTATTTATGTGTATGAATGTGTATTGGGTGGAAAGAAGAATGAAACTAGTCATAGCAGCTGAATTATGCCCTTTGGGCAAAGTTTGGTTTTCATAGAAACAAGTATGGCCTAACTCTCTGAGGGAAAAATACACACACACACATCAATATGTTTTATTATATAATACATGTTAATTTACACACATATACATATTATTATATAATATATGCTAATTTGCTATACTATATGTATATATATATTCAGTTAAACCATAAAAAATTGCCATTTTTGTAGGTAAAAATTGTTAAATATTAGCAATTCTATATGGTTACACTGGGCATTTGTTTGTATGTGTGTGTGTGTGGTTTAAAACAAATGAGAGAGTAAGAGATTGACAGGAAGAAGGAGAGGGATGTGTGTGTTTGGTGTGTGTATGTCATGATAAAACTTTCAAGCTGTAGGAATCTGGCTATATTTAGACAGGATCTCAGAAAAGTGACTAGGACATTCTTTTCAACATATTTTTAAGGAATGAACTTCCACCTTCTTTAGTAGAGCTCTTTGATCATCTCAGGGATTTTAGGCTCTGACAGCCTTTACTTTCCAGATGTTTTGGTCATTTGTTTGGGTGGAATCCCCATACTGCTGTTTAAGTCTGTTCAATCTGCTTTGAATTCTGTATAGAAGGAGAAAGGAAAGAACTCATCAGCATTATAAAAAAAATAGTAACAGCCAGTTGTATATGATAGTCTCCTGACTACAAAGGAAAAGTTAGTATTGGATTTCACAAATATGACCAGATCTTCTCAGATAGTCATTTGATATAAAAACCAGCCCCCTGGAGATTGTTATATGTTATTAAGCCACTCTTTAGACTTCTCTTGGAGAATGGATCTTTACTAAACTATGGCTGCTGTTTTAGAATCTTCCTTTCAGAGAGTGCTGAGAATACCTAGGAATAAAATGCACTTCTTTCCCAGAAAATTTTTCGTTGACTGTCTATTTTAAAGGTTATTGGATTATCTTCATTAACATTCAGTTGATGTATTGAGCACTTGCTCTATGCAGCAAACTCTGCAAAGACCTATGTTTTGGATATTCACAAATACTTTAACATCTCTGTGGCAGATTACTGAGAGTGGACTTAGTTTTTGGAATAAAGAGTCAAAAGCAGAGGTGGGTACATAAAGTTAGTGATGAGGGTTATGTGGTAAGATAAAGTCCTGAGGCTGATTTTCTTCTATGCATATAGAAGTAATAGTAGACTTTAATGGTGTTTGGCTCAGAAAACCAAGAATAGTTATCTTGGAGCTATCATGGTCCTCTCCACAAAGTCCCTGAGGAACACAAGAAAGAATGGTAAGGGAAAGGAATGTAACACATAGTTAGACAGACTTGTTTCCTAGAACTCTATTCAGAGAACTGTGGTAGGTCAAGCTAGATCTTATGGTTAAGTTTGGAGGCCTGTGAGGCCATTTTCCTCTACCTAAACTCAAACCTTAATCTCAGAGTCTTATTTGACAGCTGACTGCAATGTGACAGAAGGCCACAATGATAAGCTTGATTAATAAAAACAGAATAGAGAATTGACCACAATCAAGTATTGATGTGTCGTGGCATCTGACCAGTCAGATAAAAGTTAGGTGGAAGGCACAACAAAGTTTTTAGTTATTATATCCCTTATTCTAGAATTCTACATACACCAAATATGAAAGGAGTTCTAAAACAGCATTTTGAACATAATGGAAATCAGCATGTATTCAGCTGGAGTGCTATTTAGGACAGCACTTTTATTTAGAGAAGATAAGAGCTCTGGGGAAAAAAAAGGAAAGATTGTGAAGGGCAATATAAGGCATGCTAAAGATTTTGGTGTTTAGAAACATCCTGCTACAGCAGCGTGGAGCATGCTTAGAAAAGAGGAGAAACTAGCAGCAGAAATACTGTCTAGAGGCTTTTGTGATAAGTCCATGTGAAACAGTGGGCCTTAAAGTAAGGTAGTAGACATTGGGCTGTAGAGAAGCAGGTAGATTCTAAAGTTATAAATGACATGATATGGTATCACCAATATTTGGCTATTGATTGGTTGTGGGAGAAGAGGAAGTAAAGGTGATTCACAGGATTCTGATTTGGGCAATGGAGTGAAGAATGGTGCCAAGGTACCAAAGGAAGAACAAGTTTTAGTCTGTGGATGCAGTATCAGACTGAAGATATTTTGTTCCAGAGTGTCTATGTTGAGGTGCTTCCGGAACATTTAGATAGACGGCCTATTGTAAATACATATATGCAATATATATGGTGAGAGTAGACTTAATTTTGGGAATAAACAAGTCAAAACCATTTTTAAACACTCTTACTGTATTCCAGAAATAAAAGGCTTGCTCTACCTCTCCACTTTTACCTATAAGTATAGCTGTGCTCCTGCCCTACTGAACTAATCACCATTCCAATAACACAGAACACAGCATGCTCTTCACATCACAATACCTTTGTACATATTGTTCCCTTTGCCTCAAATGCTTCCTTTCTCTCCTCTTCAGTCAGAATATGTATGTTTACATTCTGATTTGCTGATATTTATTGTAATACAGCATACATATGAAAGAGTACAGAAATTATACATGCACAGCTCAGCAAGTTTTCATCAATTTAACATACCTGTGTAATTGGCACCAGAAATATGAAACATTATTATTTCTCACCCATCTTATAGAATTATAGATTAGTACCATCTGTTTTTGAAATTTGTATGAATGAAACCATATGATATCTATTTATTTGTATGTATCTTATTTCATGCAACTTAATGATTTTGAGATTCATTGATGCTGTTGTGTGCAGCAGTGGTTTGTTCTTTTTTCATTTCTCAGTAGTATTTCATTGTATGACTATACCATAATTTATTTACTCTTTCTAAGACTGATGGACATTTGGGTCATGTTCAGTTTTTGGCTATTAATAATAATCATACAATTAAAATAATAAAAGCTGTATGAATTTTTTTGTAAGTAATTTTTTGCTACATATGTGCACACCCGTTTCTGTTGATTATATATAAAGGGGTAGAATTGCGGTGCAAGAGGTTATGCATGTGATTAGTTTTAGTCAGTACTGCCAAATAGATTTCCAAAGTGGTTATACTGACCCGCTCTTTTTTTTTTTTTTACATAACTCCAAAAATACAGTTTTTCCCATTGAATTTTTTTGAAGTTAAATAGCAGAGATGTCAGAATTATGCTCATCAGGAAATACAAAGTACAGAAATATAATTTCTGTGAGTAGTTTTTAAGTACTACTAGTAAGTACTGCTAGTGAGTGGTAAGATTGATAGCTTCTAGTGAAAGTCTGGAATCCAAAGCTTGATATGTATCTAAATATATGTTTACCCCACCTTGGCACTGTGCTTTGCTGAGGGAACAGCAGGCCTTGTGCAGGTCCAAGATAATTCTCATAAATACTTCATAGCCTCATTCAGTACATGAAAATTGGGTAATTGATGTCCCAGAAATGTGTGCAGAGAATAGAGCAAAAAAAAAAAAAATGCGTCTTGGAAAAAATTCAAAGCAAGTGTCAACCATATTCACTACAATTTAAACCAAAACAAAATGAAACAAACAAAAAGCCTCACATAAAATATCTGAATTTAAGATTACAGTCTGGTGTGTCATCAGTGAAAATGGTGCAGTGAAAACCTGTAGAATATCCCTTATCTATAAAAACCAATGAGAACACTGGCCAAAAAAATGTGAGAATCAATGTTTTCAGAACTCTAGAAATTAACCAAAGGCTTGCAGAAATCCATGGAGCCTTTATTCAAGAAAAATGTCTGAGGCCAGGCATGGTGGCTCATGCCTGTAATCCCAGCACTTTGGGAGGCTGATGCGGGCGGATCACGAGGTCAGGAGATCGAGACCATCCTGGCTAACACAGTGAAACCCCGTGCCTACTAAAATTACAAAAAATTAGCTGGGCATGGTGGTGGCGGGTGCCTGTAGTCCCAGCTACTCGGGAGGCTGAGGCAGGAGAATGGCGTGAACCCGGGAGGCAGAGCTTGCGGTGAGCCGAGATCGCGCCACTACACTCCAGCCTGGGTGACAGAGCGAGACTCTGTCTGACCAAAAAAAAAAAAAAAAAGAAGAAAAAAAAAAGAAAAATATCTGAAGCTCAGTAGGAGCATGAGCTTTTTATCATTTTAATTTGCCCTGTTCCTATGCCCTCTCCCCAGTTCCACAGCAGCCCTGAAAATCAACAGCATGCAAGTCACAGTGAAAAGCAGCAACGTGGTAACCACCGAAGAGGGTAGAATGAGGTTGGAGCCTCTTCAAAGTCCCTTACCAGAAAACTGTCATTATTCAACCTGTATGACAGCTCTCAGGGAGACCTCATGTGTAAGGCTACCTTTAATAGACCTGACTAAAAGCTCCCCCAGGGTGAATAGACCATTCCATGGAGCCATTTGTCAGAAATAATCAGAGAAAATTATGTATATATATATAAAATCTACCACCAATAATTTTATATCACATCACAACACCTGAGGTGGTAGATAAGGATTGGTGCAAACATTAGGTTAACCAAAAAGCTTACAAAGAAAATATGGGGAATAAGATGTCCATAAGTGTGTTAATGGGCATGCAATATTTAAATATGTAATTTATAGGACAATTACAACACAAAAGATGGGGAGGGAATTGAGATTTATAGGGGCAAAGTTTTGTATATTATTTAATTTTAAATTATAAACTATAGTAATAGAAACAAGGGAATTAAGATGGTATATGGCAAAATATTTATAAGAAAGAAGACAGCAATGGAAAACAAAATATATAAAACATACAGAAAACAAACAGCAAAATGATAGATGTGAATCCTATTTTATCAGTAATTATATTGAGTTTAAATTGATTAGCTGCTGTAACCAAAAGGCAGAGACAAACAGAATGGATTTTTAAAAACTGTGATCCAACCACGTGCTTTCTATGAGACAAACAAAGACACAAACAGGATGAAAAAGCTGTATTTTGAATATCATGGCCAAAGTGGCTGTGCTAACATCAGACCAAACAGAATTTTTGACAAAATTGTTCCTAGATGTAAATAAGGGCATTTTATAATGATAAATGGGTCAATGAATCAAGATGATATGATAAATATACCTTCACCTAAACTGAACCCCCAAATACAAAGCTTGTTATATACACTGGTATTCATACTTTTTTTTTTTAACACAAACACTCCTTTGATTGTTGCAAGAGTTTAATTTTTAGAGTTCTAAAAATGTTGATTTTGAGAATTATTACCAGCATTCTTATTGCTTTTATGGAAGAAAATATTTTTGCAGGTCTTTACTCCCCCTTTTCAAAAATCTCAACTCTTAGCAGACTTTTCAATGGATGTAAAGAATGTCATTCTATCAACATGCTCTGATGCATTTATTCAGTAATCTACTGATGGACATTTATTTAGGTTGTTTCTAGTATTTTGCTAGCACAAACAGAACTCCAGTGATATTTTTCCACATATAATTTTATACAACTGTATGAGAATAGTCATACAAGTAGAATTATTTAGATCAGAGGATATATACATTTTAATATTTGATAGATATATATTAGTTTTCTCTAAGGAAGCTGTAACAAATTACATGCCCACCAATTTATGAGATTGAATGTTTCCACACATTTAATTTTTTAAAAAATTTATTTTACAACACTGCGTACTGACAATATTTTTAATCTTTATCAATCTGATGGTGAACAAAATGTCTTTTTAATTTCTTTTTTTTTTTTTTTGGAGTTAGAGTCTCTCTGTCATCCAGGCTGGAGTGCAGTAGCGCGATCTTGGCTCACTGCAACCTCTGCCTCCCGAGTTCAAGCTATTCTCTTGCCTCAGCTTCCGAAATAGCTGGAATTACAGGCTCGCACCACCACACTGGACTAATTTTTGTATTTTTTGTAGAGACAGGGTTTTGCCATGTTGGCCAGCCTGGTCTGGAACTCCTGGCCTCAAGTGATCTGCCCACCTTTGCAGCAGGACGAGCCACGGACAAAACCCCACAGACACCAAGGTAGTGAAGGAAGTGGCTTTAATCAGCTGGAAGGATCGGCAGACTAATGTCTCAAAATCCGAGATCCCTGAGTGCACAATTTCTGTCCCTTTTAAGGGCTCACAATGCTAAAGATTTTACGTGAAAGGGCCATGATTGATCGAGCAATCTAGGGGGTATGTGACAGGGGCTGCATGCACCGGTAATCAGAGTGAAACAGAACAGAAGGAGAAGTTTCACAATGTCCTTCCATACAATGTCTGGAATCTATGGATAACATCGGTTGCTAGGTCATGGGTTGAATTTTAAAGGCCTGGTTTTGGGACTGGGTTTGGGTCTGGTGCCTGGCACCGGGCTGCCTGCCTTTGGTTTCACTTCCTTGTTTCTTCTTAAAATGGGTACTGAGTATAAAACAATGTAAAACAATATGAGGGGTCTCTTTTTCTCTTCTCTCACCTTGGCCTCCCAAAGTACTTTTCCTTCTCTAGCTATGCAATATTGTCCAATAATTGAGACTTTTAGAACCCAGAAATTGTCAGGATGGTTCTTTTGGGCTGGGAATTCATCAGGAACTGGGTCCGTAGGGACTAATTCTTGGGCTTCCCATGGCCATTGATCTCCTGTTACAGTTCCTCCACAAACATAACACAAAGTGATTTTAAAGACTGTGCTACATGCTCAGCTAATTGCAAAAACAAATTTCTAGTTTTTCCTGGAATCTCAGGTACTGGCACATTTAGTTCATCATAGAAAGTCTGAAATACTGGCTCTAGAGAGCGTTTTCGAACCTCTCCTTTTATTAAGATATTTATTCTAGGATCTTGTCCTTTTCCATCAATGCCTAGAGATACGTGCTCTCCTTTTTCCCACTTTGGGTCTGAAGGATTTGTAATTATTAATTCTAAAGGGTTGCAGCTTCCACTTGTGCAGGAGGGGCTGCTTTTTCCTTTTTGGAGCCAAACAAGATCTTATTCATCTTTTTTCCAAGTAGCCCAGATGACACAAGACCAGTATTGACACACATTTGTACATGAATATGATTCATGGCAGATATACTTATTTTCTGCTGTGTAACTCTTTTCCCAATCTAGAGAACCGCATCTTATTCCTTGCTGATTACTATTAATAGTGGCACAAGTGTCGAATTTTAGGGTTACATGTTTGGGGACCCCTCTTTCTTCTGTTCTAGCTATTACTTTACTTGTGTCACCTAGAAAAGGGCCAGTCCTTAGTCTTATTTCAAATACCGTGATCATGGGAGGATCAGAGGGGTCATAACACACATCAGGCTGATCACTTTCTGGATTACATACTTTGTACTGAGTGTTATTATATAAACATGTTCCTTTTGGTGTTCCTAGGCACTCATAATAACTATAGGACAAAAAGATTGTTTTAACTTGTTGTCCTACCTCAGTGACCTGATGTACACACTGAAAGCAGTCCTCCGTGTGAAAAGAAGCAGTGGAAGCTTTTACCACACAAGTCCATGTCACAAGGAAAATAAGTCCCATGACAATTTTCCTCATGCTTCGGCCGTGCGTAGACCAGTCAACTTCCGGGTTTGACTGGAGTAGGGCTTGTCATCCTCCTCAGAGTCACTTTACAGGGATTGTCCAGGCTTGGTTTGGCCTCCTAGGTTTCAGTGGCTGCAGGCTTTATGCTGCTGTGTGATCCAGGCCAGGATTCCTTCCGCCTTTACAGCTGTGGGAGTGGTCATGATAACAGTCTGGGGTCCTTTCCATCATGGCCGCAGAGGAGCTACTTTCCAGTCCTTGATTCACACACGGTCATCTGGAGAAAAAGGGTGAACTGGGGAGAATAAGCTGACCAGGCACCTCTCATTTACCCAAGCTGAGATTGTCTGGGTAATTTTCCCCAAGGCCTGTAGCTGTCGCTGCAATTCAATTTCACCTAACTCTTGGGGAGTACCCGGAAGTCCTCGCAGTATAGGAGGAGGACTATGATATAATACTTTGTAAGAGGAGTATCCTGTTTTCTTAGAGGGGGTGCACCTAATTTTAAACAATACCATAGGAAGGGCCTGTATCCATTTTAATCCTGTCTCTTGACATACTTTCCCTAAACTATTTTTGACAGTCCGATTCATTCGCTCCACTTTTCCAGAACTCTGAGGTCGGTAGGCAGCATGTAACTTTCATGTGATTCCCAATACCTTTGCTGTCTTCTGTACTAAGTCAACCACAAATGCTGGCCCAATATCTGAGCCAATCCATAGCGGCAGTCCAAACCTAGGGACAAGATCTCAAAGAAGCACACGGGTTACTTCACGAGCTTTTTCAGTTCGTGTCGGATAAGCCTCTACCCACCCAGAGTAAGTACACACTAGAACCAGTAAATACTTCTTACCTCCGCATTTGGGCATCTCTGTGAAGTCCACTTGAAGATCTTCAAAAGGAGCTACTCCATAGGCTTGTATGCCGGGAGGGACAGAGGGGTCTTGCTTTGCATTGTGCTGTCAATAGGTAACGCATTGCTGCGCTACTGTTTTAGCTAGAGCTGGCAAGTGTGAGATGTAGAAGTACCAGCTTAACAGCTTTTCAAGTGACTCTTGACCTAAATGGGTAGTTTCATATACAGCCAGCACTACTGTGGCTCCTAGCAGCTGTGGCACAGCTATTCTCCCCCAT